>NC_000003.12:160372240-160675270 GCF_000001405.40 Homo sapiens | reverse complement strand
TAGGACTTATTCCAGAGAGAAAAAAAATATGCACAAGAGGAAATTATCAAGAAATAATATGGGACCACTTCCCAAAGCTAAAGAATGAACTTGCCAGATTGAAAGACTTCCCTCAACGCTTACCAACATGATTTTTAAAAGAGCTATACCATGTGATATACATGTTTTCTTATTAAAACTAAAAATTTATTTAGAGTTTTTACACAAAATAAGTAGACTATTTTAGATGCAGAAAGCACACGTATGAAGAAATTCTGTAACCTTTTATAAAGAATTAAGTTCTTAACCAACTCACTATATCTCAGAGGCTAAAGATACTGTTTTGATTTGTTCATTGATTTATTCATCTAACCATTCAGGAAATAAACATATTGATGGCCTAGTCTGTGCTAGATGCCAGAGAGATCACAAAGATAAACTAGGCTTGCCTTTAGTTGACTTTCACTGGGGAGAAGGTAAAAGATATGTGACCAAATAAAAATACATACAAAGTCAAAAAATTATACATGCTACAAGAAAAGAAAGGCTAATGTATTCTAGGTATTCACAGACTCTTTCAGAATGAAAGGCGTCAGAGAAATCTTCCTGGAGAAGGTTAAGTATTGAACCAGGCCTTGTAGAGACACGTGAGGGCATACATGAAAGAAACAGTCTGTGAGAGCAAAGTCTTAGAAATGGGAAAATATGGGGATGTATGTGGAAAACCAACTGTATATGGATAAGTAGGGGTTTCTTCCATAAACATTTTGAACTATCATGATAAAACCATAAGATAAATCTAGATTATAGGCCATGCTGCAAGACAACAGACTTGGACTCTACAAGGTAGGTCCATGTCATGAAAGACAGAAAGGAAAAAAAGGATCGGGGGAAGAATGTTCTAAATAAAAGATACATGACTACTAAATGCATTGTGTAAACTTTTATTGGATCCTGTGTCAATAATAGTGATTAAGGAAATTACTATAACAATTATGAAAATTCAAATTGGGGAAACTTGATTATGAACTGTATATTAGATGGTATTATTTATCAATGATAAATTTCTTGAAGGCAATAATTCAATTGTTATGTAGGAAGATGATTTTGTTTCAAGGAGATACAGGCTAAAGTACTTAGGGGTGATATCAGCAAGTTAATTTCAACTGGCTCAGCAAACACATGCACACAAAGATATGTATGTATATGGGAGGGAGGAAGTGTGTGTAAATATGGCGATAGTTGGTGGCTCTAGGTCAGAGGTATTGAATGTTCATTTTACTATTTTTTAACTTTCCTCTAGATTTGAAATTTTTCAAAATAACATGTTAAAAAAAGAATATAATTGAAATAAGCTAATAAAATTAGACTGTAGTCCATAGTAATACAGAAAATAATTCAGCTTACTTAGGGGTAAGTCCGTACTTCCAAAGGTGAATTTAGGGACTTTGACTGCACTACTGCTTAAGCTCTTTCTCACCTCCATATTTCAACAATTAAAATTTTTGAAAGAAGTTAAACATTTATTTTATAATAAACTCAATGATTTGAGTGCTTTATGAGGTCTACCGTTGGTATTGGGGACATCCTTTAATATATTTTTGCTGTAATGAGCATGATCATACATATATGCCTTCATTGTCTCCCATCTGACCAATTATACCTTGTTTTCGGGATAGCCAAACAAATGAGGGCTTAAATTCTGCATGAATATTATATCCACATAAGAATATGATTCTCTTCTGTGAAAAGAAATAAGATAATTTCTTTGTCAATGCTAATTGTCATGAAAGAATCTACAAATGTTTCAATATCCTTTCTTACTGTCCCAAAACATTTATGGATTCATGTGTCCCAGCCAAACTTGAGGGAAGGCAAGGTATTTGTTTTCTGTAAATCATTCTAAGATTACGCAAATAAAGGTAGACTTGTGAGAGAGTTACTGGCAGGCTAACTGTGGTGTCACAGGAAATTTGTTTTAAAATATGGGAATGAAAGAAACATTTTCTTTAATTTCTTACCATGGAGGTGTGAGGCAAAAAGTCCTAAGCTCAACCATGTATGGACCAAGCAAAAATACAGACACTTATCTCTTGGAAGAAGGTGCAACTTATTCCATTATCTTTATTTTTCACAGATAAGAAGGAAGAATCAGGATGTGGTTGTATAAATTGCTTAGCTTACAGAGACTTGGAACATCCCCTACTTTCCCTACAATAACTTTTTTGGTCTTTTTAAAAATAAATGTTTGGAAAATTGAAGTATAACACATATATAGAAAAATGCAAAAATCATCAATATACAGCTCAAAGAGTTACCAAAAATTGAAAACACTCATGTAACCTCCACTAAGGCCAGGATTAATTTTTAACTTTCCTTTTTTTATTTTTTGCAAGTAAAAATTCAAGACCTCATGTATTTCTATACCCAGTAATGAGAAATACGCTCTGTTCCTGAACAATAGTCACTCTTTATCCTAGTTGAGATTCTTTGAAGCTGCAAAGAATGATATATCCTAATCTACAAAGATTTTCCCAGAGCCATTTCCATCAAACTGAACCAACACTTTCACCCACATCACCAAAGGTTTTTTTTACTTTCACATTGGTAGATCATTGGATGTGAGTTCAAATCTGGCCTCTGGCACTCACTAAATATTAAATAGTTGTCATAATTATATAAAATAAATGTGAAAAAAACATTATCACAGAGCCTGGCCCCTGGTTGATACAAGTTTTCTCCCTCTCCTCTCACAGTTTTTGTGTCTTAGCTAACATTTTTAAATACCTGTGATTCTTAACCTTTTCCAGATGAGGAACAATTTGATAATTCCCATAAAAGTATTCCATTGGGAGAACAAGTCACCATGTGTGGGACCCCTTCCCCAACACCCCAGCATTTTTATCCAGCCCACCCCCAATAAGATAAAGATGAACAGAGAGACAACACACCAGAGGGGCAGCCTGAGGGCTATATCTGGAACTTGGGAGCAATAGTTGCACCCCTTTGCCTTGGTGAAGATGGGGGATTTATTTAGGGACAGATGACTCAGATATCTTTGGCCCCAGCTACCTGCGAAGCTGTCAGTATCCTGGGTGTCTACCTAGTCAGCAGCAACAGGGCCCAAAAGAACTCAGCTGTGCAACCTGACCACCATTGACCTAATTGGTTCCTTTTTCACTTCCGTGAAATAATGATCCAAATGGTTCTCATAGGTCTTTATTTTTTACAGCTCCTCATCTCTCTTCAAACTCATGATAAATCTTTGATTATTCTTTCAACATTTATTGAGTATACACTAAATGGCAGGCACTGTCTATATTCTGTTTTCAGAATTACTGATGGTTCACCATTTAAGAAGTAACTAAAAGTTGAAACATTTAAAAATATTTTTAAAATGCTCTATACAGTCTTCCAATTTTAGAAAAGAAATATTTTATTATAAAAGCATTTAAAAATGTTTAAATAATCTAAAACATTTAAAACTTAATGTGATTATGAGTCTCACTTTTCTTTCTCTTTGTTCACATACATATGCAATTTTTACACGCTGCATTCATTTATTCAGTACATTTCTATTGAGCGTGTAATATGTCTGTATATAACTCAAGATACTGGCAATTGTCTGTATATAATCAAAACAGTCTTCATTTTCAAGGAACTAACAATCTAATGAAAGAGACCAACACTCACTAACAATATGAATGTTGTTATAGATAAGGTAACAAGACTTAAGAGGAGGCTGCAAGTCAGTGTCAAGCCAGCATGGCTCATTATGGGTCGCTCACATCTTCTATCTGTCCAAACTGGGACAGTTTTGAAAGCGAAAGCGGTACTAATAATGAGTACACCGGCAAACAGATGTAAACAGGCCTAAGAAAATTAGGCTGTACGGTCATCTTAGAACAGGCCACTGAGACTTGCCTGGCTTCACGAGAGGAAGCTTGAGCTAATTTCAGGATGAAAGAGCCCAAGGGCTGCATAGCTACTTTTCAAATATGTCCACTATCACTCACTGACATTCTCCTTTCTAGCCTTTCTAAAGGATAAACTAAGAAACCAAAGTGTTAAAAAGATATAATGGGATAATAACATGTACTTGATACAGTTGTCATGACTTCCTGCTGACTCCAAAGGGAATAGACAGCAAAAGTGAGGGTTGTTAGAGTTAATGTCATTTCACTTCTCTCTCTTCACCATCCTACTCTCCTTCTGTCCCCTTGCTTTTCTCCTTTTGCCCCAACTCCTTTCAATTTATTTCTTTCCCCTTTCCTATTTTCTGTCTGATTAGGTCAGGTCAGTAAAATGCTAGTGCTCAGGAATAATTAGTATTATATTTTAAAGGATTAACCTATTATTACATATTAGAGCCTAGATAAACATGTTTCTCACTTCACAAATTGGGTTTCGTTTTTGTTTGTGTTTTCACTTTTTGATTTTCTATAACCTGAATCAACAGTAAATCTTTTCTTGAGGGCAATCAAGTTCCTTCCCACCAGCCTCTATTATCTCTGTCCCCAGTTCCAAACCACAAGGTTGTAGATGGAACTCGTGTCAACTTTCTCCTGTTTGCATTGATTGACTTTAAAAGTAAAATAATTCTGTACAAATTTGCAGCATGGTCAAGGAGCATCAAAATATAATCAAGAGCCTTCAGAGTTTCAGCGTTTCTTCTAGAAATATGACGGTTGTCAATTTGATCATAATAGAAAAGTTAATCTCCTGCCATTTTTAATGTATTCCAATTAAATTTGTTAGGAGTATATAAGTAAAACTAATCCTATTTTAGTGAAAGCTAGAACTCACATAAACAGCAAAATTATTCCCTTACTCTTTGTTTTCTTATCTTTAAAAAAATTCCTTCCTGTATGATAAGCATGAAAGTAAAAATAATGACCACAAAAATAGATTAATATGATTCAGTTTTCACTTCCATAAAGGACATGAAAAAATACATGACCAAGTTAAATACTTGTGTAAATAATTAACCAGGTACTAATATACCCGGCCGACAGGTTGTTGCTTTGGGTTTGGTTTTGTTTTTGAGACGGGGTCTCTGTCATCCAAGCTGAAATGCCGTGGTGTGATCATGGCTCACTGCAGCCTCCACTTTCTGGATTCAAGCGATCCTCCTACCTCAGCCTCCCAAGTAGCTGGGACTACAGCCGCACCACCACACCTGGGGTTTTTTGTTTGTTTGTTTTCTTGGTAGAGACAGAGTTTTGTCATGTTGCCCAGGATGGCCTCAAACTCCTAAATTCAAGCAATTCTTCCACCTCTGCCTCCCAAAGTGCTGGGATTACAAGTGTTTTTAATAAGGAATTTCAAAGGGAAATTTTGAATAAGCAGAGATAAATGGAATGGTAGGGTGAGAGAGAAAAAGAAATGTTATGACATTTAAAGTGACAGTGACACACTAAGTCAGGCCACCCAAGAGACGGAGAAGCCCTTCCAGACTCCCAGGCCCTGTCCCATTGCTGCAAGATCTCAGGGTTGGCTTTCCAGATACACCAACGAAGGGTCAGATGAGATAAAATTATTTTCATCAAATATTCTGCTCTTGCACTTTTATTCTCCATTGGTTATCCCTCTTACCTCCAATAGTGCAACCTGGGCACACAATTATTTCAAATGCATAGCTAAAATTAACTCTAGCATGAGACATTTCAGGGTATGAATTAAATATTCCAAAAGTAAATCAGAGTCTCAAATTTAGCTTGGTATAGGTTTGAAGCATTAAACTTTCTAGGTTGAACTGGTCAAGCAAGACTCTGGAAGTCCTGGCTTCTGATCACATTTGTACTATTTTCTCTCTGTATGAACCTGGGCAAGTTATTTAACATCTCAACTTCTTGGCAGGATGCTGTGGCTCACGCCTGTAATCCTAGCACTTTGGGACGCCGAGGTGGGTGGATCACGAGGTCAGGAGTTTGAGACCAGCCTGGCCAACACAGTGAAACTCCATCTTTACTAAAAATACAAAAAATTAGCTGGGCATAGTGGCATGTGCCTGTATCCCAGCTACTCGGGAGGCAGAGGCAGGAGAATCACGTGAACTCAGGAGGCGGACGTTGCTGCGAGCCGATATCGTACATTGCACTCCAGCCCAGGCAACAGTGTGAGACTCGGTAATCCCAGCACTTTGGGAGGCCGAGGCGGGTGGATCACAAGGTCAGGAGATCGAGACCATCCTGGCTAGCACGGTGAAACCCCGTCTCTACTAAAAATACAAAAAAATTAGCCAGGCGTGGTGGTGGGCGCCTGTAGTCCCAGCTACTTGGGAGGCTGAGGCAGGAGAATGGCGTGAAACCCGGGAGGCAGAGCTTGCAGTGAGCAGAGATCACGCCACTGCACTCCAGCCAGGGCGACAGAGTGAGACTCTGTCTCAAAAAAACAAAACAAAACAAAAAAAAACCCTCAACTTCTTAATCTGTAAATTGGGAAATAATATTATCTGTCTCTCAGGGTTATTATAAGGAATAAATGAGATATAACACAGCCAAGTATACAGCATATGTTAGGCACTTGGTAAATGGCAGCTATTGTGATTTTATTATTGGTCAGAGGAATGGCAGTAGGTTTATATTTGCAGGTCAAATCAGATTTATTATTAGTAACTGTTTTGAAAGTCTACAGGGAGTCTACAGTTGTTTCTTGGCTCCATAGAAAAGACTGCTATGCTCAATTGACAATGTCTGCTATGAGTGTAGGAAGGAACATAGTAACCCTATTTGCCATTTTCAATTGCTAGTATCAGACACAGCATGGTTTCCAAGCCTATAATCCCTCCTCCCCATAGTTGAGGTCACCTGATCCTCTTTCAGAAGCTACATGTAGTCTCAATCCTCACCTAAGACAACAAATGCTTAAGCAGCTCCAATCCTCCTTTCTAAGATCCAGCCCAGAGTCATCCTAACCATGAATCCAATCACAACATGGTAGCCTAATTTTAACAACTAGACTGTTGCCTTTTTTACTAAGTCCCAGTCCCTATTGTTAAACCTAGTTCTAGTAACTAGGCTTCTTCCACTCCAGCACCTTCCTAAAATAGGTACCCTGAATTCACATTAGCCATAGGCTTTCCAAAATTAGCATCTCTAATCCTCAAAATCTAACCTTCAGGATAAATCCCTGTTAACTATTGAAAACTTCTTAGTTGTTGACTATGGGCTTCTCAATATTGCTCACTCTGGTTTCCCCATCAATTTTTTGTACACCAACCTTTAACTGAATACTTGCTAAGTCAAAAATATACATATAACTTTGCATGAAAATATCACAGAAATCTCAGTATGAAGTATAAATACCTAGAAGCAAGAAAGGACTAAAGTTAACAGGACCATATCATGCAACTTTCTCTTGAATCCAGTATTGAAAAATTCTACCTTTTAATTCCATGGGTTGACAGAAATCAAATTTATCCACTCAGAAAATACCTTTATGCCATCAGCTAGGCAAATATTTATTAATTGCAATGAGCCAAGCCCTGTGCCAGGTACCAGGAGGGTAGTAGGCACTGGGAGGGTAGTAGGCTACTAAGAAAGTCCAGTGGAAGAATCTGACTCAGTCTCAGGTCAAGAGAGCCTTTCTAGGGAGGTTTTATTGGTGCTGATTCTGGGCCTGGTGAGTCATGTTGATTGGGGGCAAGGGCTGACACACCTTATCCTCCAGAAAGATTTGGACCATTTGGTGAGTCACCCTGATTGGGGGCAAAGGGTGACACATTATCCTCCAGGAAGACTGGAACTTTTTCAAAGAGTCCAGATTATGGGAGCCCTTCACTTAGACTGAAGCTTTCTTTTCCTGCAGAATATTCCTCCTTGATGTGCTTCTTCCCTAGGAGTTTGGGCAGAAAGGACCCTGAAGAGTCTTGATACCTACTCTGTTTCAACTACAGAGTTCCCATCTCTGTTTGGAGGAGTTCCTTCATTCCTTAGATCATGTGCAGGAGCTACCTGGCCAACATCAGCCAATTTGATGACCTATCTAAGCTTCTCCCCAGCTTAAAGTATTAGCTCCTTGCATTTCCCCAGATGTTTACTGATAATTTTAACCCCACCTACTTGCAAGTAGTCTCCAGAATCCTATCATTACAGGTTCATAATAGCCTGATATCTGACATAGCCTACTGAAAGAATACATAATTTCCCCTAAGAAAAGAGGAGGGACTTAGCCTTTTAGCTGTAATCCAGAACAACAAATCAGTACATTTATAGCACAAAGATTTCACTAAATATTAATTTAAATAACATCCAGGGAGTTAAAAAATACAAGACAGTCATCCAAGAGTCCCAAGTCAGAGGGAAAGGCAAGAAAATGTACAGATGAGAAACCCAGAGAATAGGATGACAAACAGAATTTACATTGTGGCCAGTTGCAAGATCAACATACAAAGATAAGTAGCATTCCTCTTAGAGAACAATAACTGAGAAAGACCCCATTCTCAGTAGCAATAAAACTATAAAATATCTAGGAATAAACTCAATAATATATGCACAGTTTCTGTATGGAGAAAATAATAAAATTTTACTGCTGGCCTTAAAAAAATAATCAAATAAAGGAAGACATATAGCATTATAAAATGCCAATTCACTCCTAATTTAATCTGTAAGTTAAATTCAGGGCCAATCAAAAGCAGGTGGTAACAAATTTTATATAACATTTAATTATGAGTCAGTTGCTAAGCATTGGAGATATAATGGTGAATAGCACAGAGTCCCTGCTCTCCAGATTCTAATGCAAGGGAGGAGAGAGAAGATAAGTATATAAACAAATAAACAAGATAATTTCAGATGATCATGTGTTATGGAGAATAGATAATTGATGGAGACTGACAAAAGCACTGCAGTGGGGGAGGGGATGGGACTCTATTTTAACTAGAGTGAATCAGAGAAAGCCTCCCAGAAGAGGTGACATGTAAGGTCAAACCTCAATTACGCAAATTGGTCAATCATGCAAATATCTGGGAAGCCCCAGCCTTCCAAGCAACAGGAAGAGCAAGAGCCCTGAATCAACCATGATCATAGCCAGCTAAAGAGACAGAATAAAGGGACTATGGTTGAAACCTAGTTGAAAGAGAGAGCATTGGGGAAGATAAATTAGCAGGGCTAAATGTGATAAAGTAAATTAGCAGGGCTAAATGTGTAGAGATTCTAGGCCATGGGGAAGCATTTGATTCTAGATTTAATTGTGAAGCCCTTGGGCAGTTGTAAGCAGGGAAGTGACATCATCTGAGGACCATTTAGGCTGCTGTGCGGCAAATGGGCTGGTGGGAGAGAGGGTAGGAAATGTGGAGGCAGGGGGACTGGTTAGAAGACTCTCTCAGTAGTAATGTTGGGATGACAGCAGCTTGAACTAGAGTAGCAGAGAAGGAGGAAGTCAGAATTGATCAGATTCAAGATATAATTTGGAGGCAGCAGCCGTAGGACTTGCTAACGGATTAGATGAAGGTGAGAGATAGAGCTTAAGATAACTCACAGGGTTTTTTGACTAAAGAACTGGGAGGATGGTGGTGCCATTTGCTGAGAGGAGGGAGAAGAGGACTTCAAGGAGAAAAGCCATAAAGTTAGTTCTCTAATAAAACTTGACAAGCTGTTTGAAATTTGACACAAAAACAAAATGGAAAAAAAAACCTAAAAACGATCATGAAAAATAAGCAATAAGAAAATACAGCAGAGTAGGAAGTGCAGAAACAAGCGTATACACACACATACATACACAATTATACAAACATTTTCCGGTAATGGTAATATGTCCTTTTTTATTTTTATCTTTTTAAGAAAACCCTATCTCTCTAGCTCTCCCTTGTAGGTAGAGACAGCCATGTCTTAAGGATGGCTGAGCAACAAGTCAAGAGAAGGCTGGGTTTTAATGACATCATAGCACCATCCCCAGACTGTGTCCCCTCAGATTCTTCATGTAAGAACAAATAAAACCCCTAATTTGTTTAACCCGCTGGGGTTTTTTAGTCTTTATTGCTTAAAAACAAACACAATTCTCAACAAATAGGGAACTTTTAAGTCAATACTGTTGGGAAAACTTACTATGCATTTGGAACCAGACACTAAAAAATTCTGGAGAGATTAGGTCAGATGCGGTGGCTCACGCATGTAATCCCAGCACTTTGGGAGGCTGAGGTGGGTGGATCACGAGGTCAGGAGATCGAGACCATCCTGGCTAACACGGTGAAACCCCGTCTCTACTAAAAATACAAAAAATTAGCCGGGCGTGGTGGTGGGCGCCTGAGGCTGAGGCAGGAGAATGGTGTGAACCGGCGGGAGGCGGAGCTTGCAGTGAGCCGAGATCGCGCCACTGCACTCCAGCCTGGGTGACAGAGTGAGACTCCGTCTCAAAAAAAAAAAAAAAAAAAAAAACCTCTGGAGAGATTAAAGGTCTAAACCTAAAAAAACAAAAAGAAAAACAAAAACCAGACCATCAACAGGGTGAGGTAGTCATCAGTACTACTTACCAAATAGATCTGGCTTGCTCCTTTCCTAGGCGCACAGTGGCACGGCATTTCCTACTTCCTTGCGGTTAGATGGTGCCCTGCAACTGGTTCGGGCCAATGAGTTGTGAGTGGAAGTAGTAGATGTACTTGTAACACAGAGCATTTAACTGCCCATGTAAGATGTTTCAGAGCTCTTTTCCCTTTACACCATAGTGACCAGCAATGTTTGCTGTAGTGGCTACTCCATCAGCCTGGTCCCAGAGTAAGGAAGTATGATACAGAGCTTTCAGTCAACTCAGTGGACAGGTAGCACGAGCATAAAAGTAAATAGTTCTTGTTATAAGCTAACAAGATTCTAAGTTTGCTTGTTACTATTGCACAGCCCAAAGTAAGGTAAAATAAAGAATGTCCCCAAATCATGTAATACTGTACAGCACATAAAAATTATGAGCTGGATATCCATGTACTCATGTGTAAAGCTTGCTAAGAGGTATTATTAAGGAGAAAAGCAAATTCTAAAATAAGACTGTTGGTCTAATACTATTTATGTTAACTCCCACCTCACAAAAAAACTATATACTTCTACAGATATATGTATGTTTTGTTTTGTTTTTGAGATGGAGTTTCATTCTTGTTGCCCAGGCTGGAGTGCAGTGGTGAAATCTCGGCTCACTGCAACCTCCACCTCCCGGGTTCAAGCGATTCTCCAGTCTCAGCCTCCCAAGGACTAGGATTACAGGCGTCCACCACCATGCTGGGCCAATTTTTGTATTTTTAGTAGAGATGGGGTTTCACCTTGTTGGCCAGGCTGCTCTCGAACTCCTGACCTCAGGTGATCCACCCACCTCGACCTCCCAAAGTGCTGGGATTACAGGCGTGAGCCACCATGCCTGGCCAGATATATGTATGTTAGTGCATAGAGCAAATTTAGAAAGGTACACATAAAACTGGTAAGAGTGGTTAACACTAGGGGAGGCTTGGTTAAAAGGAAATGTTTTTACTTATCTGTATTCTTTGAATTTTTTAACTTAGGAAAAGCAAAATATTACACATATGAAAGAAATTATATAAAGTATATGTACATTTTAAAGAAGAGAAATAAATCTTTAAATGATCACAAATGTGCATCTACCGCCCAGATGAAAAAATAGAACATCACTGGTACCACTGACAACCTCTGCATGGCCTTAAATGATGGCATTCGTTTCTTTTTCCCTGAGAGATAACTACTGACCTGAAGCTAGTGTTACCTATTTGCTGCTCTTGGTTTTAGTGTTTTTATATAGAAAAGATACACACCCACACACACACACATACACACACATCCTTATACAATATATTACTTGACTGTTTTTTTAATTTATGTAAGTGAATTCATTTACAATTCCTTTTTTGATTCAAAATTGCATTTCTAATAGTAATCCCTAATATTGCATGTAGATTTAGTTTATTCGTTTTCACTTTAGAATATTATTTCATTATTTAGTCATCCTACCATTAATGAATATTTAGAGCCTTTCTAGATTTTTTGCTGTTCTGAATAATGCTGTTCTGAATATTCTTGTACATGTGCCCTACTATACATTTTCAAATTTCTTTATTATATACACACATCCAGGAGGTGATGCTGGGTCAGAGGGTGTATACTTACTCAGTTTTCCTAGGTAATCCCAACTGTCTTCCAAAAAGGTTGTACCAATTTATGTTCTGAAGCAATGTATAAGAGTTCCCTTGCTTCATATCTTCATCAATACATGGTATTGTCAAACTTTTAAATTGTTGCCATCCTAATGGATGTGAAATTATGTGAAATCTTTTGGTTTTAGTTTGCATTTTCCTGATTACTAATTGTAAGGCTGAGAATTTTTAAAATATTTGTTGGCCACTCATATTTCCCATTCTGTGAAATGCCTATTCATGTCTTTAGCCCATTTTTCTGTTAGATTCTTCATTGTTTTATTATTGATGTATGTGAGTTGTCGTGTGTATGTGTTAAATACTAATCCTTTGTTGGTTGTGTTTCAGATATCTCCTCACAATTTGTAAGTTGTCATTTCACTGCTTTTATGGTATCTTTGAAAAATGAAATTATTAATTTTAATGAATTCAAATTTATCCAACCTTCTTTTGTGATTTTCTTTATAGAAATCCTTCCCTACCCTGAGGCCATAAAGATATTCTCCTGGCTTTTCTTCTAAAAGTTTTTAAAATTTGCTTTCACATTTAAACCAAGCTAATTTTGTGCATGGTGTGTGTGAAGTTGGAATTGATTTTGAATTTTTCTATGGAAAATCAATTTTATTAGTATCTTTCTCCATTCATCTGCAATGCCATTTCTGTTCTATGTCAAATTTCCTTGCATGCATGAATCTATGTCTATAAGTCCGTTCTATGAGTCTGTCTATCCCTGTATGAATACCATACTGTATTAATTGGCTAACTTTATATAATTCTTGAAATCTGCATTACAACACCCACTACCCTTGTTTTTCTTTAGTAGTATCTTCTTCTCAGCCTTTTACTTGTTCATGAAAATTTTACAGTGAAATAGTCAATTTCCACTAAAACAAAAACTGTTAGGATTTGGATTAAGTTTCCATGGAATCCATAGATTAATTGAGAAGAATTAATATCTTTATAATATTGATGACTCCTATACATGATATGTTTCTCCACTTACTTTGTTATATTCTTCTTAAAATATGAACTATTTTACAATATAACTATCTTTATTTAATATATTGTGATAGTTTTAAAATTTTTCCCTAAATGTCTTTCAAATCTTTTTTAAATTTCTGAGAATCTTTAGATTTTCGTTGCTATTGTGCATCTGTAGTAGTCAGCCTCCAAAATAGCTCCCAGTGATCCTTGCCTCCTGGTATTCACACTGGTAAGTCTCCTCTCACACTGAATAGGGCTGACCTGTGTAACCATGGAAATGACAGAGTGTGACTGCTAAGTCTAAGCCATAAAAGAAACTGTGGTTTCTGCTTTGTTCTCTCTTGGATCCCTTGCTCTGGGGGAAGCCAGCTGCCACATTATAAGGACACTTGAGCTACCCTACAAAGAAGTCCATGAGGGGAGGAACTGAGGCCTCCCACAAATAGCCAGGATTAATTTGCCAGCCAGGTAGATGATCCATCTTAGAGGCTGATCTTCTGGTCTCAGTCAAGCCATCAGATGACTGCAGCCTCGGCTGACATCCTGTAAGAGACCCTGAACCAGACAAGCCAACTAAGCCATTCCTGAATTCCTGACCCTGTATGAGATGATAAATTGTTATTATTGTTTGATACAACTAATTCTTAGGGTAATTTGTTATGAAGCAATAGCAAACAAATAAAATATCATATATTTTTCTTAAATTAAAATTTCTTACTGTTTAGGCTGTTGTGTAAAAAAGCAAAAGACTTTTGAATATTGATCTCATACCCAGTAACCTTAGTGTCTTAATCAATTCAGGCAGCTGTAACAAAGTACCATAGACTGAGTGGCTTATAAAAAACAGAAACTTATTTCTCTCAGTTTTGGAGCTGGAAACCTGATACCAGGGTACCAGAATGGTCAAGTCGACCCATAGAATTAATCATCACACTCACTGAAAGGGCCACCCTTCAAGGCACCCTATGTGAGCTTCTGTCTTGCTTGAGGCCCCGGCTTTATCTTCATCCCTGCTGCAGTGGGCTCACTAAAACACAGGCCAGCGGCCACTAAGGAGCTCGTAAACCTAATCAGGGCTCCACCTAACATATTTTACTTTTACTTTTTTCCTGGCTGCTGAAAAATTCCCTTAATTTCCCACCAGCTCAGCCTCAGGCCAACATGAAAAAAAGTTTTATTGGGTTTTTGCTTGTTTGTTTATCTTAATATTCTACACCACATTTTTAAAGTGTACGGTACTGGGAAGAGTTTTATTTAAGGCCTAGTTCATTACATAAAAACTTCGAATTTTTAGTTTGAATATAAGCATATATTAGAATTTTTTAAAACACACTTAAAATACAATAAAATGTTAGAAAAAATGAAGAATATGTTAATAACTTTGGTTATAGAAGGCCTTCTTAAGCTAAAATTACAAAACCTATAAAGAATTAATATTGATTAATATATTTAACTACACAAGCTTTTAAAATTTTTGTGTGAAAACAACACCTTAAATGAAATTAAAAGGCCACAAAGCAACCAGAAGCAAATATTAACAATATATAATGAAAGATTATATAATATGTCATTAACTCATACAAGTCACTATAGAAAACACATAAAACCAATTAGAAAATGAGCAAAGGATATGGAGACAGTCCATAGAAGAGGACGCAAATGGCCAACAATTATATTAAAAATATGTATAATGTCACTGGTTATCAGAGAAATGCATATTAAAATAGTAAAGTATCATCTTTCACCCAACAGATGAGAATTCAAAAGACTGATAATATGTTAGATATTAATTATTAGTGGGAGTAAAAATTGATGCAGTCTTTTTGGAGGGCAGTTTAGCAATATATCTATTAAAATTTACAACATATTACTTTAAGGAGTTTTGAACAATGCTTGAAGGATGTACCATTCTCTTTCCAAATCCCCAGTAATTAGTAGTTTCTTTCTAGGAAACAGTGAGTGAAAGGGATCTGAACTCAAAAAGGCCAGTATCAGCTAGAAAGGTTTTTAAGAAAGTTTTCAAGTGTCTTATTTCATTTCTGCTGCTATAACAGAATACCTGAGACTGGGTAATTTACTTATTAATTAATTAATTAATTTTATTTTTTTTGAGATGTAGTTTCACTATTGTCGCCCAGGCTGGAGTGCAGTGGTGTGATCTCAGCTCACTGCAACCTGCACCTCTTGGGTTCAAGTGATTCTCCTGCCTCAGTCTCCAAAGTAGCTGGGATTACAGGTGCCCACCACCATGCCTGGCTAATTTTTGTATTTTTAGTAAAGACGAGGTTTCACCATGTTGACCAGGCTGGTCTTGAACTCCTGACCTCAGGTGAGCCAGAAACTGGGTAATTTATAAAGAGCAGAAATTTATTGACTCATGGTCTAAAGGCTGGAAAGTCTAAGAGCATGGTGCTGGCATCTAGCAAGGGTCTTCTTTCTGTATCACTTCATGGCAGAAGGTAGAAGGGCAAGAGAGAGTGAGAGTAAGACAGCAACAGAGCAAAATACTGTACTTATAGCCTCAAACCTTTTATAATTGGCGTTAATTCATTCATGATGGTGAGCCCTCATGACATAAATGCCTCCCATTAGACCCCACCTCCCAATGCTGTTGCATTAGGTATTAATTTGCTAACACATGAACCTGGGGGGACACATTCAAACTATAACATCAAGATAACATTAAGTTTTCAGATATTACCCCCTCTGGTTCCTTAGCACTTGGATAATGAGGTGATTCTCCTCTTTAACTGGTGAACTGAGTCCATGGAACAGATGGATGTCATGAAGTCTATCACCTTGACTATGACATGGTCACTGATTCTTTTGATGTGATCCACCTCTCCCTTTTTGAACAAGATGATAGACAGTAATGGCATCTATTAACAATATTTTCTTTCTCATTTGGAGTACTGGAGGTGGCTTCTTCTTATTTACTGACAGAGGTATTGCAAAGTAGCAAGCATGCAAAAATCCTTAAGGCATAATACAAATACATGGAAAAGGGCTTGGAAGCATACTGTCTATTCTGCTATCCAGTGGGAAAAGATTGCTAGAGATGTTAAAGGAGGTCATATGTTCATCTTATGGTCATAAAACATATAAATTATCCCCTTGAACGTGAACTATCTAGGTCTTGCTGTGCCAGCCTTCCCTAGTACAGTTTAGTAAATCCATTTGGTTTACAAATAAAAAGAGATCGTGCGACAAATGACCAAGAAAGCCCCTTCCTCAAGATTTTCCCCAGCACCTATATGTACCTTTTAACCCAATAAGTCAACCTCTAAGAGTGTATCATAAAAAAAAAAATTGTGTATGTCCAAAAGAAGCACATACAAAGATGAACATTCATGCTTTATTGTTTCTAACAGTAAAATTCTAAAACAGCCTATGTAACCATCAACCGAGGAGAAGTTACATATGTTTGAAATAGATTTTCATTCCTCTGTGCTATGGAATAGTTTGCAGCAACTAAAAAGAGAATGAGAGAGGTGTATGTATAGTGACTTAAAAAAGGGTATAAGTTAAATATAGGACCTCAAACTATAAAAATCCTAGAAGAAAATCTAGGAAATACCATTCTGGACATGAGCCATGGGAAAGAATTTATGACTAAGTCCTTAAAAGCAATTTCAACAACAACAAAAATTGACAAGTGGGACCTAATTAAGCTAAAGAGCTTCTGCACAGTAAAAGAAACTATCATCAGAGTAAACACAACTTACAGAATGGAAGAAATTGTTCACAAACTATGCATCTGGCAAAGGCCTGATATTCAGAATCTAAAAGGAACTTAAACAATTCAACAAGCAAAAATCAAATAACCCCATTGTGAAATGGGCAAAAGGCAAGAACAGACATTTCTGAAAAAAAAAAAAAAAGATATACAAGCAGCCAACAAACATATGAAAAAAATGTTCTTCATCACTAATCAACAGAGAAATGCAAATCAAAACTGCAATGGGAGACCATCTCACATAATCAGAATGGCCATTATTAAAAAGTCAAAAACACCAGATATTGGTGAGGCTGTGGAGAAAAGGGAACATATATACACTATTGGTGGGAATGTACATTAGTTCAACTACTGTGAAAATAAGTTTGAAGATTTCTTAACGAACTTAAGACAGAACTAACATTTGACCCAGCAATCCCATTGCTGGGTATATATTCAAAAGGAAACAATTGTTCTACCAAAAAGACACATGTACTGGCATGTTCATCACAGCACGATTCACAATAGCAAAGACATGGTATCAACCTAGGTACTCTTCAATGGTGGATTAGATAAAGAAAATATAGTACATATACAGCATGGAATACTACACAGCCAAAAAAAGAACAAAATCATGTCCTTTACAGCAACATGGATATCCTTTGCAGCAACATGGATGCAGCAAGTTAACACAGGAAGAGAAAATTAAATATGGCATGTTCTCACTTATAAATGGAGCTAAACATCAGGTACTCATGAACATAAAGATGGCAACAATAAACACTGGGGACTACTACACAGGGGAGGGTGGAAGGGGGATAAGTTGAATAACTAACTGTTGAGTACTATGCTCAGTATCTGGGTGATGGGATCATTAGTACCCCACACCTCAGCATCACGTAATATACCCAGGTAGCAAACCTGCACATATATCCCCTGAATCTAAAATAAAAGTTAAAGAAGGAAAAAAAAGGGGATATCTGATTAAGTTTTTTTTAAAAAAAAAAAGCAAGTTGCAGAACAGTACACAACAGCATGAAATCATTTAGGTTGAATATATGTACATGTTTAACCTAAATGATATTTCCTTTGCGTGTCTGTTATGCACACACACACACACACACACACACACACACTGACACATATCTATTTTAACAGATATATGATAAATATATGAAGTTGCATGGAGAAGGGGGGCTTGGAAGGCTATTCTCATACTATGCAATGGTAGAGATTGCCATGAAATGGTAATAGCGGTTTAAAATTTTTTTGTATCATTTTATGTTACAATGAGAATATCTTCATGTAGAACTTGAGTGATTAAACAATTTTTTCTTTATTTTAATTATTAGTATTATTTTTTTTTTTGAGACGGAGTTTTGCTTTTGTCATCCAGGCTACAGTGCAGTGGCACTATCTCAGCTCATTGCAACCTCCGCCTTCCAGGTTCAAGCGATTCTCCTGCCTCAGCCTCCCAAGTAGCTGAGATTACAGGTGCCCACCACCATGCCCAGCTATTTTTTTTTTTTTTTGGTATTTTTAGTAGAGACAGGGTTTCACTATGTTGGCCAGACTGGTCTCGAACTCCTGACCTCAGGTGATCTGCCCACCTTGGCTTCTCAAAGTGCTGGAATTACAGGCGTGAGCCACCACGCCAGGCCAATTTTCAATTTTTTATTTTAAATTTTCGTGAATACATAGTAAGTGTATATATTTATGGGATACAGGGATATTTTGGTATAGGCATGCAATACATAATCACATCGTGGAAAACTGGGTATCTATCCCTTCAAGCATTTATCCTTTATGTTACAAACAATCCAATTATACCTTTTTAGTTATTTTTAAATGTACAATTAAATTATTATTGATGATAGTCCCCCTGTTGTGCTATTAGATACTAGGTCTTATTCACTCTTTCGATTTTTTTGTACCCATTAACCATCTCATCCCCTACTACCCTTCACAGCCTCTGGTAACCATCCTCCTATTCTCTATCTTTATGAGTTTGATTGTTTTGATTTTCTCTGGTGGTACACTTTAATTTCTTGCTTTTTATTTTTTTGTGTATCTGTTGGTGTTGTTTGATTTAAGGTTACCATAAGGCTTACAAATCCTACCTTATAATACATTATTTTAAACTGATAACAACTTAACACTGATTGTATAAACAAACAAGCAAACAAACATGTAAAGAGAAAACTAATAAAAACTCTATACTTTAACTTTGTCCGCCCTGCTTTTTAACTTTTTGTTATTTCTGTTTATATCTTATTGTACTGTTTGGAAAATTATTGTAGCTATTAGTTTTTATTTGTTCATCATTTAGTCTTTCTACTTCAGTCAAGAGAGGTTGACACACTACAATTACAGTGTTACAATATTCTGTGTTTTTCTGTATGCTATTACCAGTGATTTTTGCACCTTCAGATGATTTCTTCTTCCTCATTAACACCCTTTTCTTTCAGATTCAAAACTCCCTTTAGTACGTCTTGTAGGACAGGTCTAGTTTTGATAAAATCCCTCAGTTTTTGTTTGTCTGGGAAGGTCTTTATTTCTTCTTCATCTTTGAAGGATATTTTCACCAAATATACAATTCTAGTACAGGTTTTTTCTCATTCAACATTTTAAATATGTCATGCCACTCTCTCCTGGCCTGTAAGGTTTCCACTGAAAACTCTGCTGCCAAACATATTGGAGCTCCATTATATGTTGTTTGTTTCTTTTCTCTTGCTGCTTTTAGGATCCTTTCTTTATCCTTGACCTTAGGGAGTTTGATTATTAAATGTCTTGAGATAGTCTTCTTTGGGTTAAATCTGCTTGGTGTTCTATAACCTTCCTGAACTTGAATGTTGATGTATTTCCCTAGGTTTGGAAAGTTCTCTGATATTATCCCTTTGAATATACTTTCTACCCCTATCTCTTTCCCTACCTCCTCTTTAAGGCCAATCACTCTTAGATTTGCCCTTTTGAGGCTATTTTCTAAATCCCGTAGGTGTGCTTCAATGTTTTTTATTCTTATTTTTCTTTTGTCTCCTCTGTGTATTTTCAAATAGCCTGTCTTCAAGTTCAATAATTCTTTCTTCTGCTTGATCAATTCTGTTATTAAGAGACTGATACTTTCTCCAGCATGTTGGTTGCATTTTTCAACTTTAGAATTTCTGCTTGATTCTTTTTAATTATTTCAATCTTTTTGTTAAATTTGTCTGATAAAATTCTGAGTTTCTTTGTGTTATCTTGAATGTCTTTTGAGTTTCCTCAAAACAGCTATTTTAAATTCTCTGTCTGAAAGGTCATATATCTCTGTTTCTCTAGAACTGATCCTTGATGCCTTATTTAGTTCATTTGGTGAGGTTATGTTTTCCTGGATGGTGCTGATGCTTGTAGATGTTCATTGGTGTCTGGAGGATGAGGAATTAGGTATTATTGCAGTCTTCACGGTCTGGGCTTTTTTGTGCCTGTCCTTCTTGAGAAGGCTTTCCAAGTATTCAAAAGGACTTGGGCCCCACACCTGATAACACTATGGTTTTTGCAGACTTGTAGAGGTACTGCTTTGGCAGTCTTGGATAAGATCAGGAAGAATTATCTGGATTACCAAGCAGAGGCTCTTGTTCTTTTTCCTTACTTTCTCCCAAACATACAAAGTCTCTCTCTGTGCTGAGCCATGGGGAACAGGGGGTGTCATGATGCAAGCACCCCAGAGGCCACACCACTGGGGCTGTACTAGGTCAGACCTGGAGCCAGCACAGCACTGGGCCTTATCCAAAGCCTTTCCTTTCTGGGTGACATGTTCCCCCAGGCCCTGGGCATGTCCAGAGATGCTGTCTGGGAGCCAGGGATTGGAGTCCAAAACCTCGGCAGTTTACCTGATGTTCTATTCTACTGTGGCTAAGCTGGCACTCAAACCATAATACAAAGTTCCTGCTCTTCCCTCCCCTTTCCACAGAAAGAGGAGCCTCTCCCTGCGGCCCTCTCCACCATCAGTCCATGGGGATTTCTGCCAGGCCATTACTGATGTTCACTTAAAGCCCAAGGACCCTTCCGTCAGCTTGTGGTGAATGCTGCTAGCCCTTGGACTCACACTTCAGGGCAGTGGGCACCCCCATCCCCACCCAGGGCAGGTCCAGAAATGCTGTCCAAAAGCCTAGACCTGGACTCAATGACCCCCAAGAGCTTGCTTGTTGTTCTACTCCACTGTGGCTGAACTGATACCTGGTACCTGATTTTTGGTTTTTGTGATGGTGCTTTTCTGTGTACAGATAGTTGTTAAAATTTGGTGTTCCAGCCAGGTTTGGGGGATAAATGGTCTAGGCTTCTATTCCCCCATCTTGCTCTTCCCCTCCTAAACACTTTTTTAAAAGAATTTGTATATATAAGAGAATAAGTTGGTTAGGATTAAAGGAGCTGGAGAAAGCTGCTTGACCTGGAGGAGGTCAAGAACCCAACACTTCACCCCATGCCTCCCAGAACTTAGATGCCAGCTAAGCAGACAAAGGAGAAAGGGGAAATTCTGAATTGATAGAGTTTATCAGAAATGATTTTTAAAAGATCAGAAGTAAGATTATCTGCAATACCCAGGCCAACAGAGATAAGTGGTAGGAGAACATCTGAAGTGAGGATTTGAGAGCAGAAGTTGTTGGATTCATGCATTCATTTTATAAAATTCCAAACACTTTTATCTTGCATTTACTATATGCTAGGCATTGTACAAAGGAATATTTAGAGATGAAAGCTGTATTTCCCTGCCCTCTAGAGGTTCACAGAAGAGTAAAAAAAACATGCATAATGCAGTGAGGTCAGTAACAGACCCAGTTATACCTAGTGCATCAGAGAAGTACAAAGTATGAAATGAGCTGGTCATGTTCCTCTAAGTGCAAGACTTGCCTTTCTGGCCCTCTGCTGTCCCCCAGGGACCACCATATATACTATTTAGTCTGGAAGCCAAGACTGACTCTGTGTGTGCCATACGCATCACATCAGGAACTATAGGACTTCTAGCAAAGTAGAATCTGTGCTGAGGGTGGACAACAAGGTCTCTTCCATAGTTAACAAAACTTTCTGAACTATAATGATATGAACAACAGGATTTTAATACCTTCAACCACCTCTCTACCACTATCACAGTTTCTATGATACCTTCAATTTCTTTCACAGAAATATCTTTCATTATGAAATTAAAGACCTGAAATTTTCAGACATGCAAATGCTGTCCAAAAGCTATTCACACTAAAGTACACAAAATCAATCTGTAGGCAATAAATACATAACAAATTAATGAATGACAAATAAAATCAGATCCTTCTGATTTTTGATAGCATAGGGTAAGGCAAAATGTACTGCTATCGCTGAGGCACATTTTGATATTTGCCAATGTGTTTTTCATTCTCCATATTTCCCTTTTGCTATGTAACTCCTCCCTCAACTTCAGACAGCAGAGGGTAGCTGCTTCTATGGCCTTGGGAAAGGAAGGTCACAACAGACAACAGAAAACAATAGAATCCATTTTCACTCTGCTTTTGAATTTCAAAATAGATTTTTTTTAATTCATGGCACAGACAATAGACTAAGAATGGGTTTTTGAGGAACACGGGCTAAAATTAATGCTATAAACATTTAATTTTGGGAGAATGCATAATATCAGAGTGAGTTTTCCTTGCTGTATTAGTTTTCTAGGGCTGCCACAACAGAATACCAGAGACTAGGTGGCTTCATCAACAGAAATTTACTCTCTCTCAGCTCTGAAGCCTGGGAGTCCAAGTTTAAGGTGTTGGCAGGGTTGGTTTCTGGTGAGACTTCTCTTCCTGGCTTGCAGACAGATGTCTCATTGCTGTGTCCTCAGGTGGGTTTTCCTGTACACACCATAAGCTCCTGGTATCTCTTCCTCTTCCCATAAGTACAACAGTCCTATGGATTAGTGTCCCACCCTTGCAAGCTCAGTTAACTTTAATTACCTCCTCACAGGTCCTATCTCCAAATACAGTCACGTGGGGGGTTAGGATTTCAACATATGAATTGGGTGGGTGGGGGGAGACACAATCCAGTCCATAACACTTCCTTATACTTGTTAGATCAGCTCTGTCCAAAAGCAAAACAGTGCAATTTAAATTTTTCTAGTGACCACATTTTTTAAAAAGTAAAATAAATAAGTGAAATTAATTGTAATGCTATACTTTATTTAATTCAACATTTCAAAAATACCATCTCGACATGAAATTATCAATATTTCACAATCTATTATTCATACTAAGTCTTTGAAATTGGTGTGCATTCTCACTCTCAGTACATCTCCATTTGGACTAACCACATTTCAATAGCTCAGTAGCCACATGTGACTAGTGGCTACTATATTAAACAGTGAAGTGTTAGATAATTCTCCAAGCTGAAGAGAGGGAAGGGTCAAATGAGAGAGTGACTTCAAGATTTGGCTGAGGCCCCAGGGGTGGGCAGTTGAGAGAGGAGTCACCACTTCTCAAGTAGGGCCAGGGTAAACAGGAAAGAAGAGAAGAAGGGGCAACAGATGTGTCTAAGACAGCCCCCTATGTCTCCACAGCTCCAGAGGGGCACAAGAGAACACCCAACAGCTTCCCATTTTCCTAAGAGGGGTGAGGATGTGGCTCAGGGAGAACCACTACAGTCAGGATAAGGGAGCTGCAGGCACTAGGACTGATGACTGGACAATGGGGACATTAGCAGCAAATGGCAGCCTGGAGGGGCATTGGGGGTCAGGAACCCAACACTTCACCCCACATCTCCTGGAACTTAGATGCCACCTAGGGAGATGAAGGGGAAGGGGGAAATTCTGAATTGATGGAGTTTATCAGAATTTATTCTTTAAAAAACAGATGATTACCTGCAATCTACTGAACTATATTTCTGTTATCAGACAGAATGGAAGCTTGAAATAGAGATTTCAAGTTCAGTAATAGAGATTTTAAGTTCAGTTTTGTGAATTGAAAACACAGGTCTGGCTACCTGGATCTGTGCAAAGGGAGCAGTAACTACCAAGAGCGGGAAAGGGTTCCTCCAAGAGCAGGGGCTTTGAAGTCACCTGGCAGTGTGGACTCCTTCAAGGACCCACGCCCAAGCAACCAGAGAGACTGCTGACCTAGGAAGAACCCCAGGGCCAAGCCTCTGTGTACACTATTCATTCTGACCTTACTTTTTTCCCCCATGCCTCAATTCTTCTCTGCTGTCTCCATGTTGACCCCTAGAATTTTCCTTCCCTTTTCATGGGTGCCCTGAGAGAGTGGGAGATGATGGGAGGCCATTTGGGCTGTGAAGATGCTGGAATTCAGTGCTCCAAGGCCAGAAACGGTATGCAGCAAAAAACAAAGAACTCCACCTAGCTCTTCATTTGATTTGATTGGCTTCTCCAACTCACACTCACTGCTTCAAAATTCCTGGGTTGTGGCTGGTTGCCTACTCCCTGGCACAAGACTTGTTAAGACTTTTCCCAAGGCCGAGGCTTCTGGGGAACAAAGTTTAAGGGGGCACTCACTCTCAAGCTGACCCCGAGAGTGACTGTCTCCTTTAATTTTGCACCCAAGGTGCCTCACTTGCCTCACCCTAGCTTAGGCCTCTCCCACCTGGAAATAAAAATTCTTCCAGCCCTTGAACCCTCCTGTGATCTGCCATTGTTCCCCAGCATCCCAGGGCTCTCCTCAATGCCCATGTCCTGGCAGAACACTGCAGATACCATAATGCTGCAGACTATCCCTGGTTATTATCCACCGGTGCGGGGAGCGGAGGAAACTGCCAGGAGGGATTTTTTCCAACTTGAAATTGTAGAATTATAGTTCTTTGGACCTAAAAGAACTTTAATGATCATATAATTTTATGAACCTACTGATATTGAGGAGTCTGAGGTTTTGTGTTAGTCCTTTTGTTTGTTTTACTTTGGAGATTCTTAGAGGACTATTAAAGAAAGTACTTCTGTAACCATGTTTTAGAGAGGAAAAGTCATTCCCAGGACTGTCACCTTTTGGGGAAAAATGGTAAAATCCATGTAACCAGGTCAACTAAAAACCTAGAGTTCCCAACAATCAGTGATACAATAATCACAGCATTGGTAATAAAAGAGACGTCATTAAAACAATATGTAATGAAACCATTTACATTTCTGTGATTGGGTTCAAGCAAATATCTCTCTGCCCTTAAGGACTAGACAGTACCAAGGTAATGTTAAAATAAATAAGTTGAAGTTAAAAAAAAAATTTGAAGTTTATAATTTGATCATGAAATCTCCAGAAGACCAAAATAAATAAAGTCAAGTAGGGCATATAAGTCTATATCCAAGCTTCATTAGAGACTGACACACTATTGCTCAGTGAGTCCAACATAGCAGTTTTTCCTCCAAACACCAGCAACTGGGCTCTATATTTAGCTAAGTAAGTTTCCCAATCCTAAGAAATCCATTCATATATGATGGTAATGAGAAAGCAGCTATCTAATGTTCTATTTACCCTAAATATTGTGATCTAATAACATTCAGGATTTGTAGACTTCAAAGCATTTAATAAGCACTTGATAAAATATCCTTCACAATCTGCCTAAGTCTAAAGATATCATTATAACATTTTATGTGTGGGATCTGATGCACAGACATTAAGTAACTCATCATCAACAGAGCCAGGGTTTGGACCCAGACATTCTAGGTCCCAGTCTAGTGACTACTTCATGTGGGCAGCCTCACTTCCCCTGCCAAGAAATGAGTCAGCTGACTAATCTAGTGGCAGAAACATCATTTTACTAATTCAATTTCTTTCCCAATTAATTCCATAAAGACTGAAGTATATCACATTAGAGTGGTCAAACGGAAGTGTTCGAATTCATATTTATTTATGATATATATATACATACATACATATAACGTATATGTTAAACTTCTCAGCTGCATAAATTTATTTCCATTTAATCTGAATTTTCCAAGAAACCTGACCTTATGTAAATATTTTTAAAGAGGAATTTAATTTAAAATATTAAATTAAACTAATTAAATAATACATCCTAATTAATTTTCAGAAAACATCCTTAAAGGACAGTTTGGAGAAAAATTAATTACAAAGGTGGCTGTCAATAATTGCTCAGTAATGTTAATTATCTATCTTCCCAAATTTCTAAATTATACTTCATAAAAATTAGTACATACCCCATCTGTAAAATTACCATTGAATCAATCTAGAGACTATGATTCAGATTTTACCTAATAAAACATACTAGTTCTTCTGTTCCTGGAGTTTTATTTTTTCTGATTCTAAATGTACAGGATGACACACCTTCTGAAATAGATTCTGCTGGTGTTTCATTTCCTTTGTTGCTATTCAAAATTATTGTCAAATTATCATATGACTTAACATAAAACTTTAAATAAAGTTGGCATTTTATTTATAATATGATGCTGGAGAGTCTGCTTATCAACTCTAAATTTGAAGCATCAAGAAATCAAATATAAAATACCACAGTGTTATTTATTAGCCATATAGCAAAGATTTACTACCTTCACTAAGCTATATAATTATTCATCCAAACCAAAGACACATTCAGCTTAGTCATCAGAAAGGTTAAAAGATAGGAGTCATTTTGCCAAGAGAGAACAGTAAAGCAAATCAGAAAATATTGATTTAATAGCAGGGACCTATGTTCAGGTGGATCTGGCTAGAAGTCAGATACAGGAGGACATCCATTTGTGGGGAGAGCTGCCACTTCTCTCTCATACTTCTGATTTAGCATCAAGCTTCATGTTAATACAAGAATTAAAAGAGCAAGCTAAAATGGTGTCAAGGAAGCCTGTTGTACACAAAACAGCATTATGTCTATCATTTTTAAATCAATACAAAAATTGAAAAGAAGAATGAAGAGCAAAAGCAGCCTTTTATCAATTTACTTAAGGGCAAACACTTGAAAATCACTGGAAAATCAGGTGAATCCATTCTGGGTAGCAAATTGGGAACTCTATTTTTTTCTTAGGATACCTCTATCACTGGCTGATTTGCAAAGCTAAATGGACTGTTCTGCAATTATAAAACCAGTACAACATTAAATGTTATCATTCCAGGAGCAGAATTTCTGTCTTAATAATCCAAGACTGCTCCAGCTGTCCGTTGGCTATGTCTGTGGAAAGGCACTGTTTCACTCTGGCCAAATAAATTAATATATCTACATCTCATTTTGCCTTTTTGTAAAATGTTGGTCTCCTCAGAAGCTGCTGGAAGAATTTATTGGATAATAATTACAAAAGGCTTTATAAGCCTGATGTTCTAGTTACATGCTAAATAATAATGATTAAAAATGGGATATCTGGCTGTATGTAGTGGCTCACACCTGCAATCCCAGAACTTTGGTGGGCAAAGGCAGGAGGATTGCTTGAGGCCAGGAGTTCATGACAAGCCTGGCCAACATAGCAAGACCCCATCTTTACATAAATAAATAGAAAGGGATATCCTTCAAAAGAAACTTGGAAGAAAAAATAAAAAAGAAACTGCTTTAGGATATATCCAAGAATGACTGAGACTCAGAAAGAAATTTTGGCTTAGATGTTCTGAGTAACTAGGGGATGGTGGGAAAGCTCTTTTTTTTTCCTCATTTTAGAAAGAAATATGGGAAGTCTTAGAATATGTAGGAAATTATTTATGACTGAAATAATGATGCCCTCTATATATTTGCATATATATGTGTATATGCATATATACATATTTTTAATAGGCAATATTACTATTTTTACTAGCAGCTTAGATTTTAAAAAAAAGTTTGCCCAAAATAGCCAAATAATTTAATTAAGAAGATATTTTAAGTTTTTTTTTTATTTTGAGATAGGTACTCGCTCTGTTGCCTAGCTGGAGTGCAATGGTGCAAACATGGCTCACTGAAACCTCCACCTCCTGGGCTCAAGTGATCCTCCCACCTCAGCCTCCCAAGTAGCTGGGACTAAAGGTGTGCACCACCATGCCCAGCTGATTTTTTTAAAATTTTTTATAGAGTCAGGGTCTCACCATATTGCCCAGCCTGGTCTCAAACTCCTGGGCTCAAGCAACCCTCCTTAATACACGGCCTCCGAAAGTGCTGGGATTACAGGTTTAAGCCACCACGCTCAGCCTAATCTTTAATTATTTTGAAAATCACCTGGGTTCCCTTCACGATTTGCTGGGTTCAGCCACACCCAAAAATAATGACCAGGATATGAGAAATTAGTTCAAATAAGATGTGATTATCATAATAAGAGGAAAATCAATATTAATTAAATTCAGAGAAAGATCTACAAAACAAATCCCAAAGTGCTGTGATTACAGGTTTAAGCCACCACACTCGGCCTAAACTTTAATTATTTTGAAAATCACCTGGGTTCCCTGAATGATTTGCTGGGTTCAGCCACACCCAAAAATAATGATCAGGATATGAGAAATTAGTTCACATAAGATATGACTGTTATAATAAGAGGAAAATCAATATTAATTAAATTCAGAGAAATATTAATTAAAACAGGTTGTGATGGAAAGCATTGGCCTCTGGAGTCAGACAGACCTGGGTTGGGAAACTGGCTCTGCCACTTGCAAGCTATATGGCTTTTGACAAATTACTTAACCCTTAAGTTTCCATTTCCTCACCTATAAAACAAGATAATACCTTCTTCATTGGGTTGTTACAAGCATTAAATGAGATTACATTTGAAGAGTGCTTTGTTCAGAGCCCGGCTGTCCATTAGGCCCTTAAAAATAGTAACTGCCCTCTTTTAGCTGAGTCCATTACCTAAGTGTAAATAACTAAATGATCCTATTTGAAAAAATCTTGTCCGGTGGTTCATTAACACTTTGAAAGACTCTGAGCAGATCAAGACTACAAGTGTTATAGATCACTCTTAAGGAATAATTGTTCTTTTAATCATAGTTTTT
This sequence comes from Homo sapiens, assembly GCF_000001405.40. NCBI lineage: Eukaryota > Metazoa > Chordata > Mammalia > Primates > Hominidae > Homo > Homo sapiens. The sequence goes on along the minus strand of NC_000003.12, from coordinate 160,646,583 downwards.
AAGGTGATATTAGTATTTCATGAATTTTATATAGGATATCCACTTTACACGTTTTCTCAATGCAAATATCATTGGGGTGTGTGGGTGTGTGTGTTGGGGTGTGTGTGTGTGTTTCTTCTTTTTTGACATAGAAACACTGACAGACAACCTGTGGGATATTTCACGTATTTTTAGGATGTTCAAGATGAAAAATCTGAGCTCTCACCTAGTCTAATAACTTCTCCTTACAGATGAGAAAATGGAGGCCAAGAGAGTTTGAGTAACTTGTTCAAAATAACACAGTGCTAGAATTGTGAATAAAACTCAACGTCTCTTGACTACCAATTCAATATTCTTTTAGTACCTTTAAATATTAAGACTTAAAAGGCAGTCCAACGTACTGCTGCTTTTTAAAAAAAACATCCTGATAAGAGAACTTAAATGTCTCCTTCTTAGGAGAATCATATATTATACATCTTTGTGTTCACACAGGGCCTGGCATTCTTCGACATTGTGAGTGCTCAGTACATATATTTCAAACGAATGAATAGATTTCAATTAAGGTTATAGTTTGTGTGACTCTTTTTTTCTCTTTTGGTATAACTTAACAAAACAGAATTTTGCTCTATGTAATTATTAGAAACTACTTTAAGTTTATGATGACATAGATAAATGAATCTGGAATTTTAAAAAATTATCTGACATTATGTAAAGGAAGGCTAACTGCCAGCATGGATGATACATACTAAATTTCCTTTTACAAAAGAGTGAAGGCTTTTTTTAGCTTTTTTTTTTTCCTGTTATGACTTCTTTATTTAAATTTTTTATTGTGGTAAAATATAAATAACTTAAAATTTACCACCTTAACCACTTTTAAGTGTAGAGTTCAGCGGCATTAAGTACATTCACAATGTTGTGCTGCCATTACCACCATCCATCTTCAGAACTTTTTCATCCTCCCAAATGAAACTCTGTACCCGTTAAACAATAACTGTCCATTCCTCTTTCCTCCCCCAGCCTCTGGCAACCACTACTTTCTACTTTCTGTCTTCATGAATTTGACTATCCTGAGTGTCTCAAATGAGTGGAATCTGATTATGTTTTGGTACTTATAAAACAATTGCCTGAAATTTTCGCATTATTTTCCTTATGTAGATTTAGCGTTGAACTGTGTCTCTGGAAGGTCACACATCCTGACAAAAACTGGAAAATAAGGTAACAAGATGTTGGCTTAATTATAGCACAGCTGAAAGAATAAACATACAATTTTAATCAGAGAAGTTATACCCATTGACTTGCATCACATTATTATAATTACAACAATCACCATTCTGACTGCCACAATATTGTACAAACACTAAAATTTATTATTTTAAACATAATGTAATAAAATGGGGGAAATGTTTGCATTCTAATATCTCACTAGAAAATCAATATTTATTGTCATGTGATTTTATCTACTATTTAATAAAAGAATTCTGCACAGAAAAAGGGCAAAAAGGAAAAATACCAAAACAATAATAGTAGCCTGGTTAGGGTGGTAGCAGTGTGAGCACTTCTTTCTTATCTTTAGTTATATTACTTCTGCAATAGAAAAAAAAAAGTTTTTACAAGTAAAAGGAGTTCTATAAAAGAAAGTCTAGCGAACATCTGTTATTCATGGCAGCCCAAATCTTTTGAGAAACCGCTCCACATTTTGATAATTCCCCACATTGTGGGTCCTGTCTTCCCAAAGTAAATTCTAAAAATTTAATATTTCTTAATTTTCTAGCCTCTAGAGTCAAGAATTAGGTCCTATAACTTAGTTTCTGGCTCTAGTTGCACCCGGTGAAAAACTAACCCAAAAAACAGGCAGATTCCAGACATCTATTCTGCTGGCCCAGGCTGTTCCAGAGGTCACGGTTCTGAGGTCAGCAGTGGGAGCAGTAGCTTCCCCATTGCATCTGTTGCAAGTTTGGTTCTGGCTCAGTGTAGGACCTGTGTTTTTTTTACCTTTCCAGTGATTATCAGGCTTTCTAGTCTCCCTTAACAAGTCCCTTGCCATTTAAATGAGCTAGAGTTGAGTTTTTTGTCTGCAACTAAACATGCTGACAGATAGAAAGGCTAACAACACTGGGATTTGCTTAAGAAGAGGTGAATGAAAGACGACATTATTAAAGAGAAGATCATTCAACCAGAAGATTCTGGATTAAGTGAATGTTGACACTTTATCTTAACTGCAAAGGGACATTTTGGGAATAAAAGATCTTTTAGTGAGCAAATGCCACGAGTGTCACGTCCAGACCAAAGCATTTAAGAGTATGACTCTGTAGCTCTTACTTCTGCAGCTGCAGCCACCATGGGGGCCTCCTGTTCCAGATGATGCAGCTATAAAGTGTAAGAGTCTCCATCAGCCTTGGTCCTTGAAAGACTGTGTGGAAGACAGCCCCCTACTGATCCAAACAAAACATAACATGAACAAGAAATAAACCTCGGTTCTGTTAGGCCCCTGAGATTTGACAGCCAGTTTGTTACATGGCATAGTCTAGCATGGCCTGATAATACACAATAGTATCTAAAACAGAATTTTTTTAAACAATCTAAATAAATAAATACTTATTTATTTAAAGTTTAAAGCCTTGTATGTCTTAGAAAAACATTTTATTCCATAAAAGTAAATGCCAGGCACAGTAGCCTGTAATCTCAGCACTTTGGGAGGCCAAGGCAGGTAGCCTGTAATCTCAGCACTTTGGGAGGCCAAGGCAGGAGGATCGCTTGAGCCCAGGAGTTTGAGACCAAGCTGGGCAACATAGCAAGACCTTGTCTCTACAAAAAAAATTTAAAAATTAGACAGCATGTTGGCATGTGCCTGTAGTCCTAGCTGCTCTGGAGGTCAAAACAGGAGGATCTCTTGAGCCCAGAAGTTTAAGGTTACAGTGAGCTGTGACTGTGCCACTGTACTCCAGCCCAGACAACAAAGTGAGACCCTATCTCTAACAACAACAACAACAACAACAACAACAACAACACCAAAAGTAGATTATATATAACATGAATTAAGGATTTATTGTCATCTGGCATTAAGCAAAGATATCTAGTTTACTTGAAGGCAACAGCAACAACAAAAATAAATGTGGCACATTATGAAAAATCCTAAATATTGAGAGATGACAAAAACAACAAAAAGTTTATGCTTTTCGATTCTCACACTAAAAAAAAAATTCATAATGCAAATTAGTTTCCTTAAAACAACCCCTCAAAAAGAAGTATGCAATAATACAAAAAGTAAACCATTTTTATTTAGTGTGAAATTGTTGTCTGCAGAGAGAAGTATGAGAAAATTGCTAACACAATTTGTTGAAATTGCTTCTAGCAAAACTAAAGGAGAGGTGAATGCAACACTCATTTGAACAGATTCATCAATGTCAGTTTGCTTTTGTAGCCCTTGTCCTTTTTGAATATCTATTTTGGCCTGTACAACAGTGAGTTTTTTTGCTCAGTAGTAAATGAACTTCTTTTGAAATGTATGAGACTTTTTTCACCTGGAATAGCCACTGACAAGGTTATTTTCTATTTGTCCATTATAATCTGCACCACCCTGTCTGCATGGCATGATCTGGAATGCTGGGCCAACACTGGCAGAGGGAAACATCATTACAAGTCTGTTGTTTGGCTATTCCCAGTGTTCAAACATCCTAATAAATGACACTCTACTACGTCTGAATGACTATAAAATGCTCTTGAAAAAGATGGTTTGGTTCGGTTTTGTCTATATCACATATTGAATAAAAGAAAATGAAAGTAAAGTAGGAGAGATTTCTATTGGATATAAAGAAGAGCTTCCAGGCTGCCAGAGTGAAAATATCTGAATGAATTACTGAAAGAGAATGCCTGGTCTTTTGTTAGGCATATCATTAAGAAAGACTAACTTTTCTAAAGGCATAAGACTAGGTCACATACTCTTTTACAGTCCTTTGCAGTTCTATAGTTGTGTAATTGTGTATCACATTCAAATTTTCTCAGCTTCTCTTGTTTTCATTTATATCATTCAGTGTCTCTGGTTATTAACTGGTGGGGCCAGGGGTCTAAGCCCCTTCTTGGGCCAAGTGAACACACACAAACACACTAGGGTCAAACAGTTCTTAAGAATTCTGAGACAAATTCCAATCTGTATAAATCTGGTAGCGGAAAGAAGTTCGCCATTGCCCTCCTTATTGAACTGCTTCATCTCTGAGCATGATCTGTGAGCACAGGCCTCACTGATCAGACCTTGATGATATTCCCCCATGAATGTTTCCTTGGCAATGGAAAGTGTTCTTCCAGACCCCTTGTCTCTCATCACACCACCCTCTTCTCCCCTGCCCTCAGTGCTTTCCCATCTTCTCCCTTCCCCTATGTTATCCCTACCCTCCCTCTTCAGAAGTGGCCCTTCCCCAGTATTAGCAAGCCTTTGGCCTCCTCCTGTGACCTGGAAATCCTGTCAGTCCCTGGCACAGGCTAGGAGTCACAACCATTCTTCCGCCTGTTCCTGCTGCTGGATGGGAGGAGAGGGAAGGTTTATATCCTGAAGATAGAGATGTGGTCAGAAAAACACTGCCTGGATAAATTTGTTTTCTTTTTCCTTCCCCCTCTCTTCTTTGTCCAGCCCATTAAAAAAGTCATGCGTCTTGCACTGGAGAGTTAATCTCCTGCCAACAGCTTTTGACAGGTCCATGTATGGGAGTCATATTCCCCTTGCTGCTGTTGACTCATCAATCAAAAGAGCACCACTTCCCTCCCAACCTTGTATAACATTGCAAGGCCTCCTTTTATTAACTAGTCTTTGGACAAGCCATTGCCCTCTAGTAAGGGTTAAGGGAAAGGCAACCTCATCACTCATACAAGGTATTGTTATGAAGGTTAGCAAACTGTGTTTATGGCCTGTAAGCCAAATCCAGCCCACTGTTTTATGAGAAAAGTTATGCCCATTCATTACCCTGTTGTCTATGACTGCTTTCGCACTAAAATAACAAAATACAGTAGTTGCCACAGTGACCATGTTCCACAAAGCCTAAGATATTTACTATCTGGTTCCTTACAGAAAAAGTTTACCGATCCCTGATCTAGTGTATCATGTCTATTAATAAAATCAAGATGACCACAACCAAAAGATCCACCTTAGCTGCTGCTTTCAAAGGTTTTGAATAGTTGTGGGATTTTTGTTTGCTCTTGAACCAAAGACTTAGTCTCTAGAGAAGTTTATCCTTCCATATTCCTTTCTCTATACCCTGCATGTTTTTATTGTGGCTGAAAGAGTTGTCACATTCAAAATGGCAGAATCTATCAAATGAACAGCTTTATGTAACTACCTAATGTTTAAGTTAGGTGAGAAAGTCCATAAACTTGAAACCCTGGATTCTCTCTCAACTCCTTCTTCACATCCCTCTATCCATATCCAACAGGTCACCAAGTCTATTAATTCTACCTCCTAAATGTCTCCAAACTTAAATCCCCTTTCTCTATTTCCAGTACCCTACTCAAAGCCCTTATCTCTTATGTGGAACTAAATCAATGGCCTCTGGCTCATTCTCCCTGCCCCCAAGCCATCTCATCCTTACTAAGCCATTGTCCCTGTATTTATACCCTCCTCTCCAAAAATCACTCACCACATATATACCCTCCCCTGACACATGCACATCATTCTCACCACATGTACACCTCTAAGCTCAGAATTAGGGCTTTTACATCATTAAATAGAACCACTATTTACTTAGTGACTTAAGCCAAAAACCTAGAAATCATCTTTGATTTGTCATTTTTCCTCATAACCCACACTGAATTAGCTCTAATTAATTTTAATTAACTAGCTCAAATTAATTCTAACTTGGCAAGCCCTATCAGGTCTATCTCAAAAAATTTATAGTAATCCTAATAGAGTTAAAGAGGGCCTAATAATCAACACTTACATTCCCATCTCCAGTTAAGAACCAACTGAAAATAGACACAAAAGTCAGACAAATGGAGACAAATGGAGGTCAAAATATTACCTTTATCAGTATTACAGCTAATATTGACAGCTCATTCTTCTGCCTGCAGGTAAGAAGGCATCCTAATAGTGAACTCACAGCTAGACAGCCTTCCTACCCAGTCCCAGGTGGCATGGACCACCACAGACTTCACTGTGCAGGGCAGAGAGTGCCTGATCCTGTAGTACCTGCAGCAGAGGTATAGGGCAGACTACACATTTTGGATGCAGGCAGACAGATCTTGAGGAGGGAGGTTGTAGGAGGAGCATGCTGGCATTATCCAGCACTGCCTGTATGGGCTGAAAGTCTGACAAGTTCTGGGAGGAGTGAGTGATGATGAGTAAAGAGGCAGGAAGGTTATAAGCAAGTTATAGGAAAGAAGATTACCCGCCTCTAAAACTCCCCCAATTTTTGTTCTCTTACCCCATTTGCTTAACCATCAACTAGTGGCGTGGCTTCCCTCCATGGGGCACAAGATTAAAAATCCTCATCCCATCTTCAAAAAATTATTCCTCCAACACCAACCATGGCTGTTCTGGGATGCTGGTGGGCAGTGTTTTATTTTTAACCCCATGGACTCTAAAATGGGCCAGAATAGCACATTGATTAAATTAATTCTAAAACCTGCATCCAAACTGAAAATTATTTCTCTTTTTATTTCCTTTCCCAAACTATGTCTAGCCACATTGTCTAATATAAGGTTTGGCAATGATGAAAATAACAATATAAAAATACTCCAATAATAAAACTGCCAACAACAAACAAAGTCCCAGATTTGAATATTAATTGCCTTCTTAGATGGATTTTCCTGGGAGGAAATTAAAGTTAAAAATTAAATCTCAATGGAAATTAGTCCAAGGATTTTAGAGGTCAAAAGAATTAAAGTCCAAAATCACATTCTCATGCACTTGGGAGTTAAAAATCCAAAGAAATTGAAGTTTAAAGTTTATCCTCTTCAATTTCTTATTAATACTTTGCCTAGTCTCAGCTAAGAGTGTCTGGGGCAGTGGGTGGGGAGTAGGCAGCTGCAACCTGGGCTATCTTCTATGGAATGGATGTAGGTCCTTTAGGACTTTAGCAGTTGAATGCATCTCTACTATGTCCTGTGTTTAAAGGCTCCAAGACTTAATAGAATACAGAAGACTATCCCAGCATGGGCCCCTGACCCACCAAATCCAGAAAATAAGCCAATCTTGCTATCATATAATATACAATTCCAGAGCCCAGAGTTAGTATTGTCAAAGACCCTAGCAGAGATTCATTGGTACTAGATAGAAGCAGGTCAGACCAAAAACAAGTATCTTGGTTTAACCTCTCAATGATATGAGTCAGTCTGGGATAGTTATCTGAAGTTCACAGTCTCTGAATTTACAGTGAATCTCAGGATCAACCTCCCATTTAGTAGTTAATTTTGACACCATATATCTACATATCTAGGATGAGGCTGGAGGAAGGTGGTGGGGATCTGAAAATAGCCTTGTTTGCAAGATAGTAGCATTTGAGACATCATAATCTTCTTGCAAAGTTAAAAACTTTAACTTGTGTCAGCCCAAATCACTAGGCTTTATTTGAGGCGTGTATTAGTTAGGGTTCTCTAGAGGGACAGAACTAATAGGATAGATAGATAGGTATAGATATATATCTCAAGGGGAGTTTATTAAGGAGTATTAAACTCACGTGCTCACAAGGTCCCACAGTAGGCCGTCTGCAAGCTGAGGAGCAAGGAAGCCAGTCGGAGTCCCAAAGCTGAAGAACTTGAAGTCCAATGTTCGAGGGCAGGAAGCATCCACCATGGGAGAAAGATGTAGGCTGACTTTTCACGTTTTTCTGCCTGCTTTATATTCTAGGGGCACTAGCAGCTGATTAGATGCTGCCCACCCAGATTAAGGGTGGGTCTGCCTTTCCCAGCCCACTGACTCAAATGTTAATCTCCTTTAGCAACACCCTCACAGACACACCCGGGATCAATACTTTGCATACTTCATTCCAATCAAGTTGACACTCAGTATTAATCATCACAGGCACCCCCACCTTTCTACTTATTCATAATCTAATTTTTCATTTTCCCTTTGAATCCCACGTTTCTGGCACCCCAGAGCAGAACTGAATGTGAGCCTCATCAACAACCTGTGAGCAGACCTTTTCAGGCCTGAGCCACAAAGGGTGCTTCCATTTCCACTTGCCATGAAATTACGTAGGGCTATAAAATCTGTTTAGGGAAGGGATTTTTGCCTAGTCATCACATTTGATTCAGCTGAAGAATCAACCTTAGCAGATTTCCCAACTGAATGACTGTTAATGCTTCAGAGTTTGTTTCTAGTGGTTTATGAGAATCAATTCCTCTCCAATAGAGTCCTTGATTTACCATCTTTCCTCCATTTTTTTAATATTCTAGGCCTTAAGTAGCATTGCTGCCTGGTGTATCTTTAAGTGAAGTTCTAATATAGGCCTCTGGTGCTTCATTCCCTCTGCTCTTACCCTTGCCTTTCAAGAAAGACCCAGTTGAATTTCTAAAAATTTAAACTACTTCTTAATTGGGTTGATTCCTTTTCTAACACATATAGGGCTGGGATTAAGGGCCTTCCTTCCTTCCGCCCTATTTTCTCTTTGCCTTCTGGCTCAGAAAATAGTTTTCCTAACATATTGCTCTAGGTTTGATGTGTAGGGCTCCACCTTAGTGAGAGATATGAAATCAATAAAGTTGAGGGCTACCAAAAGCTACACTATTCAAACAAATCTTAGCGACTTTCTCCCACCCTTGTAGGAACGACTCACCTGGGAGATATTATCCCATCAAACCAACATCCAATCTAGGCCCAGACTTGGCTGATTATTGTTCTGTCTGGCTCTCCATTTATGTTTTTCATATCTACTGTGCCTTCCCTTAAAATGCCAACCTTATAAATTTCTCTGACAGGTGCCCTCATAGAACAGGCACCATCTGCATTAACTGTCTGTCCCTGAATCTAACCATTTGGCAACTATTTGAATATTTTATGCTTATGTACCTGGTCTTCCCCATGCAAATCTCCCTACATTATTTGTGACCACTTGGTATAACCACACCAGTAATCAAAAAGCTGTTCCAATTGCTCTTACTATGGATTCTTCATCTGCACCTTTCAGGAGAGCCTCTCAATTTGTTTCTGGATCTGGCTTCTTGCAGGCAAAGGGATTCACTCAGAGATCTTATCCCTTTTATTTGTTTTCACTGGGCCCAGTCACTACTCCTGCGCTAATAATAGTTAAAACATCTTCACCTTTTCTAAATTCCTCTTCATGAACAATTAGGTGTTTACACCTCCTACTGCTTTTGGGTGGCATACCCATCCTGACCTCCAAGAGCTCATATTGACCTTCCTAGATGATTCACCTCCAGCTAAGCACTCACTCTGTTTCCTAAGAAAAGTTTATTCTCCCTCCAGCTAATCATCTTGTCTTCTTTTATTTTGTTTTTATTTTCCCACTTCCTCTGCTCTTACAGTCAGACTGAAGTATAAGTTTCAAATCAACCCAATTCCTCCTCGGTTTCCTGAAGAAACTTCATTACTTGGGATGAATGGTCCAGGCACAGGCCTTTGAGTTGTTTTTCTCCCTCAACCCAAGAAAATGGCATATTCTCTTTACCTTAAGAGTTTCCATTTCTGCCCATTCCATTCATTTATTAATAAATTTACTAATAAAATTTCCCATCTTTTGTGGGTGGGATTTGCTATTTGGTTCTCCAAAATCTAAAGCCATGGTCAGAATTTATACAACAAGTCCAGAGCCACTTGAGACCACATGATAGGACTGACCCCTGATTCTATGGACAAGCCTCACAAACAGTTGTGCCACAGTTTTCTCTCTTGGACTCAAAACAATATAAAGTGGAATTAAGTTTCAGACAGCTGATTTAACACTGCCTATCTAGAGCTGGCAATAATAATTTAAACCCAGAACCTTGTCTACCATCCAAGCCATTATCTTCTTGTCTGGATTACCACAATAGTTTCCAATTCGTCTCCCTGTTCCTCTTCTTGTCTCAACAGTCCATCTTCTACATAGCTTAAAAACTTACATAAGGTGAAAGGATGCTAACAAGAAAGTGAAAAGGCAACTCACAGAATGGGAGAAAATTTTTATAAATCATATATCTCATAAGGGCCAAGTATGCTGAATATATAAAGAACTCTTACAACTCAACAATAAAAAAAATTCCATTTTACAGTGGGGAAAGGACTCGTATAGAAATATCTCCAAAGAAGACATACATAAAACAATAAGCACATGAAATAATTCTCAACACCATTAGTCATTAGGGATATGCAAATTAAAACTACAATGAGATAACACTTCACACTTACTAGGATGGCTATAAACACAAAAACAGAAAATAACAAATGTTGTCCATGATGTGGAGAAACTGGAACCATCATACATTGCTGGTGGGAATATAAAATGGTACAGCTACTTTGGAAAAGAGTTTGGCAGTTCCTCAAAAAGTTAAACATTAAATTACCATATAACCGAGCAATTCCAGCCCTAGTTATATACCCAAGAGAAATGAAAGCATATGTTTATATAAAAACTTATATATGAATATGTATAGAAGTATTATTCATAATAGCCAAAAAGTGGAACAGCCTAAATGCTCATTAACTGATGAATGGATAAACAAAATGTGGTATATACACACAATGAAATATTATTCTGCCATAGAAAAGGAATAAAGTACTGTTACATGCTGCAGTGTGAATAAACCTTGAAAACATTATGATAAATGAAAGAAAACAGACACAATAGGCTGTATGAGTCTATTTATGAAATGTCCAGGACAGGCAAATCCATAGAGACCAAAAGTAAATTAGTGGTTGCCAGGGGCTGAGGGGAAGGTAGAATGGGGAGTAACAGTTAAGAGGTACAGGGTTTTTGTGGGGGAATGATACAAATGTTCTGGAATTTGTGATGATGGATACATGCATTGTGAAATGCTAAGAACCAGTGAAATGTACACTTTAAAATACTAAAGTTATGTGAATTATACCTCACTTTTTTAAAAGACTTAAATCAGATCATGATCTTCCACTGGTTAAATTTTTCAATGGCTTCTTGTAGTATTCAAATAAAATCCAATCTCTTTATCCCCCTAGGTAATATGACCTTTCCCTCTCTTATCTCACCCCTCATCATTCCCTTCACTCCCCATCCCCCATTTACATTACATTCCAGGCTCACTGGTGCTCCTGCTTCCAATTCTTCCAAGGTCTTTACACTTAATCTTTCTCCTACTTGGAGTATTCTCTGCCTAGGACATCTCCCTACTGCCTCCCTCTTATCATGGAGGTCTCCAGCAAAACCTCTTCAAGGAGGCCTCCTTCACCATCCTTATCACTGTCTATCATATTAGCTTGTATTATTTTCTTCACAGTACTTATTACTCTCTGAAATTATTTATTTGTTAACTCTCTTCTATGAAAATACACATTTTCTGAGAGCAGAGATTTTGTCTGCCCTGTTTACTGCTATAATCCAAGTGCTGAGAACAATGCCTAGCACAGAGGAGATGCTAAAAATATAATTTTCAATGAATGAGTGAGAGCTAATATTTGTACATTGGACATTTGGATATTTTGATGGTATTTGGGAGCTGACAGAGCTCGTGGTTTTGATTCACATTCATGGACACATTGAGACCATAAGTATAGCATCTAGGGAGGGTGTAAGAAATAGGAACGTTGGGAAAATGTTTTCAAATTTCTCAAAGATAGGGTTAGATAGTAGAAACTATCTAAAAATGTCCAAAGCTTATGGAATAAGCTATCTGAATCACTCAAAGTAATTCATGATTCTGTTTGTTCCCTGAGATGAGAGTTAAGGTGCACATGCTTAATCTAAGTGCATTGGAAGAATGTACCCAAAGTATACATTCCTCTGGTCCGTGAGGCAACGTGGTGAGGCAGCACAGTGAGGTGTCCCTATGACTGCCGCTCAGCCCAGCTTTGGGACTCGTGCTTTCTTCCTGGAAAGGGGCAATAAAGAACAGAGCCCCTGTAAACCAGAGCACAAGTAACATGTGCTTTAGGGCTCAGGAAGAGGGCAAGCTGGGAGAGAAGGGTGGCAAGAAAGCCATTGAGAACGCAATTAAGAAGCAGCCATGCATGTGCCACTGTTGGGTGTGCAGGGGGATGTCAGGGCAGAGGGAATCACATGGCTGATATCAGGAGAGAAAATGAGGATGCCAGGAGCTAGGAAGACACCCTCTGAAGCAGATACCCTAAGAGTTCTGTGAAGGGTCTGAGGCCTGGGGTCCCCATATTTTACTAATAAAGACTGAGCCACACATTGCTGTTTTGTCACGATGGCCCAGGGAAATGTGGGTTAGTCATATAACATAAAGGACAATGCTTGAATTCTCTTATTCGAATGAGGAAAATATCCTGCTTTTATTCTGAGATGATCTATGAATCATAGATGACATAAATTAAGTGGAAACAACATTGGGAAGAAAAAAACCATCTGTCACTGTATATTTTAGTGAGTTTGATGATCAGGCAACAGAAACGCTTACCTCTAAACTAAGCCAGGTAGAAAAAGAATGTAAAGATAGTATACGTTTAGATAATTAAATGAGGAGAAAAGTTATTGAGGCAGGAAAAACAAAAGCTTGGAGAGATGAGAAAGTGAGGTGGTATAAGGAAATTAAAGGCTAATTCAGAAGTAATAACCAATTTTGTGAAATGGAAAGTAAAATTTTGAGCTTAAAAGGATAAGATACATATATGTATTTGAGATACATATATGTGTACCAGTTTGAACAATGAATGACATGAAATACTGCAAGTGAAAGTGATTTTTAGAAAGTTTAGAAACTTTAAGAAAATGAGCAGAACATAATGTGGCCCAGCTTACCCAGACACACTGAGGAAATCATATCTAGGGATGTCATGGATCAGACACATTTCAGGTGGTTAAGAAGGAGACCAGTGCTGGCTCATACAGGTTGAATTTCCAGAACAGCCTGCTAGGTAGTCTCCACTGTCAAGCCACCCTGTCACTCCATCTCCTAACTAATCTGCTTGAAACAGGCCTTTAATCACCATAAAACCTTCCACACCTTTCCATGTCTTACTAAGTCAACTCTGAACGCTGCCTGGCTCTCCAGCCACATACTTCCTGTTCAAACTTCCATCTTAGTACTCTCCACTACCTCTCTTTTCAGGCCTGCCTCTCCAGTGTCCCGCCTCTGGGCCTTTGCCCAAGATGCTGCCTGGGTCTGACATGTATGCTGTCTTCCGTCTGATGAGTAAAATGTCATCCTTCTATCAAGGTCAAGCTTATAGTTTAATTCCACCATGGGTCTTTCCTAATTGTTCCTTTCTGTGAACACCTAAAACCTAATTGCTCAATTCTATTGTCATGTATTATTCACAATTGCTTTACATGTATTAGTGCCAAGAAATGAAAGAAAGGGAAGAAAATAATTAAGAAAGAGAAGAGTGAAAGTCAAGAGGTAACTCCCACTTTAGATTCCAATTTGGATGTAGGTGCTGCTGGAAGGATGAAGGAAGCACAGCAGAGCGGTCCTGGGAGCCTTGGGTGCAGGAAAGGAAGCAGGATCGGTTGTAATGAGCACCCTGCTTCCCATGTCACTTAGCAATACATCTTTCTTTTTTAATAGTTTTTTTTAATGCCAGTTTTAGGTTCACGGCAAAATTGAGTGGACAGTACAGGGAGCTCTCAAATACCCATTTCCCTGACACATGCACAATCTCCTCCACTATCCCATACCAGCTGCACTGTGTCTGCACTTCTGACCTACAGAAAACTGTGAGATAGTAAATAGGTGTTTCTTTCATGCTACAACGTGGATGAACCTGGAGGACATTAAACTAAGTGAAATAAGCCAATCACAAAAAAAGGCAAATACTGTACTATCTCACTTACATGAAGTATCTAGAGTAGTCAAATTTATAAGAGTCAGAATGTAGAAGGGTGGTTGCCCCAGACTCTGGTAACTACCATTTTATTGTCACTTCTATGAGTTCAGTTGTTTTAGATGCCACGTAAAGTAAGAACATGAGATAGTTATCTTTCTGTGCCTGGCTTATCTCACTTAGCATAATGTTCTCTAATTCCAGCCAAATGAATAATGCTACAATGAACATGAGAGTGCAGATATTTCTTTGACAAACTGACTTTAAATTTGGGGGGTAAATACTCGGAAGTGAGGTTGCTGGATCATATGATAATTCCGTTTTGAGTGTTTCAAGTAGCCTCCATTCAGTTTTTTATAATGGCTGTACTAATTTACATTCTCACCAACAGAGTACAGGGGTTCCCTTTTCTCCACATTCTTGCCAACACTTGTTATCTTTCATCTTTTTGACAGTAGCCATTGTTACAGGTGTGAGGTGATATTTCATTGTGGTTTCTCTAATGATTAGTGATTTTGAGCATATTTTTCACATATCTGTATGTCTTCATATAGAAATGTCTATTCAGGTCATTTTTTAAAATTTTTATTGTTTTATTTTTTATTTTAATTTAAAGTTCCAGGATATATGTGCAGGGCAGGGGGAACCACATAGCTGACATCAGGAGGGAAAATGAGGATGCCAGGAGCTACGAAGACACTCTCTGAAGCAGACACCCTAAGGATTCTGTGAAGGGTCTGAAGCCTGGGGCCCCCATATGCAGGTTTCTTACATAGGTAAACATGTGCCATGGTGGTTTGCTGCATCTTTCAACCCATCACCTAGATATTAAGCCCCATTGCCTAGGTATTAACTATTTATTCTGATGCTCTCCCTACCCCTGTGCCCCCACAACAGACCCCAGTGTGTGTTGTTCCCCTCCCTGTGTCCATGTGTTCTCATTGTTCAGCCCCCACTTGTAAGTGAGAACATGTGGTGTTTGGTTTTCTGTTCCTGTGTTAGTTTGCTGAGGATAATAGCTTCGAGCTCCATCCATGTCTCTGCAAAGGACATGATCTCATTCCTTTTCATGGCTGCATAGCATTCCATGCTGTATATGTACCACATTTTCTTTATCCAGCCTATCATTGATGGGCATTTGGGTTGATTCCATGTCTTTGCTATTGCAAATAGTGCTGCAATGAACATATACATGCACGTATCTTTGTAATAGAATGATTTATTTATATTCCTTTGGGTTTATACCCAATAATGGGATAGCTGGATCTAATGGTATTTCTGAAATCGCCTTTGCAAAATTATAGTTGAGGAAATTATGCCAGTGAAGGAAATCAGACCTAACCAACTCCTATCTTGCTTCTAACCTTTAAGCTGTCCTTGTTTATTCCTGGGCATAGACCAAACTAACTTTGGGAAGGAATTCAGCTCATGGTTTGACTCTGAAACAAAATGGATAACAGTCCTTTCCCAAAAAGACCCCTTTCTCACCTGAGGACCAGTCTGCCTTTGCAGGACTAACAAATTAGCTACAGGATTAGAAATTACAGTTCAGGGGTCATGCAACCTCTGGCTCCAAGAGTCTGAACCTCCCCAGATTCCTTCTGGGGAGAAAATCACCATTGTAAAACCTAAGATCAGTGCTTGAGATATTTTTCAGACCCTGTACTTGATGGATCAGCTGAGACCACCTAGACCGGTAATCTGGCTCAACCAGTTCTGCCATCCCACCCAGAAACAGAACACAGCAAGAAAAACTCACTTTGACCCCCTATGATTCCATCTCCAACCTAGGCAGTCAGCACTCCCCACTTCCCAAGCCCCTGTCCGCCAAATTGTCTTTAAAAACTCTGACCCCGAATGCCTGGGGAGACTGATTTGAGTAATAATAAAATTCCAGTCTCCTGCACAACGGCTCTGTGTGAATTACTCTTTCTCCACTGCAATTCCCCTGTCTTGATAAATCGGCTCTGTCTAGGCAGCGGGCAAGGTGAACCCATTGGGCGGTTACCTTTCTGGTTCTAGGTCTTTGAGGAATCATCGCACTGTCTTCCACAATGGTTTAACTAGTTTACAGTCCCATCAACAGTGTAAAAGTGTTCCTATTTCTCCACAGCCTCGCCAGCATCTGTTGTTTCTTGACTTTTTAATAATCGCCATTCTGACTGGTGTGAGATGGTATCTCATTATGGTTTTGATTTGCATTTATTTAATAATCAGTGACATTGAGCTTTTTTTCACGTTTCTTGGCCACATAAATGTCTTATTTTGAGAAGTGTCTGTCTATGTCTTTTGCTTACTTTTTAATGGGGTTGTTTTTTTCTTGTAAATTTGTTTAAGTTCCTGTCAATGGTAGTTTAATGGGAATAGGATTGAATCTATAAATTACTTTGGACAGTATGGCCATTTTCACGATATTGATTCTTCCTATCCATATGCATGGAATGTTTTTCCATTTGTTTGTGTCCTCTCCAATTTCCTTGAGCAGTGGTTTATAGTTCTCCTTAAAGAGGTCCTTCACTTCCATTGTTAGCTGTGTTCCTAGGTATTTTATTCTTTGTAGCAACTGTGAATGGGAGTTCATTCATGATTTGGCTCTCTGATTGTCTGTTGTTGGTGTATAGGAATGCTTGTGATTTTTGCGCATTGAATTTTTATCCTGAGACTATGCTGAAGTTTTTTATCAGTTTAAGGAGCTTTTGGGCTGAGATGATGGGGTTTTCTAGATATAGGATCATGTCATCTGCAAACAGAGACAGTTTGACTTTTCTTCCTATTTGAATACTCTTTATTTCTCTTCCCTGATTGCCCTGGCCAGAACTTCCAACACTATGTTGAATAGGAGTGGTGAGAAAGGGCGTCCTTGTCTTGTGCTGGTTTTCAAGGGGAATGCTTCCAGCTTTTTAGCAATATATCTTAAGTGTTCAGAATCATGAAAAATAAGAAACTTACCACATGATGTTCCAGATAATGGAAGCATGCAACTTCTCCGGTCCCCACTCCAGACCTACTGAATCAGAAAGTCTGGATGGAACCCAGCAATCTGTTTTAATAGCACTCCAAGTGATTAAGATTACAGTAATGTTAGAGAACCACTGCTTTAGAGCACTGGAACTTTTCTTAAAAAGTACTCATTATATGTCACTATTTCTATAATAAATTACATACTTCCTTACTTTCTGGAACAGAATGTACTAAACATAAAGTGCTCTTTTCTCGTGGGGCCAGTCACCATGATGGACATCATTTCTTGTCCAGTGCCATTGTAACAAGTAGCACCCCAGACAGAACACCCAGGCGCCATGCTGCCAGGGCCACAGTCCACCTGGGCAACTGACTGCAACTGTCAATGTGGGTCCACTCAGCACTGATTGTTATCTATAACAATATTGGAGGAGTTCTTCGGTTGGGGCTTTATAAAAACAATTCAAGGACCAATTGAAACTGGCCGAACCATAGTATAAAAGAAAACCCAAGCAGTTCACGAATTATACCCACACCTAATACTACAACAAACACTGCGCAGAGGCATTCTGGTGTCATATTCCATTGTCTCTTCGCAAAAGAAGTGGTGGAAATTCTTAGGTAATTCTTAGGAAATGTTTCTGTTCTTAACTGGATTTCACTTCCTAGATTATCCAGGCTTTACTGACCCTCCTCAAAGTAACACCCTCTTTTCTTGTCACATATCAGTTTGCCCAACAATGACTGCTTTCTTACAACTCATTTAAAAGAATTCTCAAAATCGCCATCTACAGTTGCTCAAAAGTTCAGAGTTTTAGCAAGACATCTCCCTGGTTCATAGGTTTAGCTTTTCTTGAATACATTGTGCTGAACCTGCAACCAGCTTCTTATGCCTTGAGATCAGCACTGTTTTCCACATTCACAGCTCTTTGTCTATCAGTACTTCTGTGTTCTCCCATACTGAGGCTTTCAGTGAGATTTGTATTCAGTTCCTTTTGGGAAGAAATAGCTTCCAGATTGAGTCCAACCTGAACAGGATTTCCATAGATCCATGGATCTGAGTGTAGATGCATATGAAAATTTCACAGATATTGCCAAAATGCCTCTCAGAGGAGTTATACCAATGTTTCCCAGAAGTGTAGAAGGTGCCTGTTTTCCTGTAGCCTCACTGACAGAGATGGAAATTTCTTTTTACTATAGATATCTTAGGGTCTTATGACACCCTCACATGACAGTCACCATTAGAACAATTTCTAGCTTCTCTCTTTAGATGTTGACCCTTTCTCTCCGGCGCAGTTTTCTTTTTCAATTTAATTCAAAGAATTGAATTGAGAACTTACTTTGAAACTAGTTCTCACAAGTGTAAAATCAAAGAACTTGTAACCTTGCTATGATATTTGTAATAAACTCTTTTCTTTTTTAACTTTGAAGACAAGTCAAGAGTTTTAAAACTGAGATTTTCAGAAGGAAAATCTCACCCATACCTGACTTACATGATATTGAAACAACACTTTGGAATTTGAGTTTAAACATTAGAGTTCATGCTGGAATTAGTTAAGACTTTTGAGGTTTTGGGGATGGGATGAATATATCTTACATGTGAGGACATGGATGTGGGGGGGCCAGAGGTTTTGGCTGAGTGTATGTCCCCCCAAATTCATATGTTGAAACCCTACCACTTAATGTGATGGTGTTTGGAGGCCATGTCTCTGCTGATTGGTAGGATTAGATGACATCATGAAGATGGAGGCCTCGTAATTGGGGCTAGTTTCCTGATACGAGTCCATAGAGAGCTAGCTTTGCCCTCCACCATGACAGGACACAGTGAGAAGATACCATTCTTTGAATTAGGAAGCAGATCCTCACCAGACACAGAGTCTGCCAGTGCTTTGATATTGGACTTCCCAGCCTCCCAAACCATAAGAAATAAACGTTTGTTGATTAAGCAAAATAAACCAAGCAATATCAGAAGGAAAAGAAAATTCGAAGTGATTCCACTCCTATTTGTTTTACAGAATTTGGAGTCCTATGGTATCTGTTTCCATATTCCAGGACATCTCTTTGCTTCCATTCACAGAAAAACACTTATTTATTGTGAGTCAAGAGGCTTCCTAACATGCAGCACAGTCTTATTCTTCATTTCCAAGACAGCTGATGTTCAAAAGTCAACTATCTAACCACTATATGACCTGGAAATTTATTTGTTTAAAAATTACCTCTCATTCAAATATTACTTTGAAATTCCACATCAACTAGACTCCCTTAATTATCAGGTTGAGTTCAGTTTCAAGGGCCTCACATTGATTGAAAGTCCTTCTCTTTATATTTATTCATAAAGTAAATCTGGGGTTTTTGTTTTTCATCATTTTACTTCTTAGACAAGAAGGGACTGTTTAAGTTATTTTAATTTCTGAAAACATTTATTAATTCAGATAATTACAAGTTAACTTGTATTCACTTTTTAGAAATAAAAAAATTACCTTATTATTGCAGTGGCCTCTT
The DNA here is from genome assembly GCF_000001405.40 of Homo sapiens. Taxonomy (NCBI): domain Eukaryota; kingdom Metazoa; phylum Chordata; class Mammalia; order Primates; family Hominidae; genus Homo; species Homo sapiens. The sequence continues at coordinate 160,627,241 of NC_000003.12, read as the reverse complement.
ATATCAGAATTTAAAATATAATAAATCAGTCCTGGTACGGTGGCTTACACCTGTAATCCCAGCATTTTGAGATGCCAAAGCAGGTGGATCACTTGAGCCTAAGATTTCGAGACCAGCCAGGACAACATGGCAAAAACCCTGTCTCTACAAAAATACAAAAGTTAGCCAGGCACAGTGGGGCACACCTGTAGTCTCAGCTACTTGGGAGGCTGAGGTGGGAGGATCGCTTGAGCCCAGGAGGTAGAGGTTGCAATGAGCCAAGAGTGTGCCACTGAACTCCAGCATGGGTGACAGAGTAAGACCTTGTCTCAAAAAACAAAATAAAGTAAAATATAATAAATCAATGATTATTTGAGAAATACAAATTTAAGTAACAGTGGGATCTTTTACAGCTATTAGACTGGCAAAAATCAGAAAGCTAGATAACACAAGAGTGCAGAATGGTGCAGCCATGCTGGCAAGCACCCTGCCACTTCTTGATTTGATTAAGTATGCTCCATAATTCGGTAATTCCAATCTTGAGCATGAATCTAAAGAATTTTCATATAGATCCATGAGGGAACATGTATGAAGATATTTGCTTTAGCATTATTTGTGGTGACAAGAAGTTGGAGGCAAATTAGTGGCCTGTCACAGGGAAAGTGGACAGATGAACTTGCAGATGCACACTATGGAGGTCTATACAACAATTAAACCACAGATTAAATGGATACATAGGAAAACAGATGGATCCTAAAAACATAATGCCTTACTACTTCATAAAAACATTAAGGAATATAATAGAAAATAGATCTAAATGTAAAACACAAGCTATACAAACTGGGTGGGAGGAAGTGGGGATGGTTAATAGGTACAAAATATAGTTAGATAAAATAAATAAGATCTGGTATTTGATAGTGCAAGAGGGTGAAAGCAGCCAACAATAATTTATTGTACATTTTAAAATAATTAAAAGTATAATTGAATTGTTTGTAATACAAAAAAAAGATAAATGCTTAAGTTGATGGAGACCTTACTTACCCCAATGTGATTGTTATGCAGTGTATGCCTATATGAAAATATCTCATGTATCCTATAAATATATACACCTACTGTGCACCCACAAAAATTGAAAATTAAAATAAATACATAATTAGAAGCTCTTTTGTGTTTTTGTTTGTTTGTTTGTTTGTTTTTTAGAGATGGAGTCTCGCCATGTTGCCCAGGCTGTTCTTGAACTCCTGGGCTCAAGTAATTCTCCCACCTCAACCTCCCAAAGTGCTGGGATTACAGGCATGAGCCACCCTGCCCAGCCAATTTCTTTTTTTTTTTTAACTGCTAAAAAATAACATAGGCAAGGACTGGACATGGTGGCTCACACCTATACTCCCATTTCAGGAGGCCAAGGCAGGAGCATTGCATGAAGCCTGGAGTTTAAGACCAGCCTAGGCAACATATTGAGACCCTATCTCTACAAAAAAAATTTTTAATTAGCCAGGTGTGATGGCACAAGCCTCTAGTCCCAGCTACTTGAGAGACTGAGGCGAGAGGATTGCTTGTGCCCAGAAGTTGGAGGCACCTCTACACTGCAATCTTGGCAACAGACTGAGACCCTGTATCTATAAAAACTAAAATAAAATAAAAATTATGATAACAGGCAAAAATCTACTCAATCTTCTGTATGCAATGACTTTTAGATATAACAACAAAAGTAGAATCCATAAAAAAATTGATAGGTAGGACTTCATTAAAATATAAAATTCTCTTCTCTGTGAAAGATGCTGTTAAAACAATGAAAAAACAAGCCACAGACTGGGAGAAAATATTTGCAAAACACATATCTGATACAGGACTTGTGTTCAAAATGTACAAAGGACTCAAATTCAACAATAAAAAGCAACTCAATTGAAAAATGGACAAACAATCTGAACAGACATCTCACCAAAGAATATATGCAGATGGCAAATAAGCATATGAAAAGATTCTCAGCAGTCTATGTTATCAGGGAAATACAAATTAAAACAACAATGAGATACCACTACATACCTATTAGAATGGCTAAAATCCAAAACACTGACAACACCAAATGGTAGCAAGAATGTAGAGCAACAGAAACTCGTTCATTGCTAGTGGTAATGCAAAATGGTGCAGCAATTTTGGTAAACAGTTTAGAATTTCTTACAAAGGTAAATATACTCTTACCACACAATCCAGCAATAGCACGCCTTGATATTTACCCAAGTGAGTTGAAAACTTATGTTCCTACAAAAAACCTGCACACAAATGTTTATAGTAACTTTATTTATAATTGCCAAAACTTGGAATCAATGGAAATATCCTTGAATAGGTGAATGGATAAACAAATTGTGGTACATCCACACAATAATATATTACTCAGTGATAAAAAGAAATGAGCTAACAAGCCATGCAAATATATGGAAGAATCTTAAACGTACATTGCTAAGTGAAAGAAGCCAATCTAAAAGAATGACATACGATATGATTCCAATTACAGCAGGTCCTCTAATTACATCATTTCATTCAAAGACGTTTGGCTACAATGTTGATGAGAAAAAAAAATTGATTCCTGGCCTAGGCCACTGTCCATGTGGAGTTTGCAAGGCTTCCCCATGTCTGAGTGGCTTTTCTCCATGTACTCTCGTTTCCCCTCACATTCCAAAGACATGCGCATTAGGTGAAATGTTGTGTCTAAATGGTCCCAATCTGAGTGAGTATGGGTATGAGTGTGAGTGTGCCCTGCAATGAGATAGAGTTCTGTCCAGCATGGGCTCCTGCCTTGTGCCCTGAGCTGCTGGGATAAGTCCTGGCTACCTGCAACCCTGAACTGGAATGAGTGGGCTGGAAAGTAAATGAATGAATGAATGAATGAATGAATGAATGCAAATTATTGTAAAATAAAAATTTGTAAAGTATACAATAATTACACAAATGCACAACAATAAATGATTCAAGACAAAAGCTCTCAGCGAGCTGTCATTTTTGCTGTTGTTTGTTTTTGAACTGTGTGATGACAGGAGGTGCTCCTTACAATTTTTGCTTTGCAAAATTATTTAATTTAGCCCATGACCACTATGACTGCCATCACTCATTGATTCACCAAAAATTGGATAAATAATTATCTTACTTGTTTTTATTACTCTGTCTTAAGTGTATGTGTAGCTCACATTTATTTCTATGTTTAATATTAGAAGTGTTTGGAGTCTTTATTTAGAAGTTTAGTGATTTTTTTTTTTTGTGACCAGAAATATGCCTTAGGAACTTAACTCTTGTAAATATCAATTACCCTATGGTAAAACTGGTTTTGGTATAGGTCATTTTGCTTAAAGTCACAGTTTCCAAGAGCCTCTTGACAACATTAGGTGAGGACTTAACTGTATACAACATTCTGGAAAAGGCAAAACTATGGAGACAATAAAAAGGTTAGTGGTTGTCAGGGCTTTAGAAGGGGGAAGAGAGATGAAAAAGTGGAACAAAAGGGGAATTTTAGGGCTGTGAAACTACTCTGTATGAAACTGTGATGGTAAATACAAGATATACATTTGTCAAAACCCATAGAACTAAATAACACAGTGAGCCCTAATGTAAACTATGGACTTTAGTTAATAATAATTCATCAATATAGGTTTATCAACTATAACAAATTCACCATACTAATCCAAGATGTTAACAATAAGGAAAATTGCCAGAGGGCCAGGGTGGTATATTATATAGGATCCTTCTGTGCTTTCTGCTCAATTTTTCTATAAACCTAAAACTGCACTAAAATATAAATATTAATTTTTTAAAAGTAAAAACAGACTGAACTATATAACAAAGTGCTGTTTTTATAACTGAGAAAGACATGCACAGAAAACAACAAAACATATTTTACAAAAACACATAAAAAAGTTATTCATTAAATATACTAGAATTGTGGTCTTCAGGGAGGTGGAGTATGGCAATAAAATATAGTTAGCAAAATAAGAGAGGAATGTTGACATTGCATGAACCAATAATGATAACATACCATGAACTGAATATGACCAAATTTGTCCTGTGAATTTGAAATCCAAAAAGAAAAAAAAAAAAAAAAAAAAAAGCAATGGTTCTCAATTTGAGCCAGGATATAGAGCTTAGAGAAGCTTAAAAAGAATGCACATGCTTCAGCTACATTTCATACCTACCACATCAGAAACTCCAGACTTGGAGGCCAAGTTTGTGCATTTTGCAGAAGTTCCTATATTAGCCAGGACACTTTGAGCTACAGAAACCCAACTTGAATAAGTATAAGCAATGAAAGCTCAGGACTATACTGGTTTTTTCAGCTTGGAAGTCTGGGGCATAGTCCAGCTTCAGGGACAGATGAATCCAGGAACTCAGGCAATGTCCTCATGCTCTCTCTCACAGCTGCCTGTCTCAATCTCTTCTACTGAAGGCAGGTTTTCATCCACGTAGAGGAGAAAATGTTTACTAACATTCCTGGTCATGTGGTCATCTCTGTTCTCTGAGGGGAAAGAGAGGAGTGAAATGGAGTGCTGTAACTGACAACCGTCAAGAGCCAAGGGAATGCAGTAGGAGTTCCCCAAAAGAAAAGATAGATTAGGCACACCAAACTAGAGATAATCATCATATTCTCCCAGTTTAATTCAGAATGACTCAAACATTCACTTGTAGGACACACTGAATCTTCATGATTAAAAAAAAAAAAAAAAAAGAAAGAAAGAAAAATTGCTGGAAACATTTCTGTTTCCCACCCTCTCTTGCTCAACCTGGGCTCTGCTGTCATGTTCTGTCTGGGAACTCACACCATCCCCTGCCCTAGGAAGGTAAAACAAACATCTTTTTAAACTTGCTATGTGTCTGGCTTACAGCTTTCTTTAGTAGGCTTGGAATTTTTAAAATGAAGGTATTTAGGACACCTGGGTGTGCTGTGCTTTTCCATATATATTATCTCATTTAATTCTCATGATACTGATAATGGTCTAAGACAAAGACCAGATAAGTTAACTTATCCAAGGTCAGAAAATATAAAAGTGAGAATTGGAATTTAAACCCAGGCTTTAAATCTCCAAATCTCATGCTTTGTCCAATGTGCAACAGCTTCACAGATAACATTAATAATAAAAATAATTATTATAATAAAAATTGCTAATAGTTTTTAAGTCCTTTCTATGTGCCAGGCAATGTTTTATAAATATTATCTCACTAATCCTCACAATAGGCTATGAGGAAGATACTATTTCCCCCATTTTATAGCTGGGAAGACTGAAGCTCAGATAAGTTATTATCCTAATCACATAGCTACTAGTGCTGGAGCAAGGAGGTAAAACTAAGTGCATCTCAGAAAAAGGCCAATTTCAAAGGTCACATGTTGTATGAGTTCATTTATATGGTATTCTTAAAATAACAAAATTATTGAGATAGAGAACAAATTAGCAGTTGCCAGGAGTTAGGGATGGTAGAAGTGGAGGAGGAAGAGTGACTATACAGGGATGGCACAAGGGAGATCTTTGTGGCGATGGAATAGTCCTGTGTTTTGAATGTGGTAGTGGTTATATAAATCTACATGTGATGAAATGATATAGAATCCTGCACATACATAGCACCAATGTCAGTTCCCTGGCTTTGATATTGTATTATAAATACAAAAGATGTAATCAATGGCAATGAGGAAAACAAGATGGGACCTCTCAACACCAGACGTCTCTATACTAACTTTGCAGCTTCTTGTGAATCTATACTTATTTCATTATTTGAAGGTGAGACTAACAGTTGAGCCAGATATAATCCCTTGGAAACTGACATGCCTGTACAAAATAAGGAATTATTATTATTGATCATATTAATATGGAAGTGTCAGTTCTCTAAGAAGATAATTTCAAATATATTTTGCTTCCAGCTATTTATTTATTTATTTAGAGAGACATGGTCTCACTCTGTCACCCAGGCTGGAGTGAGTGCAGTGGCACAATTATAGGTCACTGTAACCTCTAACTCCCAGGCTCAAGCAATCCTCAGACTCAGTCTCCCAAATAGTTAGGACTACAGGCATGTTCCACCACACCCAGCTAGTTATTTTTTTTTTTAATTTTTATTTCTATAGAGACAAAATCTTGCTAATTGCTCAGGCTGGTCTTGAACTCCAGGACTTAAGCAATCCTCCCGCCTTGGCCTCCCAAGGTGCTGAGATTGTAGGCATAAGCCATCATGCCTGGCTGCTTCCAGTTTTTTAATGCATAATAAATGTAGGCAACTTGCTTTGCTCCATGTGTGTGTACTAGACTCACCGATGCACCTCAGTAAATTTGCATGGCCCCACCTTCTACCCCCTACTTCTGCTACTTGAACTACCATCACCTATCTCCTAACACTACTTACTCAGCCTTCCTTGGGAATGAGGGTTGAACCTCAGCACAGTCTCCATTAGAAGGAGCCAACAGATAAATTTCTTCTCCAGCCATGGTTTACCCTGGCCCCAAGGATTTTGTATGTCTTCTCCAGAGAAGTTCCATGTAACTGAGCAAGTTGTATTCTTTGAGAGTTTGTGGCCAGCTTGATAACATACCACGTTGTATTTACTTTCCTTCCTTCTTTGACTCATTTCCATCTTCTCTCACCTTTCCTACCCTGGAATTTTACTTTCAGTAAACTTTTAGCAGGTAAAGTTTGCCTCAGGTTTTGTTTTCTAGGGAAGCTCGGCTGAAACAGTGTGTTACTGAAAAGGTATGCGCAAATTAAATTTTGTTAAATTGAATTATATTTTAAGTGCACATAAAGAGATTTTCTGCTTAAGATTTTTTAATGGAACAAGAAGATTTTTGTTCTTATAAATAAATTATCCTGTGATACTTACTTTTTTTGTAAGGCTAGATTTTTTTTTATCTAAACTTGCTAGGTTACCTACCTCAGTTAGTTTTTCTTTCAAATGGGAAATTCATTTAACAGATAAATACTACACAGATTAACAGTGTAATCTACACAGATTTTAACCCATAGAGTAAAATATATGTGATTCCATCAAAATATTGTTACAGGTGACAGGCAAATAAATGGCTGGTACTGAAACAAACACAATTTCTATATATATACGTATATTTTAAATGCTCTTCCCAGTAAAAATGAGCACTCTCAATGCCCAAATTTTGAACCCTAATATCATTCTCTAGTAAATGGAATCAGGGCTCCTTAGAGAAATAGCTGATTCTAGGGCTGGGGCAGGGAAAATGCAAAATAGAGCATCCTATAATGCTCAAAAAACAAATCCATGAGGGCATTCAAAGATATGGGAGCAAATGTGAAAGTGCTCCCAAAACAAACCTGAAAAGATTTGAGGGCAAGACCAGCCTGATCAACATGGTGAAACCCCGTTTCTACTGAAAATACAAAAATTAGCTGGGCATGGTGGCACACGCCTGTAATCCAAGCTACTCAGGAGGCTGAGGCAGGAAACTCACTTGAACCCGGGAGGCAGAGATTGCAGTGAGCTGAGATCGTGCCACTGCACTCCAGCATGGGCGACAGAGCAAGACTGCATCTCAATAAAAAAACAAAAAACAAAAAACATAGTGTTGGATTATAATCCAAAGTATAGAATAAATGTCTAGAAGTTCATGCCGATTTAAAAAATGATTAAATAAATAAATAAACAAACAAGGGAGAAGAGATAAATCTTCCTTCCATTGGAATTCCAGACAATTTTTGTAGATGCTCTTCTTCTAGGAGGCGAAGCTGAATCCCTTTTTCCCCCCTTGAATATGGGCTGAATTTAGCAATTTGCTCCTAAAGAATGGAGTATGGACAAGGAATGAGAGTTACTTTACAGTGGAGAAGTTGGACAGACACTACCTTAACCAAGTGATCAAAGTTAACACAACCAGTGTTGAGTCAAATTGGTAATATTTATTCATGCTATGATACGATAAGGATGGTACTTCATCTCTGTGGTCATCCTCCCCAAAACCTATCTTTCCAGTCTGACCAGAGAAAAAATCAAACTGAGGGACATTCTACAAAATATCTCACTATTACCCCTCAAAACTGTCAAGGTCATGAAAAATAAGAAAAACCCAGATAAAGGCAGGCTAAGGAGGCATGACTACTAAATGTAATGTGATATTCTAGACAGGGTCCAGAACAGAAACAGGACACTTGTGGAAAAACTAGTGAAATCCAAATAAAGCCTGGGGTTAATAACAACGTACTAATGTTAGTTTCTCCGTTGTGACAAATGTACTTTGTAATGTAAGATGCTAAGATTACCCAAGAGGGATAACTCGGTGAAAGTTATATGGGAACTCTTGGTATTTTCTTGCAATTTTCTTGTAAATCTAAAACTACCATAAAATAAAAAGTTAAAAAAACAAAAAGGCTCAAACTTACCAGGTTCTTGTATCATTAAAAAAACAGAAACTAGAAAGGAGAAATGTTTCAACAGCTTCAGTAGGAGAGAAGAAAATATGTATTGCTTATTTTTCACTTTAATTATTGTAAACTTCCTTTTTAAGAATAGTTCTATGATGGCATTACTTAAATATTGTAAATGAGTAAAGAAGATAGAGAGGTAAAAGAGGATAAAAGGCACAGCCAGAGATTAGGGTGAAGGCTGAAGACGCCAGCATGAGGGTTCAGGGCTGCCGAGCAGGCATAGCAAGCTCAGGGAGCACACGGTGGGGCTGAGCAAACAACCTCCTCAGCCTCCTTCTCTGTCAACACCAACCTTGCCCAACACTGTAACCCAGTTGGCATGAGCTCAGTGATCCAGAAAGAGACATTTTTATGTAGCAGAGAAGTCATTAAAATCTGGAAATGTGGTGTCTGCTTCCTCTCCATATCCCAGATTATCCAGAACTGCCCGGGTCAAAATCTAGCCATTGGTGAGTGGGGAGAAGCTAAGCCACTCAGGGAAAAGTTCTGGCAAGATTGTTTGCCCTTTCCTCCTCCAGGGGCTCACCATGGTGCTGTCCAATTTTCTCAGATGAAAGATAGTTAGAAATATACAATTTGCAGCATAATTTTCCCCTCACGGATGGTGGTACTGATTCATATCCAAAACCTACCTGGGAAAAATAATTATTCCTACAGTTAACACTGATTTTAATAGATCCCTGTGGCTTAAGTGACTACAAATTCTACTCTAAAGGCAAACATTAAATAAAAATTAAAAACATCGCTCACATTTACTTCCACATTAGAAACCAATAATTATATAAAGCCTTAATTTAAAAATACATTAGCTGATTTAATTATATCAAGCCAGTGAGACAGAATAGATATTATTTCCATTTTACAAATGAGAAGTGAAGAACTGAGTAATTCAGTAAATGGTTAAAGAGCATACAACTAGATAACCCAGGTTATCTAGCCTCAGTTCTTGACACTACCTGCCACTCCCCCTGGCTTTCATGCTGGTCACTTCATACTTTCAGCCTGCCCGGCACTGTCAGGTCCCTTTATAAGCTCAAAATCCAGCTTGAATGGGATGAAGGTAGATTGTGGGAATAAGCTGTGCCTTTCCCTCCAGCAGGCGAGCTTAACCTTACAGCTCTCACTGTCCTCATCATGTGTTGTCAAGCAATGGGAACTGGCCTTTTTTGCAACTTTACAAAAAACACTCCATTTACAAAAAGCACTGAGTTCCAGGTGCTGGAATTCCTCCAGGTGGAGGAGGTTTCTTACATGACATTTAAAACTTTCCCCTAAAAATGATATGATGTTTGAGATTGTGAGATTTGCTTTAAAATAATCCATGAGGGAGCAGAGGAGGAAAGGGGTACCAGTGAAACAGGGATGGCTGTATGTATGTAGATATGGCATATATACATAGGATATGGGAATGGCCCTATAACATAAATGCCAAAGCCAAGTGATAAGTACATCAGGCTTCCTCTACTATGATATCTCTACTTTTGTATAATTGAAAATTTACAGAATAAACAGTTAATAAATTAACAAACAAACAAATGAATAAATAACACCAAGACTAGACTCTGGGGAGAAAAAAATCAAGTATCTAAAATTTGAAGAACATAACTGCCATCAGTTAGGGTAGGCTGACCCATTTTAATAAACAGACTTTAAAAAAATGATCACTCAAATGGAATAGAGGCTTATTTCTCTCTAACAAAATGGTTCAGAGTAGGTGTCCCAAACTAGGGGGGAAAGGCTGTGCTCCATGAAGTTGTTCAGGGACACAATCAGACAGGGGTTATGCCATCTCAATATGTGGCTTCCGAGGTCACTTTGTTACCATCCTGGACCGTGAGGAGGAAAGGAGCACAATGCCCAGTCTCCTGAAAGCACAGTTTAGAAGGGCATGTATTATTTCTGTTCACATTCCATTAGCAAGAGCTGAGTCACATGAAACATTTAGCTGCAAAGCAAGCTGGCCAATGTGGCTCATGGCTTGACAGACTAGTTACAGCTGCAGTGGAAGAAAGCACAAATTTTGGTGGAGAACTAGCTGTCTCTGCTAAAATAATCTAATAAATTTGCCTACTAACATAGGCAGAAATCAATTTGTTATAAAGCTTATGAAACTTAAATTTCAGGGCCTCTCACTTATATGGGTCTCTTCCAAGGGCCTGTGAGGGGTCTGTATTAGTCACCAATTTTTGTATAACAAATTACTCTAAACATACCAGCTTAAAACAATAGATGTATTCTCTCACACTGTTTCTGAGAGTCAGTAATCTGGGAGCAACTTAGCTGAGTGGCTCTGGCTGAGGATGTCTCAAGAGGTTACAGTCAGGTTGTCAGCCAGGGCTGCAGTTATCTGAAGGCTTGACCAGGACTGAAGGATCTGCTTCCAAAATGGTCCACTGACTTGGTTGTAAGCTGGAAGCCTTAGTTTCTCACCACACAGGCTTCTCCCCAGGGCTGTCTGAGGTTTCAGACAACATGTTAACTATGTTCTCCCAGAGTGGATGATCCAAGAAATGTAGAAGTCATCATGTCTTTTATAACCTAGCCTCAGAAGTGACATATCATCTCTTCTACTGTATTCCATTGGTCTCACAAACCAACTGCAATACAATATGGAAGAAGAACCACACAAGGGTGTGAATATCAGGAGAGGGATAATTGGGGAAAAACTTTATAATTGGAGGCTGGAGCACATGGTCATATGTTTTTGTAACATTTGCAAATGTTAAGATATTTCTATAATATTTTTCTTAACAACTGTCTTGCCCAAATTGTTTAAGCTTTTGGTCCTACAAAACATGAATTCTATTCTTCTGTTATATTGCTTGACACTTTTCAAATGGCTTTAGAACTCAGTGAAACTATTCCACAAACCAAAGTTATAATAACTAAATTCTGAATGGAATGAAGCACTTTTTAAAAATGTTTGTTTGGGTTACTGTTAATATTATCTAGGTTGTGCACTGTTGATTTATAAACAATGCCAGATGAGAACTTAGGAGATCTGGATTCTAATCCAGATTCTATCTCTAATAAGCTAGGTGGTCTTCCTTTCATAAGATGCAGTCTGCTTTCCAGTCTGGCTTTTTTGTCAGTAATGAGGGTTTCCATTCACTGATCTATATAGGTCAGCTCTTTAAAACTCTATGAATTAATAATATGTCTCTCTATGCCTCAAATTCCTCATCCATAACAAGAGGATAACAGTACATACTTTATAGAGCTACAGTGATGATTAAATAAGGTAATCTACATAAAGTGTCTAGAATATGCCCAGCAAGCAACAAATGCTCAATCAATGTTAGCCATTCTTACTATTTTACCACTGGAAACTCGCCAATCTCAGGAAGCCTATTTTGAATGCTTTTATAGTATCATAGTAATTTGTAATCTCGATTTTTATCTTGAATGATTGTGTACATTTTTGTAAGTTGGCAAAAGCCAATAGGAAGCAATGTCAAGGATATAGAACATTTAGAACTCTCATACATTTATCAATAGAATAAATTGTTGTAATGACTTTGGTAAAACATTTGGCAGTGTATCTACTTAAGCTAAACATATGCGTAGCCTATGATAAAGCAAATTCTCTTCTTGCTACCAACCTGAAAGAAATTGGTGCTTACATCTACCAAAAGACATATATAAAAATATTTATAAATGCTTTATTCATAATAAGTGAAATTATTCATAAAAGGTGACACAACCAAAATGTCCTTTTACAGTAAAATGGATAAAGTATAGTGTATTCATACAATGGAATGAATATAGCAATGAAAAAATACTAGTGTCACCAAAATGATGTTGAGTAAAAGAAAAAAGCACAAAGAAATTGCATACTTTATAATTCCATTATGTAGAGTTCAAAATCAGGCAAACAAATCTGTGCTGATTGATAGAGGTCAAAATAACCTTTACCTTTGGGAGGATACTCATTGGAAGAGGGGGCAAGGGAGACTTCTAGGGTGCTGGAAGTGTTCTATACATTGATCTGATGGGGGTTATATAGGCATATACATAAGCAAAAATCAATCAAGCTTTAGATTTAAGATTTATACTTTTTATTGTAAGTTGTATCTCAATAAACCTTTTTTTTAAGTTGATAATGGTATAAAGAAACACACTGCTGGAGAGTGATTTAGATTTATTCAACTGTTGCATTTTAGCTAATGCTAAATTGTTACAATTATGGCTACTGGGCAGCAAGTACTGAACAATTATTTAACTATTACTCTCCTATCATATGCTACCCTATTAATTGTGTCAATTGTTCACTCATTTTACAAATACTTAAGTGCCAAGTACTCTGCTAGGTGATGGGACCATTAACAATGAACAAAATAGTCATAGCTCTTGCCTCCACAATGCTAGGTGCATTGAGATGAAATAGAAAAGTAAATCAAGAGTCACAATTGCATGTCACAAATGCATTATAGGGACAGTGGAAGGTACCTTGCCTGCTATTGGAAGACAAAGCAGGAACAAAAGCCCAGAGGAGAAAGACTTGTTGAAGAAAATAATATCCAAGTTAAAATCAGTACCATTGGAGAGACATAGAGTGTAATTTTATGGCACACTCTTCCACAGGCTCAAGAGAACATGGCATATTCTAGGACCTGAGAAAAGTTAAATATGGTGGACATAAAGCATGCTGGACAGGGAGCAAGGAGTGCAATAAATGATGCTAGAGAAGCCAGCCCGTGGAAGACACTGCAAGCCCTGTGAAAAGGGTAAAGGTATTCCATGGACAGGGAAAAGACATGACTCAACACGTAATCTGGATGTATTAGTCTGTCTTCAGTGTGAAGAATTAACTAGAGGGAGGCAAGATTGAGGGAATAGAAACTGGTTGGCAGGCTGTGGCAGTAAACTAGACTGGAGATGACGGTATCTAAAACTAAGACAGTACAGGAAAACTGAGACATATTAATAGCTTGGAAGTAGAAACAGCAGGGCTTGAAGACTGACTAAGCAAAAAAGAGATTGACAGTTGATGTCCAGTTTTTGGCTTGAGCAACCCTATGGACAGTGGTGCCATTCACCAGTACAGGAAATACAATGAAAGAGAAGTTTGCTAATTTGAGATATTTTGAGGAGGTAAGAGTAGGAAGCTGATGAGTTCTGTTTCATCCATGCTGTGTTTAAAGTGCTTAGGAGCCATTGAGTTAGAGATACTTAGACTGCAGCTGGTGCTTAGGAGAGGTGACTATCCTGAAGAAATAAATTTGGAAGTCGGCATTGTGCAGGCATTAATTAAAGGCGCTTAAGTAGAGAAAATCTAAAATCACCCTGAATAATATGTAGAGTAAGAAGAGAAGCAGATTAATTATAGAACACTGAGGAATCCTCATTAAATGATCAGCAGCAGCAAAAGAGGGTCCCTTAAAGAATACTGAGGAGAAACACAGAGAACGAGGAAACCAGAAGACTATGTACACAGAAGCTAAAGGAAGAGAGAGTCTTCAAAAAAACAAAAGTATTAGGTGGGCAACAGGATCACATGGTGCCAAGAGGTTACACAAGGAATGTCTTCGTGACCTTCACAAGAGCAGTAGCAGAGGATGTATATGCCAAATTTGAGTGGCTTAAGGACAGAATGTGAGATCAGGAGATCTGATTGTCAAACATCCACAACATCCACTCCTGCCCACCTCAAAACTGGGGGGTCCTATTCCCCATGCTGTTGACTGGTTTAGAAACATGTTAATTAGAGTCCTATTTTCAGACAGAGCACATTCTCACTAGTTTAAGTGGAAAGGGATTTATTACAGGGTATTGGTTAGCTTAGAGCATGTCTGAGGGAGCCCAGAAACCAAGCTTGAATGTTGCATAGCCAACACAGCCAGAAGAAATGATCAACCACACCATGGGAACTTTCCAGCAGATACGTCCCTGCTGCCACCACCTGCTGCTTGATACCCATGAACCCAGGATCTGGTGGAACCTCTCCAACAGCTGCAGTAGAAAAAAGCCTCTACGACCATGCCTGCCAGAAGAACCATGTGGCCTCTGCATTGTGATGTTCACTTCTGCCTGCCAAGTCTGTTGGAGGATGGGGGTCTGCCAGCAGAAACCATGAGCAACCCCAGCTACACTTCAAGAAAGTCTTGGAAATATAGTCTAGCTTTCCAGCTTCTAAAGCCCAGGAAGCCATGTAACAATGGGATTGGAAAGGTGTCAAATGAGCCAATCAGTAATATTTGCTGCTGTCCATCCCTTTGACTCACCATCCATTCACCCTTCTTCCCATGTTAAAATTTCAAACCACAAATTGCAACAACATGTTCTTGCTTTTCATAATTTAAATATTTCTTATACAAAAGAAGCTACATTCGTTGTCTCCCTTTGAGATACAGAATCTCATCAATTACTCCATGTATCTTTGGGTAATGTTTTTTCCTTTTCATGCTAAGTCACAACTCAGTGTTGATATTCTGAAATCTGTAGACTAAATTGTAAAGTTAAACACAAATGAAAAGAGCAAGGGAAAAAAAGAACGCAGCAAGGAAGAAAATAAGGTAGGTACTACAGATCATGAGACCATAGCTAGGATTTATAACTTCCTTCCTCAACTACTTATTCTATGCTCCCTTTGCCTTCAGCCAAAAGCTTACATGAATCATTTACCTGATGAGATTATCTAAACTTCCTTCCTAAAAGGCCTTTTATGACTCTGACATATAGATTCCTAAGATTTTGCATTGGCTTTTGCCACTAGACTTGGTAGTAGCAGAAGGCAAATGATGCCCTAGATTCCAAATATACTCCTCCTGGCATTCATTGTCTGGTAGAAAGTCTTCCCATTTAAAATAAGAATCAAGCACCCTAGCCAATATATGCAATCTTTTTCTTCCCTTGTTCACGAAGCATTAGGAGTCCAAAAAGATCAGGTGTCAGTCTCAACCTCCAGTTCAATGTAACCACTTTTGTGTCTCCTGATGGACCCATTCTTCCCTTGAAAAATAAGACTGTTAGACAAGCAGAATTAAAAGTTACAGGGACAGGAAACAAGAATTTAGTGGGAGATGTCACTCCTACTTCACATCCATTTGCTCCTGAACCAATATATTGTGGCCATGGAAGATGATATGCATTTATTGCATCCGGAGTGCTAGCACTACAACCCTGCAAGGTCATATTTCCCGGCTGGTACCTAAACTGGGTCTCCCAATTTACCTTCTATCTTTCTAAATGCCTTTCCACTTCTGGGTGATGGGATACATGGAGAGATTGGTGAATTTCAACAGAATTAATTAGCTCAATGCTTTACTTCATTTGCCAATAAATAAATTACCAGGTCAAAAGCAATCATTAAGGGGATATCAGTGAATTAGTTAGTAGATCTATGGATAATGACGCAGGTAAGAATTTTGCATGCAGGGAAAAGAAACCTGTATCTATAGTATACACATGTTGCAGTGAGAAAAAACTGCTGCCCTCTCCATGATGGAAGACCTGTGTAATCAACCTGCCACTAGATGACTGGTTCCTATTCTGGGGCTTGGGGTTGGACCAGGGCCACGGATATTCGTCACTGCAGCAGATATCATTGGTACTCAGGAGTTGAACTAGCCATATAAGCCCCAATGGGGGAAGTCAATGTTGAATCTATGCATAAACTCCTTCCCTGCTACTGTAGAAACTTTTTAAATGAGCCTATTGAACACTTAGATGTCTGAGGAAAAACCTTTTGTCCACTTAGTCATTGAGAATCTCCTCTACTGAAGGAGTCGTTTGACAAGTATCCCCATGGTACCCTGTTATTTTCATACTGTGGGCACAATTTAAAAACGTCCATCTATGCGCTTCTTCCCCTGTATCTTCTTACCACAATCTTTCCATCTTGTTCTTTCTGTGACCTGACTTAACTCAGCCCATGAATCAACATAAATCCATGCCTCAGACCATCTCCTTTCATACAAAATCAACCACAAGATGTTCCTTCCAAAACTCACATGTGCATCTGCTTACCAGAAGCCTGTTTTGTGAGAAAATCCTGACAATGATTTCTTTTTCCCTGAGAAGAGGAAGCATGGTCATCTGCTGGAAGTGCAGAGGAAGGTGACAGGATCAGAGATTTGAGAATTCAGGTTTAAATTAGCCACTCATGAGAGCGGTTGATTTGGAGAACAAAAAAAGGATTGGTGGGGGCAGTTTTGAAGGTGCCAAATTATATGGTTATATGATTTTTCTCCAGAAGCCTACTGTAAGTCACTGAAGACACAAAAACCACCACAACAAACAAATGCAACATGTTTATTGCAACCTCAAGAAGAGTCATTCACCTGAGTTGAAAAATAATCACTCGAGGCCGGGCGTGGTGGCTCACGCCTGTAATCCCAGCACTTTGGGAAGCCGAGGTGGGCGGATCACGAGGTCAGCAGATCGAGACCATCCTGGCTAACACGGTGGAACCCCGTCTCTACCAAAAATACAAAAAATTAGGCGGGCGTGGTGGCGGGCACGGTGGCGGGCGCCTGTAGTCCCAGCTACTTGGGAGGCTGAGGCAGGAGAATGGCGTGAACCCCGGAGGCAGAGCTTGTAGTAGCCGAGATCACGCCACCACACTCCAGCCTGGGCGACAGAGCGAGACTCTGTCTCAAAAAAACAGAACAAAACAAAACAAAACAAAAAAATAACTCATTTACAAAGCAATTTATTGGTAATTCTTGCTAAATCAAAGTTATTATTTAGATGTTAGATTTTTAATAGCAGTTTTTTGTCTAAGGCATAATAGTAATGTATAAAAATTATTTTTCCAAGTAAGTGCTATTTGAAATAATCATTGTCTTAGCCTGTTTGTGCAGCTATCACAAATTACCTGAGGCTGGGTCCTTTATTTTTTAAAAATGTATTTCTTTACAATTCTGGAGACTGAGAGGCACAAGGTCAAGATGCTGGCAGGATCGCTGTCCTGTGAAAGATGGTTCCTCATAGATGGCGCTGTCTGGGTGCTGTCACATGGCCAAAGAGTGGATGAGAACAAACCCACTCCCTCAAGCCCTTTCATAGGGCCCCAATCACATACATGAGAGCTCTGCCCGTATGACTTAGTCATCCCCTGAAGGCTCCTTCTTTTAATACTATCATATTGGTGATTAAGTTTCAACATGTGAGCTTTGGAGGACATATTATTTATTCAGACCATAGCAATTATCTTACAAAATCAATAAAATCTCTTGATAACAATAGTTGCCTGTAGGGAGGGAAACTAAGTGACTGAAGGACAAGAGTGGAAGGAGATTACTTTCACTAAATACCCCTTTGTAACTTTTGAATTTTATGCCTATACATACAAATACCTATAAATAATAAAAATAATGTCTATAAAAAGCCCCTTGATGTGTCCTGTTACCCACAAGTACACCCCTCTGCCAGGTGCTGACAGGGCAAAGCTCTATGCAACTGTGATCCACCCTATACCTATACCAAATGACACCTAATTGGTGATTTTCTAAGCCATTTGCTCAGCATCAGCTAACCAGAAAGATATTTTCCAAAATATCTATGGTAAGAATACAGATTACTTATTTTTTCCTTGTATTTTCCAAACTTTAGATGATGCTCATAGTCAGGGAAAATCCATCATAAATCTTTTGTCATTTGTTTGTTCATTCATCTTCCCATGTATTTGACCAAATTTTATTGAGTGTTGTGTGTGGATGTGTTACAGAAATTCATACGTGCTGTGTTCTAGGAAATGCAGAGCTAAAAAGAGGAAGCCTCTCGTTGCCTTGGTCTCTTTTAAATGAAGCAGAGTGTAAATAAGGAATGATTCCTGCCCTCCAGGTATTTACAGACAGATATATGGAAAAGCACCTAATAAAACAGAATGATTTAAAAGCTATATGCAGCTAGCAATGTGCTATGGGAGTAAGAAGAAGAAACAATCCTATGCATATTGGAAAATGTTTCACTGGACAAAAAGGCATCTGAATTAAGTTTTGAAGGAGGATTAGAATTTTAGAGAAGAGAACAAGATGGAAAGTGCATTTTGCGTTGAGGAAACAGCATGTGCAAAGGCATGAAAATGCATGGCAAGTGCCTGAGTCTGTTCAGGGTGCTATAACAAAATATCACAGACCGAGAGGCTCATAACCAACAGAAATGTATTTCTCACAGTTCTAGAGACTGGGAAGTCCAAGATCAAAGCACTGGCAGATGCAGAGTCTGATGAGGGCCCACTTTCTTATTCATAGAAGACACCTTTCACTATGTCCTCACATAGTGAAAAGGGTGGCTAGCTCTGTGGGGTCTTATCTTTAAGGGCACTAATTGCAATCATGAGGGCTCCACCTTCATTACTTAATCAACCCCCAAAAGCCCCACTTCCTAATACCATCACCTAGTTAGGATTTTTATATATTAATTTTGGGGATATTTAAGAATTGCAGCAAGTTTGGGAAGATGGTTGCTACCCAGTGAGATAAGAATGCTGTGTGCAGCCTGGCATGGTGGCTTACGCCTGTAATCCCAGCACTTTGGGAGGCCAAGGTGGGTGGATCACCTGGGGTCAGGAGTCCGAGACCAGCCTAGCCAACATGGTGAAACCCTGTCTCTACTAAAAAGACAAAAATTAGCCTGGCGTGGTGGCAGGCGCTTGTAATCCCAGCTACTCAGGAGGCTGAGGCAGGAGAATCGCTTGAACCCAGGAGGCAGAGGTTGCAGTGAGCCAAGATCGTGCCATTGCACTCTAGCCTGGGGGACAAGAGCAAGACTTCGTCTCAAAAAAAAAAAAAAAATGCAGTGTGCATGGAAATATTTATGGGAAAGGATGCCAGAAAGGAATGGATGAATCATGTTGCCTTGAAGAGTGAGGCATGTACTGGGAAGACCCTGAAAGTTTGTGAAAAGAAAGAAACAACTTCCACTTATGTTTCAGGACAATGTCATGTTTTAGGCAGTATGATGACATTAAGATCATAGGCTTTGAAATTAAGCATACCTAAATTTTAATCTTTTCTTGTACTTGCTAACAGTGTCATTTGGGGCAAGTCACTTAACTTTTCTGTTTTTTAATTTCATCAGGTCAGGCTACAGTTGACAAATGAAAGTAATCAATACTCAAATAGCACACAGTAGATGCTAAATAAATTATAGGTATCACACTTTCTATGGCAATGTGGAGGGTGTATTATCAAGGTAAGAGATTGAATGCACAGGCTATTCCATGGACTGATGTGGAGTCTTGGTGAGAGGTGTTGAGGGCCCAAAATAAATAATGACTGTGGGAATAGAAACGAGAGAACAACCATAAGACATTGGCATCTAGTGGACAGAGCTAGGGATCCTACAATATATAGGACAGCCCTCAACAACAAAGAATTACCCAGCCAAAAATGGCGGTAATACCAAGATTGAGAATCCCTTTATTAATGGAAAGAGGTCAGAGAACAAGTTGTATGACCTTTCTTTCCTTAGGAAAATTGTTTTTTTGAGACAGGGTCTCACTCTGTTGCCCAGGCTGGGGTGCTGTGGCTCAATCTCGGCTCACTGCAACCTCCACCTCCTGGGCCCAAGTGATCCTCTCACCTCAGCCTCCAGAGTATCTGGGACTACAGGCACACACCACCACATCCAAATAAGTTTTTGTACTTTTTGTAGAGATGGGGTTTTGCCACATCGCACAGGCTGGTCTGAAACTCCTGAGCTCAAGTAATCCACCCGCCTCAGCCTCCCAAAGTGCTGGGATTTACAAGCATGAGCCACTGCATCCAGTCCAATAATTGTTTTAAATTATGAAATATTTAAAACATATGTGCAATATAATAAACAGACACCTACATGCTTACCACCAAAATTCAATGCATATTAATAACATAGTTCTTCTACATCAAGGAGAAAGAAATGGAGCTGTGAGTTTGGATAATCCTTGAGAAGCACTCCAGCCCTCTGTGACTGAGAATCAACTGTATCTGATGGAAGAGTACTTACATATCCTCAGGTAAAGATCTTTCATTTCTTCACAGAACCTTAAAAATGTAAATTTTCTGAAAGGAATAATTTGTTAAATTAAGAGTAAGAATTTTCTATTCAGCTCTTTAAACAACAATATTAACAAATATTATTAAGATAGCATAATATCTAGGAAAGAAAAAAAAATTGAAGTTTTCTATGACAAAAGCTTTCAATCAAAGGGGCTTAACACTTCATAGGGACTCCATGGTTTTTAATTAAATGGAAGCAGAGATGAGAACCCAGTCTACTCTCACAAGCCTTTCATAGCTCCATCAAAATCTGACATTGGGCTAGGCATGGTGGCTCACACCTGAAATCCCAGCACTTTGGGAGGCCGAGGTGGGCCGATCACTTGAGGTCAGGAGTTCGAGACTGGCCTGGCCAACATGGTGAAACTCCATCTGTACTAAAAATATAAAAATTAGCTGGGCATGGTGGTGTGCACCTGTCATCCCAGCTACTCAGGAGGCTGAGGCAGGAGAATCGCTTGAACCAGGAAGCAGAGGTTGCAGTGAGCTGAGATCACACCACTGCACTGCAGCCTGGACCACAGAGTGAGACTCTGTCTCAAAAAAGAAAAAAGAAAAATCTGACATTGGCAAATGATTCAGTTTCAGTGCCTGCAGTCTGTATATTTTGCCATGCATGTTATTTCCCCCATAAGATGCCACAAATATAAATGAAAAAATTAAGTGGCTCCTTCAGGCTTTTAGTGACCATTACTACTTATGAGATAAGTAGAGATGTACAGACACAGGGAGGTCAGACAGACTTACACACCAGCCAAGGCATTGTTCCTGTAGTAGGCTGCTTCAAATTCACACCACAGTCCAGTTACAAGACCTACATATCAAGATCCTTTGAGTCACTCTTGGGCAGATGGTACTACAGATGTAAAATCTGCATAAGCCAAGGATTCTTTGTGTCTTTATTAAATCGTAGCACCTATCGTGACTTCTGTGATGGGTAATTTTATGTGTCAATCTGACTGGGCTAAGGGATACCCAGATAGCTGGTAAAACATTTCTGGGTGTATCTGTGAGGATTTCTGGACGAAGGGCATTTGAATCAGTGGATTGAGTAAGAAAGATCCACACTCACTGATGTGAGCAGGTATCATCCAATCCATTGAAGGCCCAAATAGAACAAAAAGGCAGAGGTATTAGGCTGGCCCCAGTGGCTCATGCTCACATATAATCCCAATGGGAGGCCAAGGCAGGAGGATTGCTTGAGGTCAGAGTTCAAGACTAGTATGAGCAACATAAAGAGACCCCTGTCTCTACAAAAAAATTTAAAAAATTAGCTGCTTGGGTGGCTGAGGCAGGAGGATTGCTGGAGTCCAGGAGTTCAAGGTTGCAGTGAGCTATGATCACACCACTGCACTTCAACCTCAGTGACAGAGTGAGGTAGAGTGTCTCTAAAAAAATTTTTTTTAAAGAAAAGCAGAGGTAGAACAAACTCACTCTCTTTAGTTGAGACATCCATCTTCTCCTGTCCTTGGACACTGGGCCTTTGGACTCTGACTGAGACTTGTGCCATTGACTTCCCTGGTTTTCAGATCTTTGGGCTGAGATAGAGCACCACCAGCTTTCCTGGACCTCCAGTTTGCAGATAGCAGATTATGGGACTTCTCAGCCTTCATAAGTCAATCCCTTATAATAAATTTCTTTCTATACATCTATATGTATACTATTTGTTCTATTTCTCTGAAGAACCGTAATAGAGCTTCCTTCTTTGATCCACGTCTGCCTAGGTACTCAGATCTTCTATTTACATGTGTATTTGTGATATGCATTTTCAATCAGCTGCCTCAAGCAGATTTTTTTGTGGATTATTTTATATCTGTGGTTTAACATGCTCATGTAACTATCTAAAGCTGTACTGTCCACTACACTTGTCAATAACCCACATATGATTACTGAGCATGTGAGACATGGCTAATCTAAATCAAAGTGTGCTCTAAGTGTAAAAAAAATAGGATTTTGAAGACCCAGGGGGAAAAAGGAAAAAATATCTCATTAATTTTATTACATTGATTACGTTGAAATTATTTTAGGTATCTTCAATTAAATAAAATATACTACTAAAATCTGTCTCATCTGGCTTTGTTATTTTTTAAATGTAGCTTTTAGAAAATTTGTAAAAATGTAACTTGCATTATATTTCTATCTGTAGAGCTTACCCTCCACACTTAGGCATTTTAGGATCAGATACACTCCATTTCAGACATACTTCTGATATGATATACATGGTGTGGAACTGAACATTCAGACAACATTTTCTACAGAAATATCTTTAGCTATTACATTATTAACAGATGATATTGTGTTAGATTACCCTGTGCTAGAATGGGAGATGTCCTATTCATGAGAGAAGTTCTATCAAGGAAGAAGTAGTTGTATCCATATTTCCCTAGCCAGGAACTGATGGAATCAATTATTAAAGGTCTCACTTCTGAATGTGTACATACATATGACCCCTGGAGGTAGAAGGGATAATCATAAGGATTCTTAAGATAAAAGTCATACTCAATTTTTTTTTTGTAGGTAAATAATTACATGTAAGAAGAGGATGCCATAATATCTACTTTTTCACAAAGCTTTGACCAAGTTTTGTGCTGAAAGTTTTCTCATCCATAAATGGTTGGGAAAAGAGTGTGAGATAAAAGCACTTCAGTTAAGAATATATAACTTGGAATCAACCCAAATGTCCATCAATGAAAGACTGGATAAAGAAAATGTGGCACATATATACGATGGAATACTATGTAGCCATAAAAAAGGATGAGTTCATGTCCTTTGCAGAGACACGGATGAAGCTGGAAACCATCATTCTCAGCAAACTAACACAAGAACAGAAAACCAAACACCATGTGTTCTCACCCATAAGTGGGAACTGAACAATGAGAACACATGGACACAAGAAGAGGAACATCACACACTGGGGCTGTTTGGGGGTGGGGAGGTAAGGGAGGGATAGTAGGTGATGGGTTGATAGATGCAGCAAACCACTATGGCACGTGTATCACTATGTAACAAAACTGCATATTCTGCACATGTACCCCAGAACTTAAAGTATAATTTAAAAAAAGATGCATTAGTTATCTATTGCTGCATAACAATATTACTATAAACTTAGTGACTTGAAACAACACACATTTATTATCTCAGTATCTGTGAGTCAAGCATTCAAGCACAACTTAGCTGGGTTCTCTGCAAGACTAAAATCAAGATGTTGGCCAAGGCTGGATTCTCATCTCAGTTTGACTGGGGGAAGATCCACTTCCATACTCACATGGTTATTGGCAGTATTCAGTGCTTTCTAGGATGACAGACTAAGATTCTCAGTTTTTTACTAGATGTTGGCTGGAGGCTGCCTTCAGTTTCCTTGTTACATGTCCTCTCCACAGGGAAGCTCACAACACAGCAGCTTGCTTCTTTAAAGGCAGCAAGAGAGAAAGCCTCTCAGCAAGAAGGATGTTACAGTCTTAATTAACACAATCACATACATGTAACCAAGTATATCCTATCACCTTTCTGTATTTTATTGGTTAAAAGCAAGTCACAGGTCACATACACACACACTCAAGGGAAGGGGAAAGTGTGAAGGCCATGGGGTAGAGAGAATGAGGCCCCGTTAGAGTCTGTCCTACAGATAGAGAACTGGCTTAGGGATAAAAATTAGGCAAAAATGTCATGGTGGTGTCCGAAGTATCTGTGTTAGGGTCATTTTAATTAATATTTTTCAAATGATTTGGGGAAGAAGAAAAATAACAAGATTTCCCAGTTTCCCAACAGAAATAATTTTCTAAATAGTGACATGTTGTGACGATGGGAATAAGCAAAGACTGGTCAATGGAAATCATGAGCTGTGGCAGTAGCAACACCATTGACAAGTGGGAAGTGGACTTATGTCTGAGAACCAAGACACAGAAGCAATAACTAGAACTGCACAACCACCTTGGTGGAGTCAAAGATAAGCTGCATCAGGGACTGGGGGCATTCAGGAAATGCTACCGAATAGAGTTTAAGAATAGCAGAGAAAAACATGCTGGCCAGCCCTGTAGCAAAAGGAAAGTGGGTGCATGGTAAAGGTTCTCTTCTTACAGAGATTCAAAAAACCTTCCAGTGAAAGGCCAGAGAAGATATATAGACTCTGTGACTGTCTTAAAATAGAGAGAAAGGGAAAAACTTGCTAAACCATAGTATATGGTGTCAATGCTCAGAAAAGATAACTCATTAATTTTTTACAGGTTCTGAATTAATTAAAGATATTTTAATACCCAAGATCTCACACATTAAAACTAAACCATTCTATGTTTTAGTGAGTAGCTGCCCTCATTTGCTTTCAACAATTATTTACTGAGCAGTTATTGTGCTTGGAAACACACTAGATGCTTCAAATACAGCATGAGCAAAAACAGGTGAGGTCTCTGCTCTCACAGAGCTTACAGTAATGGGAAAGATGAACACTGGATGAATAATTATACAAATAATGACATAATTATTACTGGTAAGTATTATAAAAAATGAGAATAGAGTGCTTTGAGGAAAACATATTAGGGGGATCCAGGATTGAAGGCACAGTGACATTCAAGCTAAAACTTGAATGATAAGTTTCCTGCCCAGAGATGGAGAAAGCAGAGGCCGGCAGAGGAAACGTGTTAGAAGACCCCAAGAGAAAAGAGTTTGAGGTTCACTGAAGGAGGAGGGAAGGTGACATGGCTGGGTCATGGAGAGCAAGACCTCAAAATGACAGTAGCAATCACATAGAGCCATGTCAAGGATGTTTGAATTTCTCTTAAGAGCACTGAGAAGCCACTGAAAGTTTTAAGCAGAGAAATGACATAACATGATGTTTCCTTTAAACTGTCATTCTCGTAGTTACTGGGGACTAGACTGAAGAAAGGGCAACAGTGGACACAGAACAGCCAGTAAAGTTTTCACAGTCATCCAGAGAGATACAAGGGTGGTTTGGATTAGGCAAATGGCAATGAAGATGGAGAGAAGTAGATACATTTAATAAATATTTTAAGGTAGAAAGGTCATTGATTGGACATGAAGTACCTTTCACAGCGAGATGGAATTTTCAAGGATGACAACCAGGTTTCTGGCATGAACAATTGGGGAACAGTTACCATCTATTGATAAAAGGAAAAAGTAGATGGGAATAGATTTGGGGAGAAATTCAAGAGGCTTCAGTTAAAAGATGAAAGATGCTTCTTTCTCTTGCTTATGGTAATAAAAGAATGTTGTAATTAGGTAATAATTGCACTATATGACCTTTGTTTTTCCATAAAAATACACACCAAGCATTAGGAGGTAGAATATATTTGGTACAGAAACAGACCAGGATGTTACAGGGCTAGCTTTGGACTTTTCCTACTACTTACGAATAAAAATGCTAATGACATCAATTTATTTTGGCAATGTTCCCTCATAATCAATTCCAGCAAGTTAGTGCTAAGCAAACCAAGCATTCTCAGTTGACCAATCTTACCCCTACTGATTCAGTAGCTGCCAAAAAGTAAAACCTTTGGTACCAGAACCAAACAACTCTTTTAGAGTTTGTAGAACACAAATTAAAATCATGAACAACCAAATATTCTGAACTCCTGTCCAATAATTAATACCTGTGGGTAACAGGCAACTGTTTTTTATGCAAGAATAAAGCTTATTCTGTCAACGTTATTACTGCAATATTTTACCATCAAGGGGATGTTCAGATTATGAATGTATTTTCTGTATTAACATTTTATAAAACTGATTTGTCCAAGGTTGTGTATATATATATATATATATATATATATATATATATATATATATTTTTTTTTTTTTTTTTTTTGCTTTTCCATGTTGTTTGGCCTCTCAGATCTAACACTATGAGACTGTAAGAAACTGTGCTGTGTCTTATCCACCTTTGACCTGCAGTGGATATTCACTGAATATTTGCTGGTTAGAGAAATGAATGTTTATTGTGTGGATTGTAAACTACCATTGAGATTAACAATGACTCTAAAAATGTAAAAATTAGACAGATGAATTCAATATAACCATGTCAAGATAAATGAATTGGAAGAAAATAATTCAGATCACACTAATAAAATATTGGGTTCTGAGCTATTCAAATACAACCAAAAATAATCCAGAACATAAATAACTTTTTCACAGAAAATATCTATCCTATGTTCTAAGATAGTAGCTTAATGCAATGAACTGTAAAGGGAGATTGATTTTAGAATTTAGTATTCAAATATCAAAGACAAGTGGGTATTGACCATGAGAAGACAAGGAATTTCTTATATGAAAAAAAAAATCAGATAACAGTGAATACAAAGATAAACATTTACAATTAGGTTTATAAAACTAGGAAATGAATTTCTCTGGTAATACATCTAACTCTGAAAAATCCTATTTAACCAAAGACGATTACTTTAAACAGTCATTCAAATTATATGACATTGAGGGAAAAGGAATATTCCATAAACTATAAAGTAAACTCAAATTGTTTCAAATCTCTAATGATTGTTATACTTATTACCATTTGTTTCCATAGTTTGGTTTCTTTAGTTTGGTTAAATTGTAACCTGAGTGGTACCTATTCAATGATCCACAACAGAGAATTCTAATTTTTATTGTGCAATCATTTCTAAACCTTGGATCCTATCCATTTTACATGCAACATCAGTGAAGAGTCTTAGGAAACCAATGCTATGTGACCCTTTCCAACAGTGCAGACGTTTATAGCCCAATTTGTTTTATTTTGTTTTGTCTAATCTTTAAAGACTAAGATTGAGTTGCAAAAAGGATTAATTCGTCACCTCCTTATCAACCTTAGCCACAGAAACTGTGATAGCCTCTTCAGAAGGAAACTTGCAGATTTAGGAATAGGTCTGAATAGGTCTGAAAGGAAGATTTACTTTTCACTGGATAATCTTGTTTTTTGTTTGCTTGTTTGAGATGAAGTCTCACTCTGTCGCCCAGGCTGGAGTGCAGTGGTGCAATCTCGGCTCCCTGCAACTTCCACCACCCGGGTTCAAGCAATTCTCCTGCCTCAGCCTCCTGAATAGCTGGGATTACAGGCATTCACCACCACATCAGGCTAATTTTTGTATTCTTAGTAGAGATGGGTTTCACCATGTTGGCCAGGCTGGTCTCAAACTCATGACCTCAAGTGATCCACCCACCTCTGCCTCCCAAAGTGCTGGGATTACCAGCATGAGCCACCATGCCCGGCCTATTTGATTTTATGTATTTATTTTTACCACATGCATGTACTACCTTACAATCACCATAAATCACAATTTAAAAACAATAACAACAACAGAATTAGTTACATGAAAAACACCCAAAATTACATAAGCAGTTTTTTGTATCTCTTTTGGAGATAGTCCATGTTTTTTCCAAAGTTCTACAGAATGTACTGATATTCTAACTATAAAATTCTCTGTTACGTCATCTAAAAACAAAGCTGAATGTCTATATAGTCAACAGAAACAAGTTAATTCTCTGCATTCCCAGGGTCATGATGCCAAAAATAAACTAAACTCTCCAAAATTCAAATCTCTTTAATCAAAAGTTTTGATTGTACCCTAACGACTCTTTGTTCAAACTGCTAACAAAAATAAAATGGGCTGAGTTGAATTGAGTTAAATTGTCTCTTCTCATCTCAAACTCCAAAGAATGTACCATGAGTTGGGAAAAATGCATGTTTTTTAAAAAGCAGAGAATCTAAACAGGTCATGAAAGGATTGAGTCACCAGGTAAGAGAGGATGGCTACGTGTAACACTGAAGTTAAGGTGCTAGGAAAACAAAGCAGGTGAAACTCACCCTGGGTCTAGAGTCCAAATTCACCCAGAAATGAGCCTCAGACAAATTGGCTAATGCTATCTGCACTCATCTGTGGCTCGGTTGTACTAGCAAATTACCTTATTAATAAATAATAAGCAAACAGATCTAGGTCACCTACATTTCCTTTCTTGGTGAGGTAGGTCCACTTTAGGGTTCCAAAGTCCAGATCAGAAATTGTTTTGAAGATGTCTGAATCAGGACCTAGGACTTACACGGCCATCAAAATCTGGTTTAAAAATGTCCTATCAGCTCGATGTTGGTTCAAAGAAATGGCACAAGTTATGAAAAATTTTAAAACAACTTGCTGACAAAGCCACCCTTTTTCCCTTAAGATTTTTCAGCATTCATTTAACTTGATATTTTCTGCAAAAAATTGTAGGGATAGGAGAGTTTTCTGAGACTATCTATAGCACAGCCTCTGCGCATAGCTCAAATCTCTCTCCGATTGGCCTTAATATCCCGTATTTGTGGCTTTCAACCAGGATTGGATGGGCTTGGCCTGAGTACTATAGTTTGGAAAATCTGCCACAGTGATTTGAATACATGGAGTCGGCACCTATTTACCTCCAGTGTGCACACTCACAGATGCACACACACTCAGGATTTATGTCACTATATCTCAGGTTTTATCCTATTCCATTGTAGTGCCTTCTCACAATAGAATAACATATCCACCATGGAACAGACTTTATCGAGCTTGAATTTCTTTCTGAAAAAAGTCAAGATAGGATCTTTCTTTCTGTTGCCTAGGCTGGAGTGCTGTGGTGCCATCATGGCTCACTGCAGCCTAAAACTCCTGCGGACAAACAGTCCTCCCACCTCAGCCTCAAGAGTAGCTGCGACTACAGGTGTGTGCCAACCAAGCCCAGCTAATTTTTTTAATATTTTCTAGAGAAGGGTCTCACTACGTCGCCCAGGCTGTTCTCAAACTCTGACCTCAAGCAATCCTCCCACCTCTGCCTCCCAAAGTGCTTGAATTACAGGCATGAGTACAATGCCCTGCCAAGCTGAATTTTCTTGGTTTGTAAAACAAGTGATATTGAATAGGCTTTTTTAAATTACACATGCTCTCTCACCTTGAGAATGATTTGTTGTAAGTTTACCATTCAGTGTTTCTGCTAACAGCATCCTTTCTGTCACCCAAGCTGGAGTGCAGTGGCGTGATCTCGGCTCACCATAACCTCTGCTTCTCAAGCTCAAGCTATTCTCCCACCTCAGCCTCCAAAGTAACTGGGACCACAGGTATGTGCCACCATACCCAGCTCATTTTTGTATATTTTTTAGAGACTGTGTTTCGCCATGTTGCCCAGGCTGGTCTCAAACTCCTGAGCTCAAACGATCCACCAGCCTTGGCCTCCCAAAGTTCTGGAATTACAGGCGTGGGTCACCGTGCCTGGCCTGCTAACAGCATCCTTTTCTTAAACGTATTCCTCACATCTTTACGATGCCAAAATTCCAATTTATAATAATGTATATGTGACATTACAAAAGGTTGTTCTGTCTACTAAATTTGGGGTAAGTTTCTACATAAGTATAATGTCTCCATAATACATTGTGACATTTGTTGCCCCATATTAAATTCACTTTTTTGGTTTTGGCTTCCAAAAAATTGTATTCACTTTGCACCAAATCACATTTAACGTAGTAAGGAGCCACAGTCTTTGGATTAAAAGTGCAGGGCTTGAGATTTAAATTTTAATTTTCTACTGAAGCAGCCACAACATTCTAAAATTAATTTTTCATATTTTATTTAGTTATCTTTACTACAATCACTCAACAATATTTATTATTTTAAAATATTTTAAAGCCACTTTTAAAAGTAAAGAAACTCAGCTCCTTCATTAATAACACTGGAGGTAGCTCCAGTAGGGCCTGAGGTGTGGTTCTCAGTAGAGCCGGCCCCTCGAGTGGGAACCCAAATTCTGCTACTGTAATTTTTAATCCATTCTTGATTTCTGCCACTTCATTTTTGAATTTGAATTAATTTTATTCTTTCATTCATTATATAATTTTCTTAACGTCTTTTACTTCATTTTGAAATAATGCAGTACTTTGGACCTGTTTTTTGAGTATGTCTTTTTGGCATACTTTTATTGTATGTATAGATGTTATTTTACTCTTTTTTCTTTTTTTCTTATACATCCCTAATCCAAAAATCTGAAATCCAAAATGCTCCAATATCCAGAACTTTTTGTGTGCCAACCTGATGCCACAAGTAGAAAATTCTACACATAAGTACTTACCACAAACTTTGTTACCTGCACAAACTTATTTAAAATATTGTTTAAAATCACTTTCGGGTGATGTGCCTAAGGCATATATGAAACATAAATAAATTTTGTGTTGAAATTTGGGTCCCATTCCCAAGATATCTCATTATGTATATGCAAATATTCCAAAATCCAAAAGAACCCTAAATCTGAAACACTTCTAATTCCAAGCATTTCGGATAAGACATACTCAGCCTTAACAACTTTGTATGGAATCCGACCTCAATATTTCTCTGTTGTTCATTTTCATGTGAATTTAGTTTTCCAGAACTTTAAGGAGGAAGGTTGATTCAGACAGCTTTTATAACCTCGATTGTTTAAAATATGGCAGTTCATTCTCAGAGATTCCCTGACTCTATTCCCCTCTCCCACTTTAGTCTGGGCTTCTCTTTCCTTCCTCATTGTTCCTATCCTGCTACATTTTGACTGCAATCTCAGCCATTTCTTCTCACTATGAGGTCCTAGTCCGGAAGTGAGACTGGTGGGTCAGTTTCCAAAGTTCATGAGATTAAGCCACTCGGGATCCTATAGGCCTTACCTGAAGATTCCCGCAGTTTCTTAGCTCTTCCATCCACTAACTATGTGACCTTGGAAAAATTATTCTACCTCTCTGGGCCTCTATTTCCTCATTTGTAAAGTGGAGCTCAAATAATAAGATAATGAATTTTCATTTGAGATGCTTAAAACATTGTTCACATTAAGTGAGCACTTTCTGAAGGTTTGTTTAATAAGCAAAATATTCGTCTAATCCTTATCTATTAATTCACCTTGAAGTGTAGAAGCTCTCAGGTAAACTGATCTAAACCATCTGCCTCCTCAGTGCCTCAAGGAGCCTACTCAGGTGTTAGCCATAGTTAAAGCTTTAATTTACCCTATCAACATATTTCACATTATTGGGAGGATTATTTTTTATTAATAATTAAAATTTTTGTTTGTACCATACTATGAGATTGAGGCTAGAGATTGGGGCTATGGGGGTGTGTAGGTGTTTTTTGTTTATTTGTATGTTTTTAAATTTTTGTTTTTATTTTATTAATAACAGCAAAATTTAAGTGTATGATATAGTATTGTTAACTATAGGCACAATGTATATTTTTATTTTGTTTTATTGATGCATAACAGATGTACATAGTTTGAGGGTACATGTGACAATTTAATACATTCATATAGTTTGTAAAGAATATATCAGTGTATTTGGGATATTGATCACTTTAAATATTTGTCTTTTATGCTAGAAACATTCAAATTATTCTTTTCTAGCTATTTTAAAATATACAATAGATTATCATAGACTATAGTCACCCTACTGATCCCCTAACACTAGGTCTTATTTCTTCTATCAACCTATACATTTGTACAGTTTTACCATTAATCAACTTCTCTTCATCCCCCCCCCATTACCCTTCCCAGCCTCTAGTAACCATCAATCTACACTCTATCTTCATGAGATCCACTTTGTTTGCTCTAACATATGAGTGACCACATGCAATATTTGTCTTTCTGTGCCTGGCTTATTTCACTTAACATATGACCTCCAGTTCCATCTATGTTGCTGCAGATGAAAGGATTTCACTCTTTTTTATGACTGAGTAATATTCCATTGTGTATATATAGCACATTTTCTTTATCCATTTATCCATTGATGGGCACTTAGGTTGATTCTGAATACTGCCGCAATAAACATGGTAGTGCAGATGTCTCTTTGATATGTTGATCTCCTTTCTTTTGGATATATACTCAGCAGTGGAATTGCTGGATCATATGGTAGTTCTATTTTTAGTTTTTTGGGGAACCTCTATACTGTCTTCCACAGTGGCTGCACCAATTTACATTTCCACCAACAGTGTATGTCGGTTCCCCTTTCTCCACATCCTCACCAGCATCCATTATTCCCTGTCTTTTGGATAAAAGCCATTTTAAGTGGGGTGAGATGATATCTCATTGTGGTTTTGCATTGCATTTCCTTGATTATTAGTGATGTTGAGTATTTTTTCATATGCCTGTTTGCCATTTGTATGTCTTTGGAGAAAGTCTATTCAGATCTTTTGCTCATTTTTCAATCAGATTATTTGGATTTTTGCTAGTAAGTTGTTTAAGCTCCTTATGTATTTTGATTATTAATGTCTTGTCAGATGGGTGGCTTGCAAATATTTTCTCTTATTCTGTGTATTGTCTCTTCACTTTGCTGATTGCTTCCTTTGCTGTGCAGAAGATTTTTAGCTTGAAGCCATCCAATTTGTCCATCTAATTAAATTTAAATGCTTCTGCACAGCAAAAGAAACTATCAACAGAGTAAACAGGCAACCTACAGAATGGGAGAAAATTTTTGCAATCTATGCATCTGACAAAGATCTAATATCCAGCATCTACAAGTAACTTAAAAAACAAACAACCCATTAAAAAGTGGGCAAAGGACATGAACAGACACTTCTCAAAAGAAGACATCCATTCTCCCAACAAGCACATGAAAAAAAGCTCAACATTACTGGTCATTAGATAAATGCAAATCCAAACCACAGTGAGATACCATCTCATACCAGTCAGAATGGCAATTATTAAAAAGTCAAAAAATGACACATGCTGGCGAGGTTGTGGAGAAAAAGAAACACTTTTACACAGTTGGTGGGAGTGTAAATTAATTCAACCATTGTGGAAGACAGTGTGGCAATTCCTCAAAGACCTAGAACTAAAAATACCATTCGACCCAGCAATCCCATTACTGGGTATATACCCAAAGGAATATAAATCATTCTATTATAAAGACACATGCATGTGTGTGTTCATTGCAGCACTGTTCACAATAGCAAATACGTGGAATCAACCTAAATGCCCATCAATGATACACTGAATAAAGAAAATGTAGTACATACACTGTTCTACAATAGCAGCACTGTTCACAATAGCAAATATGTGGAATCAACCTAAATGCCCATTATTATACACTGAATAAAGAAAATGTAGTACATATACACCATGGAACACTATGCAGCCACTAAAAGAAATGAGATCATGTCCTTTGCAGAGACATGGATGGAGCTCGAAGCTATTATCCTTAATAGGTACTTAATCTTTTTTTTATATACTTTAAGTTCTAGGGTACATGTGCACAACGTGCAGGTTTGTTACATATGTATACATGTGCCATGTTGGTGTGCTGCACCCATTAACTCATCATTTACATTAGGTATGTCTCCTAATGCTTTCCCTTTTTAAGGAACCTCTAAACTATTCTCCATAGTGGTTGTACTAATTTGTATTCCCACCCACAGAGTACAAGTTTTCCTTCTTCTCCACATCCTCGCCAGCATTTGTTATTGCCTGTCTTTTGGATATAAGCCATTTTAACTGGGGTGAGATAATATTTCATTGAAGTTTTGA
This sequence comes from Homo sapiens, assembly GCF_000001405.40. NCBI lineage: Eukaryota > Metazoa > Chordata > Mammalia > Primates > Hominidae > Homo > Homo sapiens. Next base: position 160,593,384 of record NC_000003.12, on the reverse strand, counting down.
TTTGTATTTCTATGATAATCAGTGATGTTGAGCACGTTTTCATATACATGGTGTCAGTTGTATGTCTTCTTTTGAGAAATGTCTATTCAGGTCTTTTGCTCATTTTAAAATCAGATTATTAGATTTTTTTCTATAGAGTTGTTTAAGCTAATTATATACCCTAGTTATAAATCCCTTGTCAGATGGGTAGTTTGCAGATATTTTCTCCCATTCTATGGGTTGTCTCTTCACTTCGTTGATTGTTTCCCTTGCTGTGTAGAAGCTTTTTAACTTGACGTGATCCCATTTGTCCAATTTGGCTTTGGTTGCCTGTGCCTATGGGGCAACCAAATACTCAAGAAGTATTTGCCCACTCCAATGTCCTGGAGAGTTCCACCAATGTTTTCTTTTAGTACTCTCATCATTAGATGTCTTAGATTTAATTATCTAATACATTTTTATTTGATTTTTATAGACAGCAAGATATAGGGATCTAGTTTCATTCTTTGTGTATGAATATCTAGTTTCCCCAGCACCACTTATTGAAGAGACCATCCTTTCCCAATGTATGCTCTTGGAAACTTTTTCAAAAATTAGTTCACCATAGATGCATGTATTTATTTCTCAGTTATCTATTATTTCCCACTGGTCTATGTGTCTGTTTTTATGCCAGTACCATGCTGTTTTGGTTATTATCCTTCTGTAGCATAATTTGAAGTCAGGTAATGTGATTCCTCCAGTTTTGTTCTTTTTACTCAGGACAGCTTTGGCTATTCTGGGTCTTTTGTCCTTCCACATAAATTTTAGGATTTTTTTTCTATCTCTGTGAAGAATGCATTGGTATTTTGATAGGAATTGCATTAAATCAGTAGATTGCTTTGGGTAGTATGAACATTTTAACAATATTGATTCTTCCAATTCATGAACATGGAATGTCTTTCCACTTTTTTGTGTCCTCTTCAATTTCTTGCATCAATGTTTTACAGTTTTCATTCTAGAGATCTTTCACTTCTTTGGTTAATTCCTAGGTATTTTATTTTATTTGTAGTGTTTGTAAATGGGATTACTTTCTTGATTTCTTTTCCAGATTGTTTGTTATTGGCATATAAAATGCTACTGATTTTTGTATGTTGATTTTATATCTTGTAACTTAACTGAATTTTTTTATCAGCTCTAATAGTTTTTTGGTAGAGTCTTTAGGCTTTTCCAAATACAAGATCATGGCTATTTGCAAACAAGGATAATTCAACTGCTTCTTTTCCAGTTTGGATGCCTTTTATTTCTATCATCTGATTGCTGTAGCTAGGACTTCTAGTACTATGTTGGATAACGGTGGTGAAAGTCAGCATCCTTGTCACGTTCCACAGGAAAGGCTTTCAGCTTTTTCCCTTCATTATGATGCTAGCTATGGGTCTGTGGTATATGGCTTTTATTATGTTAGAAATATACTCCTCAGTATATATCTAATATACCATGTTTTTTTTAGAGTTTTTATCATCAAGGGATGTTAAATTTTATCAACTGCTTTTCAGCATCAATTGAAATAATCATATGGTTTTTGTGCTTCATTCTGTTGATATGATGTATCACACTGAGTGATTTACATATGTTGAACCATCCTTGCATCCCTGAGATAAATCCCACTTGGTCATGATGAATGATCTCTTTAATGTTGTTGAATTCAGTTTGCTAGTATTTTGTTGAGGACTTTTGCATCAATATTCAACATAGATATTGGACTGCAGTTTTCTTTTTTTTTGATGTATCTTTGTTTGGTTTTGCTATCAGGGTAATACTACCTTGTAGAATGTGTTTGGAAATATTCCCTCCTCCTCTATTTTTTGGAATAGTTTGAGTAGGATTGGTATTAGTTATTCTTTAAACGTTTAGTAGAATTCAGCAGTGAAACCATTGGGTCCTGGGGTTTTCTTTGCTTAAAGACTTTTTATTATGGCTTCAATCTCATTGCTTATCATTGATCTCTTCAGGTTTTGAATTTCTTTATGGTTCAATCTTGGTAGGTTTTATATGTGTAGGAATTTATGCATTTCTTCTAGATTTTCCAGTGTATTGGCATATAGTTGCCCATAGTAGCCATTAATGATCCTTGGAATTTCTGTGGTATCAGTTGAAACATCCCCTTTTTCATCGCTGATTTATTTGGATCTGCTTTTTTTCATAGTCTGGCTAAAGATTTGTCAATTTAGTTGAACTTTTCAAAAAAGTTTCCTTTTTGTGTTGAAAAGTTGTTTCATTTATTTTTGTATTGTTGTCTTCATTCAAATTTCATTTATTTCTGCTCTGATCTTTATTATTTCTTTTCTTGTACTAATTTTGGACTTGGTTTACTGTTGCTTCTTTAGTTCCCTAAGATGCATTATTAGGTGGTTTATTTCAAGTTTTTCTTCTTTTTTGATGTAGGCATTTATAGCTATAAACTGCCCTCTTAGTACTCCTTTCACTGTATCTCATAGGTATGTTGTGTTTTCATTATCATTTGTTTCAAAAAATTTTTCAATTTCATCCTAAATTTCTTCATTGACCCACTGATCATTCAGGAGCATATTGTTTAATTTCCATGTATTTGCATATTTTCCAAAATTCCTCATTATTAATTTCTAGTTTTATTCCATTGTGGTCAGAGAAGATGCTTGATATTATTTCAATTTTTTGAATGTTTTAAGACTTGTTTTGTGACCTAACATATGGTCTATCTTTGAGAATGATTCATGTGCTAAGGAAAGCAATGTGCATTCTGCAGTTATTGGATAAAATGTTCTGTAAATATTGATTAGGTCCATTTGGTCTATAGTGCAGATTAAGTCTGAAGTTTCTTTGTTGATTTTCTGTCTGGAAGATCTGTCCAATGCTGAAAGTGGGGTGTTGAAGTCTCCAGCTATTATTGTATTAGAGTCTATCTCTCTCTTTAACTCTAATAAGAGCTAAAGCGAGCTTTATATATCTGGGTGCTCCAGTGTTGGGTGCATACTTACTTGCAATTGTTATAGTCTCTTCCTGAATTGACCCTTTCTCATCATATAATGATGTTTTTTGTCTCTTCTTATAGTTTTTGTCTTGAAATCTATTTTGTCTAATATAAGTATAGCTACTCCTGCTCTTTTTTTTTAGTTTCCATTGACAGGGAATACCTTTTTCCATCCATTTATTTTCAGTCTGTGTGTATTTTTATAGGTGAACTGTGTTTCTTACAGGCACCAAGCCTATATTGTGTCTGGTTTTCTGATCCATCCAGCTATTCTATGTTTTTTGATTGGACAGTTTAGTCCATTTATATTCAATGTTATTATTGACAAGTAAAAACTTACTCCTGCCATTTTGTTATTTGATTTTTGCTTTGTGGCCTCTCTTCCTTATTTTATTCCTTCTTGTCTTCCTTTTAGTGAAGGTAATTTTCTCTTATGGTATGATTTCATTTCTTGCTTTTTATTTTTTGTGTATCTGTTGTGTGTTTTTTGGTTTGAGGTTACCATAAGACTTGCAAATACAATCTTATAATCCATTATTTTAAGCTGACAACAACTTAACACTGTTTACATAAACAAACAAACTAGCAAAAAGAAAGTAAAAGCTCTACACTTTTACTTCATCCCCATGCTTTTTAACTATTTGTTATTTCTATTTATTGTACTATGTCTTGAAAAGTTGATGTAGTTATTATTTTTAATTGATTCATCATTTAGTCTCTCTACTTAATAGTTGTTTACACACCACAGTTACGGCGTTATAATATTCTGTGTTTTTTCTGTATACTTAATACTACTAGTCACTTTTGCACCTTTAGATTATTTCTTATTGTTCATTAACATCCTTTTCTTTCTGTTTGAAGTACTCCCTTTAGCAGTTCTTATAGGACAGGTCTGGTGTTGATAAAGTCCCTCATTCTTTTGTTTGTCTGGGAAACTATTTACTTCCCCTTCATGGTTGAAGGATATTTTCACCAGACATACTATTCTAGGGTAAAAGTTTTTTTCATTCAGCACTCTAAATATGTCATGCCACTCTCTACTGGCCGGTAAGGCTTCCACTGGAAAGTCTGCTTCCAGATGTATTGGAGCTCCATTGCATGTTGTTTGTTTCTTTTCTCTTGTTGCTTTTAGGATCCTTTCTTTATCCTTGACCTTTAGGAGTCTGATTGTTAAATGCCTAGTAGTTTTCTTTGGGCTAAATCTGCTGGTGTTCTGTAACCTTCTTGTACTTGGATATTGATATCTTTCTCTAGGTTTGGGAAGTTCTCTTTTTCCTTTGAATAAGCTTTCTACCCCTATCTCGTTCTCAATCTCCTCTTTAAAGCCAATAACTCTTAGATTTGCCCTTTTGAGGCTAATTTCTAGACCTTGTAGGTATGCTTCATTACTTTTTATTGTTTTTTCTTTTGTCTCCTCTGTGTATTTTCACATAGCCTGTCTTCAAGCTCACTAATTCTTTCTTCTGTGTGATCAATTCTGCTATTAAATGACTGATGTGTTCTTCAGTATATCAATTGCATTTTTCAACTCCAGAATTTTTGCCTGATTATTTTTAATTATTTCAATATCTTTGTTAAATTTATCTTATAGGATTCTGAATTTTTTCTCTGTGTTATCTTGAATTTCTTTGAGTTTACTAAACACAGCTATTTTGAATTCTTTGTTTAAAATGTCACATATCTCTGTCTCTCCAGGATTGGTCTTTGGTGCCTTATTTAGTTTGTTTGGTGAGGTCATGTTTTCTTTGATGTTGTTGATGCTGGTAGATGTTTGTCAGTATCTGGGCATTGAAAAGTTGGGTATTTATTGTAGTCTTCCCAGTCTGGGTTTGTTTGTGTCTGTCCTTCTTGGAAAGGCTTTCCAGGTATTTGAAACAGCTTGGGTGTTGTGATCTAAGTTCTATCTGTATTAGGGGAAACTCAAAGCCCAGTAATGCTGTGGTTCTTGAATACTCATAGAAGTACCACCTTGGTGGTCTTGAATAAGATCTGGAAGAATTATCTGGATTAACCAGGCAAAGACTCTTGTTCTCTTCCCTTTATCCCAAACAGAGTCTCTCTCTCTCTCTCTCTGTGCCAAGCCTCCTGGAGCTGGGGGTGGGGTGACACAAGAAACCCCTGTGGCCACCACCACTGGGACTATGTTGGGTCAGACCTGAAGCCAGCACAGCACTGGATCTTGCTCAAGGCCTGCTGTTACCTGGCTACCACCTATGTTTGCTCAAGAACCTAGAACTGTACAATCAGCAGGTGGTGAAGCCAGACAGGCTTGTGTCTCTCAAACCATGACACCCTTCCCAGTCCTCCCTCTGCTTTCCATAGGCAGAGGAGTCTCACTCTGTGGCCACCATTACCACAGGCCCACAGGGAATACTGCCAGGCTTCCACCAATGTTCACTTAAGGCCCAAAGACTCTTCAGTCAGCTTGTGGTGAATGTTGCCAAGCCTGGGACTCACTCTTCAGGAAAGTAGGCTCCCCTGTGGCCCAGGTCAGGCCAGAAATGCCATCTAAGAGCCACACCTGGAATTAGTGTCCCCAAGAGCCTGCCTGGTGCTCTACCCTCCTGTGGCTCAACTGGTATCTAAGGTGCGAGACAAAGTTCCCTTTTACTGTTTTCCCTCTGCTTTTCTCAAGCAGAGGGAGTCTCTCATTATAGCCACTAAAGCTGGGAATGTGCTATGTCTCATCTGAAGCTGGCAATTCTCAGAGTCTCAACCACAGCCCAGAATACCTGGATATTGCTACTAGTTATTCAGGGCCCAAGTGCTCTTTAGTCAGCAAATGATGATGGGTCCTGCCATGGCTAGGTCCTTTTCTTCAAGGCAGCAGGTTCCCTTCTGGCCCAAGGTGTGTCTAGAAATGCTGTCCAGGAGCTAGGGCCTGGAACGGTGCCCTCATGACTATGCCCATTACCCTATCCTACTGTGGCTGAGCTGTTATCCAAGATGTAAGACAAAGTCCTCTTGTTCTTCCCTCTCCTTTCCTCAAGCGGAAAGAAGGGATCTCTATCAGACCTGCAAGCTGTTCAGCCTGGGGTTGGGGGAGGAGTGGTGCAAGCACTCCTTTAGCTGCCCTGGCTGGTGTCTCAGTAGGTCATGTGCCCCCACCAGTCCACTGGCTCTGAGCCCAGCTTGGCACTAAGACCCACCTAGGAGTTGTATTCCTTATGGCCTAGAATGTCTTTCAAGTTTATTTAGAGCCCCAGAACACTCCAACACTCAATGAAAAGGCTTACCAGAACTGAGTTCAATGAAAAGTCTCACAATCACTGCATTCTCCCTCCCCAAGCACACAGATTCTCCACACCATGCAGCCACTGCTGGGGGACCAGGAAACAGCAATTAAAGACTGTTAAAGACTGTTTTTCCTGACCTTTTCAGTGCCTCTTTCAGTAATGTGAAGTTAATACAAGGTACTGTGAGTGCTCACCTAATTTTTTGGTTCTTATGAAAGTGTTGTGTGTGTGTTTGTGTCTGTGTGTGTAGATGTTAAATTTGGTCTTCCCATGGGTGGTGGACAAGACAATTATTGCAACCTTCTATTCTGCCATCTCACTCCACCCCTCTGCCAGTAGTAAGTGTTAGAGTCGGACGTGTGATGCCTCTAGTTTTGTTATTTTTGCTCAGGAGCGTTTTGGCTATTTGGAGTGTTTTGTGGTTCCATAGAAATTTTAGAAGTTTTTTCTATTTTGTGAAGAATGTCACTGGTATTTTGATAGAGATTGCATTGAATCTGTAAATTGTTTTGGGTAGTATTGTCGTTTTAACAATATTAATTCTTCCAATCCACAAGCATGGAATATCTTTTGTTTGTGTCCTCTTCAACTGTTTTTATCAGTGTTTTATAGTTTTCTTTGTATAGATCTTTCATTTCTTTGATTAAGTTGATTCTTAGGTATTTTATTTTATTTGTAGCTATTTTAAATGGGATTGCTTTCTTGATTTCTTTTTCAGATTGTTCACTGTTGCCGTATATAAATGCTATGGATTTTTGTATGTTGATTTTGTATCCTACAACTTTATCGAGTTTTGTAATAACTTCTAACAGGTTTTTGGTGGCATCTTGAGGTTTCTCTAAGTATAAGATTATGTTATCTGTGAACAAGAGTAATTCGACTTTTTCCTTTCTAATCTGGATGCCCTTTATTTCTTTCTCTTCCCTATTGATCTGGCCAGGACTTCCATTACTATGTTGAATAAAAGTAGTGCAAGTGGCAATTCCTGTCTTACTCCAAATCTTAGAGGAAAGGCCTTCAGTTTTTTCCATACTAATGTTAGCTGTAGGTTTATCATATATGACCTTTATTATTTTGAGCTATGTTTCTTCTATGCCCAGTTTGTGAAGGCTTTTGTCATAAAGGAATACTGAATTTTATCAAATATTTTTTCAGCATTTATTAAAATAATCATATGGCTTTTGTTCTTGGTTCTGTTAATGTGACGTGTCACATTTATTGATTTGTGTATGTTGAACCATCCATGCATCCATGGGATGAATCTCACTTGATAATGGTGAATTATCTTTTTGATGTGTTGCTGATTTTTTTAGTGTATTTACAGATACATTTAAAAAAACTAGAAAGTCAAATTCAACAACACATCAAAAAATTAATTAGGTTCTTCTTAAGATATTTAGAACACCAATTTTTGAGAATAAATTTCATTTATCTGGGAAAACACAGATCATAGGTAGCCCTGGAGCTAAGGAATCGCTTTGATTTTTAGTAAAATTTGCAAGTCCACTGCTTTCTGATCAACCTTGCACTGCTCTGTAATCTCCTTTTCTTTTTCCTTTGTTGATGATCTCACCTTCCCAGTGTCTGGGCTTCCACAGCTTCTTCTTCTTGAAGTAAGTATGAGTAAGATGTTTTAGGATTTTCACATTGCTGATAACAACTTTTGTGGAGGTGGCAATGACAAATTTCTTGTGTGTTCTTCATAGAAGAACTCAACTGAGAACCAAAGATCCAGTCACAAGTGAGAAGCCACTGCCCAGCTCCTTCACGAAAACCACCCTCTTGCCTCTGTGGTGCCCAGGGGGGATGGACAGAATAGTCCTGGGAGTGATGCTGCCTCGCAGTTTTCTCCGTGCTGACTGAAAGATTTTTGGCTGTGGCTCAACAGCGTTCAGCGCACATCTTCAGTAGGATAATAGCTATGCATTTTGCAAAGTGTAACCACCTGAGTACCTTCAACTTTGTCACCACCAACTGCTTTTGTATTAAACCTTCTCCTTTTTCTTTTCAATCTTTGATTTACTGGCTGAATACTTCCTCTTGTACATAACCTTTCCACAATACATAGCAGATTGGGAATATCTGCCAATTTCTCTGATGAAGACAGGACTTCAGTTGCAATGAGGCTTCCCCTTTTTGGCCTTTTCTTACCCTTTTTCACCTTGCCATTAGCAACAGCCTTCTTGGCTTCAGGTTCCTTCTACTTAGTATCCAGCTTCTCAACTTTTTCACCCACCGTCTTGCAAGATGGGAAAGAGAACTTGCTAGTACTTTCTTGAGGACTTTTTTTCCTGCGTCGATTTTCATAAGGGATATTGGCCTGTAGTTTTCTTTTTGTTGTGTCTTTCTCTGATTTGGTATTAGGGTAATGCTGGCCTCATAGAATGAATTTGGAAGTATTCCCTTGTCTTCCTTTTTTTTTGAAGAGTTTGAGTAGAATTGGTATTAGTTCTTCTTTAAATGTTTAGTAGAATTCAATAGTGAAGCTATGAGGTCCTAGGCATTTCTTTGATGGTACACTTTTTATTACAGCTTTGTTCTCATTACTCATTATCGGTTTGCTGAGGTTTTCTATTTTTTCATGGTTCAATCTTGGTAGGTTGCTGTATCCAGGAATGTATCCATTTCTTCTAGGTTTTCAAATTTGTTGGCATATAGTTGTTCATAATAATCTCTAATGATCCTTTGCATTTCTGTAGTCTCAGTTGTTTCTGATTATTTATTTAGCTCTTCACTCTTATTTCTTCTTAGTCTAGCTAATGGTTTGGTGATTTTATTTATCTTTTCAAAAAAAATCCTTTTTGTTTCATTGAACTTCCATAATTTTTTTAGTTTCAATTTCATTTATTTCTGCTCTATCTTTATTATTTCCTTCCTTCTACTAATTTTGATTTGTTTTGCTATTCTAGTTCCTTGAGGTGCATCATTAAGTTGTTTATTTGAGGTTGTTCTACTGTTTTGATATAGGTGTTTATTGCTATAAACTTCCCTCTTAGTACGGCTTTGTTTTATCCCACAGATTTTGGTATACTGTATTCTCCTTTTCATTAACTTCAAAAATTTTTAATTTCCTTCTTAATTTATTCGTTGATCCATTTGTCATTCAGGAGCATGTTGTTTAATTTCCACTTGTTTGTGAAGTTTTTGAGGTTTCTCTTATTATTGATTTCTAGTTTTATTCCACTGTGATCAGAAAAAGGTAATTTTAAAAATTATTTTTATTTATTATTTCTTTTCAGAGACAGGGTCTTGCTCTGTTGCCCAGGCTGGAGTGCAGTGGTATGATCACGGCTCACTGCTGCCTGAAGCTCCCAGGCTCAAGTGATCCTCCCACTTCAGCCTCTCAAGTAGCTGGGACTACAGGCAGGTGCCATCATGCCTGGCTAATTTTGTTTATTTTTTGTAGAGATGGAGTCTCACTATGTTGCCCAGTCTGCTCTGAAACCCCTAGGCTCAAGTGATCCTCCCATCTCAGGTTCCCAAAGTATTGGGATTGTAGGGATGAGTCACCTCACCTGGCCAGGAAAGATACTTGATATGATTTCTACTGTTTAAAATTTGTTCAGACTTGTTTTGTGGCCTAAGATATGGTCTGTTCTGGAGACTATTCCATGTGCTGATAAACAGAATATGTATTCTGCAGCAGTTGGGTAAAATATTTGGTAAATAAGTTAGGCCTATTAGGTCTAGTGTGTAGTTTAACTCCAATGTTTCTTTGTTGATTTTCTTTCTGGATAATCTGTTCATTACTCACAGTAGAGTATTAAAGTCCCCACTATTATTGTATTGTGATCTATCTCTCCCTTTAGATATATTAATGTTTGTTTTATATACTTGGGATCTCCTGTTTTGGGTGCATAGATATTTATAATTGTTAAATCCTCTTGCTGATTTGACTCCTTTATTATTATATAGTGACCTGCTTTGTTTCTTCTTACAGTCTTTGATTTGTAGTCTGTTTCATCTGATATAAGTATAGCTACTCCTGTTCTTTTTTTGTTTCCAGTTGCATAGAATCTCTTTTTCCACCTCTTCACTTTCAGTCTATGTGCATCTTTATAGGTGAAATTGGTTTCTTGTAGGTAGCATGTAGCCAAGTCTTGGTTCTTTATCCATTCAGCCACCCTGTGCCTTTTAATCAGAGAATTGAGTCCATTTATATTCAGTGTTATTATCGGTAAGCAAAGACTTACTAATGCCATTTTGATTCTTATTTTCTGGTGGTTTTGTACCTTCTCTCCTCTTACTTCCTTTCTTGCTGTCTTCTTTCATGGCTAAGTGATTTTCGCTGGTAGTATTTTTAATTCATTGTTTTTTATTTTTAGTGTATCTATTATAGGTTTTTGTGTTGTGGTTACCTTGAGGATTATAAAAAGCATCTTGCAGACATAAGAAATTATTTTATAGAGATGGCAACTTATCTTAGATCACAAAAAATAGAATAAAAACAAAGAAAATAATTTAAAAAAAATTTACATATTAACTCCATCCCCCTCCCCCTCTTGACTTTTAGTTGTCTCAATTTATGTGTTTTAAATTGTCTATCTCTTGACAGGTTACTGTAGCTATTATTGTATTTGACAGATTTGTCTTTTGGGCTTCATACTAGAATTATGAGTAGAATGCATACCACAATTACAGTATGAGAGTATTCTGAGTTTGTTCATGTACTTAGATTCACCAGTGGGTTTTATAGTTTCAAATTTTTTTTAGTTTTCTTTTCTTTTTGTTTTGTACATTAGTACAAACAAATTGTTTCAGGTTGAAGAGCTCCCTTTCATATGTCTTGTAAGGTGAATCTGATGGTGGTGAATTCTCTCAGCTTTTGTTTGTCTGGGAAAGACTTTTGTCTCCTTCATGGTTGAAGGATAAATTTGCTGGAGGCAGTATCCTTGGATGGCAGTTAAAAAAAAAAACTCCCTCACTTTAAAAATGTTATTCCACTCCCTCCTGGCCTATGTGATTTCCATTGAGAAGTCTGTTGCCAGATAAACTGGAGCTCCTTTATATGTTATCTGCTTATTTTCTCTTGCCACTTTCAGCATTTTTCCTTTGTCCTTGTCCTTTGAGTGTTATTATATGCCTTGGGGTAGTTTTATTTTAATCAAATCTGTTTGGTGTTCTCTGACCTTCCTGTACCTGAATATTTATGTCTTTCTCAAGTTTTGGAAAGTTTCATTTTATTATTGCTTGGAATAAGCTTTCCACCCCATGCTATTGCTCAACTCCCTCTTGAACACCAATAATTCTTAGATTTGGTCTTTTGAGGCAATTTTCTATATCTTGTAGATGATCTTTGTTGGTTTCCTTTTTTTCTCCTTTCATTGTGTATTTTCAAATAGCTTGTCTTTGAGAGCACTGATTTTTTTCCTCTGCTTGATCCATTTGGCTGTTGAGAGCTTCTAATGAATTTTTCAGTTCAGCAAATGTATTTCTGAGTTCCAAGACTTCTGTTTGATTTTTTTTATTATTTCAATCTCTTTGTTAAATTTCTCTGATAAACTTCTGAACTGCTTTTCTGTGTTATCTTGGAAATCACTGAGTTCCTTAAAACTGCTGTTTTAAATTATTGGTCAGAGAGTTCACATATTACCATCTCACTGGGGTCAGTTACTGGTTCCTTGCTTTGTCCATTTGGGGAGATCATCTTTCCCCATTTGCTGTTGTTTCTTGTGGATGTACATCTGTGTCTTTGCATTGAAAGATTATTTATTCCAGTCTTCTTTGACTAGCTTATTTTGGTTTTTATATTTGCTCAGAGGTTCTTAACCACTAGGTTGCTTCCTCCTTTTCAGTTCTATGTGGCTCCTTAAGCCCAGCTTCACCTCAGTTATAGTAAACAATCATAGCACTGCCCTTCCCAAACTGGGGAAGTCCTAAAGAAGATATTTTGGCAGTGTAGAAGGCTGGCTAGTAGTTTGTGCCCAGGGGACCTGTGGAACAAATCTCCTACAGCATGTTGCTGCTGAGCAATCATTCTCATCTGGTGTCCCCTTTAGCTGAGTTACACAGCAGAGTTTTCAGGGCTGCATGGTAGTACTGCCTCCTCCCTTTGTCTCTGCCTATTCTCAGGGATATTTCTCCCTTTAGGCACTCACAATGTGCCCTGTGGTTAAAGCAGGCACAAGTCTCCTGCCAGGGAACCCAAATTGATGAGGAAGCTGGTTGTCCACTTCAGTCTCACTTTTTCCAGTGTAGAAACTGTGTCGGGGAAGAATTTTCGCACCCTTATTGCTGGGCCAAATGTGGGGCGGGACATCATAGATGTGGAAGTTCTATTCTCTGTCTTCTCAGACTTTTTTCACTTTTCTGTGGGCGCAGGAACTGTCTCATCTTCATATTTGAGTTCTGGGATATTGCTAGTGATAATCTTGGAGCTGTACATTTGTTTTTAGTTTTCTGTGGGGGAGAGTGAAGCCAGCTTGCTGCTATGCCACCATTTTGGATCTACGCGTTATGTTGGTCTTTAACAAAAGATTCGAGAGAAAGGAAAGCTGTTTAGTGTTATCTTATTAAGAACACAAATGCTGTTCATCTCCAATGTTGAGTGGGAAGAGGTATTTCTCATTATATCTGTTCAATTTTCCCTTTTCTCTAGGCTTTCTAGGGACTTAGAGGTAACTTTATTTGCATGTAATCAAATAAAACTTCTCAACATCTGATACTATTAGCAACGGTGGCAAACAATCCGTTTAGAAAGTCTCTGGAAAACCTTTTCTTAAAGTTCAGAGTATTGTTAAAGGTTTCTGAAATTTTAATTTTTTACAACTTATGATTCAATGCTGCAAATTTCTATTATCTATGGTCAGAATACACCACTTCTCTAACCTGTTGGATCTCGTCATTTCCTCTTTTTTTTTTTTTGAGACAGAGTCTTACTCTGTCACCCAGGCTGGAGTGCAGTGGCGTGATCTCAGCTCACTGCAACCTCCGCCTCCCGGGTTCAAGCAATTCTCCTTTCTCAGCCTCCCGAGTAGCTGTGATTAGAGAAGCACGCCACTACGCCCGGCTAATTTTTGTATTTTTAGTAGAGACGGGGTTTCCCCATGTTGGCCAGGCTCGTCTCGAACTCCCGGCCTCAAGTGATCCACCCACCTTGGCCTCCCAAAGTGCTGGGATTAGGGGCGTAAGCCACCGCACCCGGCCTTGTCTTTTCCTTTTTAAGCAATTTTTCTCTGTTTTAGAACATATAGATACAAAAAAACTAACCAACCATATTTTTAGTATTTAGGTTGCCAAAAAGTATTTATCTATATCATCCTGGGATTTGTCTGGAAAAAAATATGATCAAAAAAAGAAAGGAGGTATTCATGACAACTGTAATGTGTGATGTTGGTTTGAATCCTGAACTCGAAATTTTTTTTCTTCTTTTTCTATAAAGAATATTTTTGGGAAAATTGATGAAATTTAAATGATGTCTATAGATAAGAATTTCATGTCAATTTTCCTGATTTAGATAATTAGACTGTGATTATGGAAGAGAATGAACTTGAAGCATTTGGGGTAGAAACATCATGTCTGCAACTCAACTCTGAGAGTTCAGAGAAAGAGAGAGAGATGCAAGAGTAAATGTGTAAAATGTTAACATTTGGGGAACTTGGATGAAAGGTATATGAGAATTCTTTGTACTATTCTTTTACAACTTTTTTGAAAGTCTGAACTTGTTTTAAAATAATTTTTTTAAATAGTCAGGGATTAAGAGCAGAAAGTAAGGTCAGTGTCCTGAAGATCTCTTTGAGCACTTACAGGATCCCTAAATGGTACACATGGAAAGTAAAAACCTTATTAGCTTAAAAGAAAAGATGGGAGCTTAGAGTACCTCATATTTGGCTAAAAAGGCCAATCCAAAATTACTACCTAAAAGGTACTCACTTTGATAGGTACAATGATGTTTAATTTAATACACTGCCATTCCATATTAGCAGAATCAGTGATATCCCAGTGAGCTAATAACACAGGCCAAGACCATTAAAAATTGCAGGGACTATCAGATTAGCAGAGATGCAATTGAGTTATTATGCTCAGTTAGCACGTGGGGCAACAAACATGCTTGTACACTACTGGTGGGATTTAGATAGGTATAATCTGGTATAATCATTCTGAGGAGCAACCCAAAAGTATTATCACATTTTAAAATGTTCATAAAATGTTCTTACCCTTTGACTCAGCAATTCTACTTCTAGAAACTTATTCTAAGGAAATAATAGGGCAAATCCACAAACAAGTATATTCAAATATGTTCACTCTTTGTCACAGCAAAGAACAGGAAACAATTTATGTCCATCAGTAGGAGACTGGTTAAATAAATTATGGTTTATCTATACCAGACAATATTCTTCAGAAATCACAAAGTATGAGATAAATTAACAGGAAGCAATGTCCCTAATGTGTTAAATGAAAAAAACAGGTTTCAGAATGGCATATGTACTATGATTCTATTTACATTTACCTTACTTGTTATATTAGTCTGTTTTCATGCTGCTGATAAAAACATAACTGAGACTGGACAATTTACAAAAAAATAAAATAAAAAGAGGTTTTTGGGACTTACAGTTTCACATGGCTGAGGAGGCCTCACAATTATGGCAGAAGGCAAGGAGGAGCAAGTCACATCTTACGTGGGTGGCAGCAGGCAAAGAGAGAGCTTGTGCAGAGAAACTCATTTTTTAAACCACCAGATCTCATGAGATCCATTCACTATCATGAGAACAGCACGGGAAAGACCCGCCCCCATGATTCAATCATCTCCCACTGGGTCCCTCCCACAACACGTGGAAATTATGGGAGCTGCAAGATGAGATTTGGGTGGCGACACAGAGCAAAACCATATCACTTGTTTACATTTAAACTGGAAATATTATATAGACAGTTTTAAGGAAAAAACTGAAGGAATGCATGTGAAAAAAGAATTGTGGGTAGGTAAGGAGTACAAGATACATACGCTACACTATAGGTACACTGATACATGGTACTACGTATATGCTACACTAAATATGGCAGACTACATATTTGTAAGGACCAGTGCAAAATGAAAATGTTGAGCCACCAATTTAAAAACAGAATTTCTAAGACAGTGACAGCAGAGTTTTAAGCCATGCATGGAGCTCTGTTTGGCTGTATGAGTCACGTGTCCATAAAGCCAGGCCTGACTATACATAACACTATACCCTTAGATATATGCTGTACTATATATTACACTATAAATTACACTCAGTATATACTAAGATATACACTACAGTAAAGGGTTGCATATGAGTGGTGGGTAGAAACACACATGTGGTTTATCCTTCCCTTTCCTTCTTTGTTATTATCTTGAGTAATAAAGTCAACACAAATTGTATTTAAATTATCCCTAAAAGGAGTTAGCATTTTAAGGGTGCCAAGATCAACGATTTGCCAGAGTACCCTTTGGATCAGTTCACATGTCACAAGAGTGCCTCCAAGAGGACTGACTGAAATCCAGCGAGGAGACAGAGATATATGGCTCTGCTCACATTTCAAAACAGAGCCTATAATCCTGGTGTGTGGTATTACTAAAGACTTCTGTGGCAAAATTTAACTACTCTTAAAGAGTTTTCCATTCTAATGACTATCTCGACAATAAATGGAGGGTAATTTTTTCCTCTTTTCATGTCACAAGTAGAAGCATAAGAAAAAAGTAAGAAGATAAATATAAAACAACAGGTATTTCTTATCTCTAGAAATTAAATAGCTCTTCTAGGTCACTTGGGTACTGATATTTTTCTACTGCTCTAAATGGCTCTATGATATCCTTGACTTAACCAAATAGTAGTGTTACTAGTTGTTAATTGACTTGATCTGTCTACAAGTTAAACGTTTCCTCTGATGCTTCTATTTATAAGCAGAACTAAAAACCTGGGAAGTCTAATTTGGGATCAGTATGGTAGCTATGTTCTGCCATGTAGAACATCAAGTTTGATTAGGCAGATCTTAGGTTTGTAGCCAAAAACAAGTGCACAAGACATTCTAATATCTAATGGGCTCTAAAGATGATCTAACACTTACCAGGCTCTTATTCTCATTAGTTATATGAATAGCAACGTTTAACAAGCCCTAATGAAAGTGTTGGGATAAGCATGTAGGTGAAAGACAAGTGTTTCCAGGATTCAACACTGTGGGAAAGCAGGAAGAAAAACATTAAAAGATTTGTTGTTAAAGATTTTGTCTGAAGTCCATCATAAGGTAACCAGTGGTAACCAAGCATAAATGGCACAGCAGGAACTATAAAACTTTGACTTCATAGGCATCTGGAGAATCTGTTGAAATTCTATTTGAGAAGTTCTCCAAGAGACTTCAGGGTTTTTTATAACATGGTGACAGACTATAAATAGAAATCTGATAAATCCTATGAGGTGTGTATTTCAAGACTAAATCCCATGCCCTAGAAGTATTCAATCTTACACTATCTTTTAACTCATGTTACACAATTATAATCATGTGTGTATACATGGTACCATATATCACATATAATCTATGCTCAGTAATAAAGAAAAGCAACTAATAAACACATCAGAATCCTACTTATATGAGATTATCCAAGGCAATCATCTGTTTTAGGACATCAGTCTGTCTTCATTAAAATTATTAAAGACACTTATATTCACGAGAATTAATTTTCACCAGTCTGATTAGCACTCTAATTATTATCACATTTCGAAACAGAACCCATAATTCAGGTGTGTGGTATTACTGAAGATAGAATTATATCATTTTCACAAATACAAAAAAGAGCTCTACTTAATGCATTTGCCCTTTGTTATTTCCACAGATATTTAACTGCTTTTACTTTAAATATCTAAATATTACAATCACTTTTTGTTTTAAATGATTAGATGCACATGTGTCTTACAAGAAAAATGTTCTAACGGTATCCTCTGAAGGCTAATGGGCTATGACTCGAGAAGTATTGAGGTTGGAAAAACCACCTGATGGGAATATTGAAGTGAAAATTCAAGCACAAAATGGATGATTGATCTAGGTAATATTTATACTTTCTCCCAACTCTGAAATATCACGAATATGAAACAATTCTTACAAGTCTTGAACAGGGCAGAGGCATTGGGAATGAAAAGTAGGCAAATGTGAGAGACTCTGTGAAGATACTTAATCATTACAATTTGGCATTGATTGAGTGTGGGATGCAAAAGAAAAGGATGAAAAATCAAAGTTGCTTAATGTTTTCAGCTCAAGTAACTGTGTAGCACCATTAGCAGAAATAAAAAAAGGATTAATAATGAACAGTTTTCTTTTTTTCCTTGTTTTGATTGTAAAGGAATCCCCCTGAACAGGGTGACTAAAAACAGAGAAGCTAACCCAGTAGTTCCGTTTTGTTTGTTGGTGTCAGAGATAGTTCCAAAAGGTCAGTCCAGATGGGGCAGGAAACTCCAATCCTCCTGACTGGACCTCTAGGGGGAGAGCCCTGAAAAGGAGACTAGTAGAAGGGAAACAGAGAATCTGGCAAATGGGCTAAAATTCAGAAACAGAGGAAGAATAGTTAATGGAGACAATCTGCCTCTTTGAGAATTGATACAAGAATGAGGACAGGCTTGTTCCTTCAAGGAGCTAGGGAAGGCAGTGGCAGAGTATATGAGATTTAAGCTAACACCAAAAAACTCAGAATAGACTTTGCATGCTCAATGGAGCCAGTCTTGGTGAAGAATGCCATAAAGAAAATAGCATTTGAGAAAACTCAAGAGGAAAACTAGAAGCAGAGAGAAACCCAGGAAAGTAGTACATACATCTATTCAGAAAGTAGTATGGAACTGGGTATTACTGGTTTGTTCAATGCTGTCCTTGAAACACTAATCGTTTGGTACATTTTTTCAAGCAAGAAATCTATAACAATGAATTTACACACTCATTACTTTTTTTTTTTTTTTTTTTTTTTTTTTGATGCAGGGTCTCACTCTTGTCACCAAGGCTGGAGTGCAGTGGTGTGATCATGGCTCACTGCAGCCTCAACTTCCCAGGCCCAAGTGATCCTCCCACCTCAGCCTCCCAAGTAGCTAGGACTACAGGCTCATGCCACCATGCCACCATTCCACCATACCCGGCTAATTTTTTCTTTCCTTTTTTTTTTTTCGTAGAGACAGGGTTTCAGCATGTTGCCCAGGCTGGTCTCAAACTCCTGGGCCCAAGCGACCCACTTGCCTCGGCCTCCCAAAGTGCTGGGATTACAGTTGTGAACCACCATGCCCAGCTGACATGCAGTATTTTGAAGTGTTGCGTGATATATGATCTATTACTATGATGCCTAATTAACCCTTATTTTAACTCTGTTCTTATCTTAATGCTGAATCTATCTATAATGAGCTCTGTTGGGCCAGATTTAGTAGTTGTCAAAGTATATTCTAGGAACTGAAACATCATTAGCATCCTCTGAGCTCTTGTTAGAAATTCACATCTTCAAAGGCTGTCCCAAATTTACTGAAACAGAAACCCTGAGGATAAAGGCCACCAATCTGGTTTTTAACCTTCCAGGTGATTCTAATGCATTCTGAAGTTTGCAAACCATTCCCTTGGGCATTTCAGAACTAGACCTCTTCAGAGATCCAGCTGAGATCAGTGTGATAGGCCAGGGTCTATCTAGAATGGTCCACTAGAAGTCGCAGGGGTTTACAGCTAGGCAGGGCTGGACTCCAACTAGGGTTCCAGTGAGAGGTGACAGCGTGCTGGCAGTCCTCACAGCCCTCGCTTGCTCTCCGCACCTCCTCTGCGTGGGCTCCCACTTTGGCGGCACTTGAGGAGCCCTTCAACTCGCCGCTGCACTGTGGGAGCCCCTTTCTGGGCTGGCCAAGGCTGGAGCCGGCTCCCTCAGCTTGCGGGGAGGGGTGGAGGGAGAGGTGCGGGCGGGAACTGGGGCAGCGGGTGGTGCTTGCGGGCCAGCGCGAGTTCCGGGTGGGCGTAGGCTCGGTGGACCCCGCACTCAAAGCGGCCGGCCAGCCCCACCGGCCCTGGCAGTGAGGGGCTTAGCACCTGGGCCAGCAGCTGCTGTGCTCAATTTCTCCCGGGCCTTAGCTGCCTTCCCGCGGGGCAGGGCTCGGGACCTGCAGCCTGCCATGCCTGAGCCTCCCCCCGGCTCCGTGGGCTCCTGTGCGGCCTGAGCCTCCCCGACGAGTGCCACCCCCTGCTCCACAGCGCCCAGTCCCATCGACCACCCAAGGGCTGAGGAGTGTGGGCACACGGCGTGGGACAGGCAGGCAGCTCCACCTGCAGCCAGGGTGCGGGATCCACTGGGGGAAGCCAGCTGGGCTCCTGAGTCTGGTGGGGACGTGGAGAACCTTTATGTCTAGCTCAGGGATTGTAAATACACCAATCTGCACTCTGTATCTAGCTCAAGGTTTGTAAACACACCAATCAGCACCCTGTGTTTACCTCAGGGTTTGTGAATGCACCAATTGACACTCTGTATCTAGCTACTCTGGTGGGGACTTGGAGAACCTTTGTGTTCCACACTCTGTATCTAGCTAATCTGGTGGGGACGTGGAGAACCTTTGTGTCTAGCTCAGGGATTGTAAACGCACCAATCAGTGCCCTGTCAAAACAGACCACTCGGCTCTACCAATCAGCAGGATGTGGGTGGGGCCAGATAAGAGAATAAAAGCAGGCTGTCCAAGCCAGCAGCGGCAAGCCACTCAGGTCCCTTTCCACACTGTGGCAGCTTAGTTCTTTCTCTCTTTGCAATAAATCTTGCTGCTGCTCACTCTGGGTCCACAGTGCCTTTATGAGCTGTAACACTCACCGCGAAGGTCTGCAGCTTCACTCCTGAGCCAGCGAGACCACGAACCCACCAGAAGGAAGAAACTCGGAACACATCCGAACATCAAAAGGAACAAACTCCAGACATGCCGCCTTTAATAACTGTAACACTCACCGCGAGGGTCCGCGGCTTCATTCTTGAAGTCAGTGAGACCAAGAACCCACCAACCAATTCCAGACACACTAGCACCTGTTAGTTGTGTAGGTTCTTGAGCAAATTACTTCCCTTCTTTGAACCTCAGGTTCCTCATACAGAAAATGGAAATGTCTACCTTTAAAGGTTGCTATGCACAGTGAAGTTTATGTACCTCCATGGTAATTAGGAGTGCCAGCTCTGGTGTCATGCCCAGTTCAAATGCCAGCTACTGTGTGATCTTGGGCAAATTACTAAACTTCTTTGTTCTTCAAGTTTCTCGTCTGTAAAGTGAGTATACTTAACTCATAGCGTGGTGGTGAGAATTCAATGAGTTAACATACATATATTGCATACATACATTATCTATATAAAGTATTTTTTTTATTATTATTTGTATTTCTGCTATTATAGGCAGGTAATAGTTATTGAGCACTTACGTGGCAGTCAGTCTTTTTTTTTTGAGACAGAGTCTTGCTTGTTGCCCAGGCTGGAGTGCAGTGGCGTGATCTCGGCTCACTGCAACCTCCCCCTCTCCGGTTCAAGTGATTCTCCTTCTGCCTCAGCCTCCCGAGTAGCTGGGATTACAGGTGCTTTTTATGCCTGCCAGCCCGGGTGCAGTGGCCCACGCCTGTAATCCCAAAACTTTGGGAGGCCGAGGCAGGCGGATCACTTGAGGTCAGGAGTTTGAGACCAGCCTGGCCAACATGGTGAAAGCCTGTCTCCGCCAAAATACAAAAATTAGCTGGGTGTGGCGGCTTGCGCCTACTTGGGAGGCTGAGGCAGGAGGAAAATCACTTGAACCCAGGAGGCGGAAGTTGCAGTGAGCCGAGATCGCGCCACTGCACTCCAGCCTGGGCAACAGAGTGAAACTCCATCTTTAAAAAAAAAAAAGACTGACTGCCATGAAAGTGCTCATTAACTATTACCTGCCTATAATAGCAGAAATACAAAATAAATACAAATAATGATAATAAAATACCTAAACCTAGAATACAGTAGGTGCTCCATATTTGGTAACAACTGTCATCACTGTCATTATAGAATTTTTTCCTGTAAAGTATAAGGTTATAAAAGGTTCCAATACATGGATATTGCCTCATACTTTCATATATTCTTTACATTCTAATGTCTTGCCTCCCCTCTGAATAACCTCTGTGGATTATATCAATATCAATTTCCTTGTTTTGATAATGTAGTACAGTTATACAAGATGATACCATTGGGAGAGACTCAGTAGAGGACATATGGGATCTCCTTGTACATTTTTTTGGAACTCCTGTGAATCTGTAATTAGTTTAAAATAAAAAGTTTAAACAACAAAAAAAGATAGGGGTAGAGAGCTTGTCTGAAATGAGACTATTGGGCCTGGAGGCTGGGCCTATAATTCTGTTTTTCTCCAATTAAATAGTTAAAATTAACTTAAAAAAAAAAACCTAAAGAAAAACTAGATTCATCCCTCTCAATCAAATTAACATCAATGGTTAGGCGCAGCAGCTCACACCTGTAATCCTAGCACTTTGGGAGGCCAAGGCAGGCCGGTCACTTGAGGTCAGGAGTTTGAAACCAGGCTGGCCAACCCAGTGAAACCATGTCCCCACTAAAAATACAAAAAAGTTAGCCGGGCATGGTGGCAGGCGCCTGTAATCCCAGCTACTCGGGAGGCTGAGGCGGGAGAATCACTTGAACTTGGGAGGTGGAGGTTGCAGTAAGCGGAGATCACCCCACTGTACTCCAACCTGGGCAAGAGAGTGAGACTCTGTCTCAAAAATAATAATAATAATAACATCAATGGCTAGCCTTTTAATTTATCATCTTTTACCAGGGGCTTCAGTCAAAATTATCTGCCTATAATAGCAGAAATAGAAATAACAATAATAATTTTAAAAGAAAACACTTTGCATAGATAAAACACCTAGACCTAGAACATGGTAGGTGTTCAATATTTGGTAACAATTGTTTCTCCAGGCTCCCCAAGTTATAAGTCAGAAAAGTCTGGCAATGAAAATGAATGAATGAAGTCCCTACTACCTGATCAACTTTGTTTTCCAGAGAAAATAAAGGTATATTACCAAAGGCTTAATATTTTTCTCTCAAAAAAGCAGCAGTCCAACTGTAACAAAAACAATTATATTTTAGTAAGATTTAGCAACATATAAAATTCCTGAGGCTGGGCGCAGTACCATGCCTGTAATCCTAGCACTTTGGGAGGCCGAGGTGGGTGGATCACAAGGTCAGGAGTTCAAGACCAGCCTGACCAACATGTTAAAACCCCGTCTCTACTAAAAATACAAAAATTAGCCGGGTGTGGTGGCGAGTGCCTGTAATCGCAGCTACATGGGAGACTGAGGCAGGAGAATTGCTTGAACCCAGGAGGCAGAGGTTGCAGTGAGCCAAGATCGCACCACTGCACTCTAGCCTGGGAAACAGAGTGAAACCCTATCTCAAAAAAAAGAAAAAAAAAAGTAAGAAATTCCTTCTTTTTTCAGCCAACACTACCCAGGCTTTTGCTCCGGAAATCAAACATAATCTAAGGTATTCCCCCAAACAGTAACAGAAACCATAGGATCCATATTACAAAGAAAGATTCTATAATCTTCAGTTTAATGCATATATCATGAGAAGAGTCTAAACTGCTTAACAAGTATAATTATTTTTGAGATTGCATTTGATCAACCAAAATCCTGTGTAAGTCTTCACAAATCCTTTCACAAATGTCTGTTGCAGAACAGTTTCTTTATTCAGAAAGTGACTGAAAGAGAATTTCATGACACACTGAAAGCAAGTATCTCTATAATATTTTAGACTTTCCCAATACCAAGAGTGATTACAAGTCAGAAGATCATTACCTAACACCAAATAGCCTATTGCAAAACAGGTCTCAGATACAGAATAGGTTTTCTGGTGTTTGGTTATAACAACTATACTTCATATACATAAAAAAGCATTTTTGTTATATAGTCTGTTAGTTATGTACTAAATGTTTGTGTTCCCCCAAAATTTATGTTGAAATCTTAAGCCCCAATGTGATGGCGTTAAGGGTGAGGTTTGAGGGAAGTAATTAGATCATGATGGTGAAGCCCTCATGAGTGGGATCAGTGCCCGTATAACAGAAATGAGAGCTTGCTCCCTGGCTACTATCCAATATACAAGGATACAGTAAGTAGATAGCCATCTCCAAACCAGGAAGTGAGTTCTCACCAGATACCAGATCGGCCTTAATAATGGACTTCACGTCCTCCCTAACTGTGAGAAATAAATGTTTGTTTAAGCCACTCAGTTTGTGGTAATTAATTATCACATCCCAAATTAAGATAATATTGAAATGGTTAATAATTCTGCATTTTACTTCCTTAGTTCAGCAAGTTAAATTGAAACCTTCTAATCAGTTAGATCTACCATATCTTGCTAATTCAATTACCAATCAGCATGTAGAGCTATTACCAACTCCCTGAAGGACTTCTTTGCCCATTTGATAAATTATGTATCTTCTATCTGGGAAGAACTGTAAGTATAGACACTAAACATGTAAACTTGGCAAACGAGTAGTGACAATTTCAAGTAATAAATTTAAGCCAATAGACTAAGAATTATAATTAAGGATAATTGTTTAACGAAGTGTGTCACAACTACTTTTAAATACATAGGGGGTTTTGCCCTGAAATGTATGTCTGATTTATTCCCTAAACTTTCACCCCAGAATGAGCTTGATATCAAATCAAGAATTTATATAAATAGAAGGAACTCAGTAAACTAGAAGCAATAACGACTCAATCCACAATTTTTTTTTTTTTTTTTGTGGTGGAGCTAGCTGAGGTTTTATTTTGGACCAAAAAAAAAACCACAATTGTTTTCTAGCTGGAAGCATGGGCAAGGGGGGTCCCCAGACAGTAAACTCCCCCACGGGTGGGTTGAGCCTCAGGTGGGGGGTCTCCTGTTGTCTGTGCTTCCCCACACAGCAGCCTCCCTCCTGGAGTCTGTGGCAGCCACGGGAGGGGCAGACTAGGAGGAGCTGCCACAGTTGTTCACTTGGGCAGGAAGTCAGAGGACTCAGACACCAGCTTCCCATCGCGGGTCTCGATCTTCTTCACAACCACGGCCCTGGTGGAGCTGGTGCACCTGAAGGAGCTGAAGCCTGTGCCAGAGCCAAAGCTGGAGCCCAGGCCATAGCTGAGGTCACGAGTTGTGAGGCCCACATAGGCCGAGCTCAGATCACCTGCATAGCCGCTGGTGGTCTTCGTATGGATACTCATGTTCTGCATCCCAGACTCCAGCTGGCTCTCCTAGCTCTCCCGCAGCTTTCTGTAGGTGGCGACCTCCATTTCCAGGCCAGCTTGACTTTCATCAGCTCCTGGTACTCACACGTTGCAGAGTGGCCTCCAGCTTGGAGAGCTTGGCATTGGCATCCTTAACGGCCAGCTCCCCACGATGCTCAGCATCTGGGATGGTGGCCTCCAGGGAAGCCCCCTGGCCTTGGAGGCCCTCAATCTCAGCCTGGAGCTGGCTGATGTTCCGGTTCATCTTGGAGATCTGAGTCTTTGTATGCCGCAGGTCATCCCTGTGCTTCCTAGCCAGCGTCTGCAGCTCCACATACTTGATCTGGTACGTGCTCTCAGCCTCAGCCCGGCTGCAGTTGGCAACCTCCTTGTACTGCCTCTTTACCTCAGTGATGATGCTGTCCATGTCCAGGAGTGGCTGCTGTCCATGGACAGCACCACAGACATGTTGGAGATCTGGGACTGCAGCTCCCGGATCTCCACTTCATACAGTCGGCCCTTCCAGGTGAGACTCCAGCTCTACGTTGTTCATGTAAGTTTCATCCACATCCTTCTTGATGAGGACAAATTAATTCTCCATCTCTGTAGGCTTATTGATCTCATCCTCATACTTGTTCCTGAAGTCCTCCACCAGCCCCTGCATGTTGCCAAGCTCCGCTTCCAGCCTCAGCTTCTCCTGGCTCCAGCAGCCGCCTAAGGTTGTTGATATAGCTCCCGAACATGTTGTCCATGTTGCTCCCAGCCATCTTGTGCTGCTGCAGAAGGCTCCACTTGGTCTCCAGCACCTTGTTCTGCTGCTCCAGGAACCATACCTGGTCTGTGAAGGAGGCAAACTTGTTGTTGAGGGTCTTGATCTGCTCCTTCTCCTGGGTGTATACAGCCTGGATGTTGGAGTCCACCTCCAGGTTAAGGGGGCTCAGCAGGCTCTGGTTTACCGTGATGGTGGTGATGCCTCGCATACTGCTGGCCCCACCATAGCCTCCGCCCAGGCCACCCCAGAAGCTGCACAGTGAAGCTCCCCACTAGGGAGAAGCTCAAGGAGCTGGTGCAGGCACTGGGCCCACTAGTGTAGGGGTGGCTGCTGAAAGCCTGGGGGCCAAAGGTGGACACCTTGTAGGACTTCTGGATCACCCTGATGGACATGGTGGAGGCAGGAGTGGAGGCAGCAGGCTAAACCAGGTGGAGATTCCAGAAGGAGCAGAGAAGCTGCTTCTTGATCTCAATCCACATTTTTATCAAGAGGGGTTAGCTTGCTTTTCAATTTAAGTGGAGGCCTGTGGCATTTCTGTAATACTTAAAGGCATTTTTTCTGGTTTTCCTGACTTCTGCTTTAGGGGCATATGTTCTTGCATTTGACAAATAGTCCCTGAGTACTTATGTGCCAAGTACTATTAGGTGCTGAGTATACAGTAGTGAACAAAACAACTATGGTTCTTGACTTCAGAGAGCTTACTGTCTAGGGAGGAAGACAGATTTTAGATAAATAAAATTATAAATTGCGGTTATTTCCTATTTGTATTGCATCTTTCTCAGCTGGTAACTAATTACAACTCTTTTTTAGGAGTCTTCTGCAGAGAGAAAACTCGGGTTGTTGTTTAATCATCAGAGACACTCAGTTGTAGCTGGAGACATGAAGACATATAACAGACACGTCTATAAACTTCATCATGAAAGCTACCATGAAATGTATTCCAAGAAGTACAAAATGTTCATCTATTGATATGTTGACAAGATAACTTTTACTCATAGGGTGGGAATTCGCTGGTAATTTGTTTTCTTGAACACTGCTTATGATAAAATCCATGATGGCGCAAAATACATACATACTCCAGCTTTTCAAGTGAATTTTCTTATCCTAAACTCATTTTGAAAAACACCAGTGCTCTGGTATGCAAATACAATGTTACTTCAGTTAAATGAGTCTTTGAAGAATAACAGTTTATAATGAACATCATCATTTGTATTTAAGATCTGTTCTAAATTTATATTCAAGTTAACCTTCAGTGTGAGTTATTTCCAGGCACAGCTTCTGTTGTCCATAGCCCAGTTGATGGTATATAAAGTACTGACGACTTTAAAGGTACTACTCTGCTTCCTAAGTTTTTACCTTCCTTTCCCCCACTACAATATCCTCTCCAAAGTGATCCCTAAAGTACTCCGGCTCTTTTCATTGCCTCTCCCCCAAAGGAAACTCAGTTGTTCATATCTGTTAAACCCACTAACTTCTTCCATTTTAACTTAAAAAAAAATTCCCCTCTGTTGCCTTTAAAAGTGTTTCCTTAGGAAGATCTGCATTTTAAACACTTATCTGCACGTTGTTCTACTAAAAAAATATACTAGAAAGGACCGAGAGTCAACGATTCTGAAGGAGTTTGTATCAGGGTCTCTTCTCCCTACCTCGTCAAGTTTAAACACACCCAACGCCTCGATTCCTTGCTTCCGACCCGAGTTGCTGCTTTACATATCCCTGTACATTTGAGGTGTTATTCGTTGATATTTCAATATATTTTAAAATAATTTTCCATTTCTGTTTTGTTAAATTTTTGAATACGTTCTTTTGTATCTCGTGTCATTTCTGCCTCTGGTAACGTTGTCCTTGGTATCCTTGGAACTCATTTCCTTTCTCAACACACAATATTCCCTGTCAGCTGCCACGGGCCCCGCCCTCCAGAAGTTCATACTTTGTGGTCAAGCAGCTTCTTTAACTTTTTAAGACGAATTACCTAGGAAGTGCTATTGTCCCAGGATCACCAGCTCTGCCTAAATTCCTAACTGTTGCGGGTGCTTAGTCACAGAAGATGAATCAGATTCGTCTAATGGGCCCTTTCCTTTTCCACCCACCTTTCCTGTCGCTTTCCGCTGAGCCTCCTCAACTCACGTCATCCCAGCAGGTCCTGGCCCCCAGACCCGGCCCTGGACGGCACGGAGCCCCAGCCCGGGAACGCAGCTGCGAGCGTCCGACCGGGAGACAGCGAAGCTCAGATCTCTCTGCAAAGCGAACGGAGAGCGCAAGGAATGCCCAGGAAGACAGGGCGCGCCCGGGGAGAAAAGAACGTTACTTTAACGCAGCCTCGACCCTGAACCCCCGGCATCTAGGGCTTCCTGGACGAGTGGAGCAAAACAACTCGCCCTGCTGCGTTCCCGGGCCTCTCCTTCCCCTTGCTGGTTTCCCCTTAAGTCTACTTCTCTATTGCTTCCAACCCCTCTCTCCGAAGGCACGTGGTCCTTCCCCGCCTGCCCCCGCCGCACCCCTCCGGGCCCGGAGCCGGCTCCTCCCAGCGTCGTTCGCTTCCCCTTTCCGTTCGCTCTTTCCGCCCCGGCTCTCCATCGCCCCTTCTGATTGGTCGAACGCACCGGAGCCTGGTTAGCCAATGGGCGAGCCGGGCTGGAGGCGATGGGCGTGGCCGCAGCGCCGGGGCCCTCAGATCGAGGCTGCCTCCCCCTCTCAGCCGGCAGCACATTCCGTCGCCTTGCCGCCGCCCGGCCCCACAGTTGTCTTTGCCGGAGCTGCAGTCGCGCTGGGGTTAGGGCGGGGGGGCGGGCGGGGAGAGGAGAAGGCCGCGGCGGAGGCAGGTGAGAGGAGGAAGGAAGCGGCGGCGCGGCGGGCACAGCAGCTCAGGCGGCGGCCCGGTTCCTGGGAGTGTCGGTGCGGCGCGTTGGTTGGGGCGGATCCCGCGGGGCCCGGGCGGGGGAAGGAGTCACCGGCCCGGCCATGGCGGACAACGAGAAACTGGACAACCAACGGCTCAAGAATTTCAAGAACAAAGGCCGCGACTTGGAGGTAAACTCGGGGACGACGCCGGAGGGGTGGGGGCTGTGGGCCTGGGGCCGGTCTCCGCCGGGACCCCGAGTGTGGGGATTAGGGGCGGGAGCCGCCTCCAGGCCTCGGGGAATGGCGCTAGGGGCCGGCCCGTCTGTGACGCCTCTGCTAGCGCGCCGGGAAGTTTATGTCGGGCCTGCTCCGCCTCCGCCGGGGAGCGAGGTGCCCGGGTACGGCCGGCGCGGCCTAGGCCTGCCCGGCGGAGCCGGCCCGGCGCGGGTGCGAGGGGCCGGGCCGCGCGGCGGGGAGGCCGGGCGCGGCGCGTGCGGAGGAGGCGTGCGTGTGCGGCCGGTGCTGCCCCGGCCGGGCCGCGGCCCCTTCCCCGGCAGTGGCGGAGATTCCGGCTCTCGCTCGGGCACCGACGTCTGGCGCCGCGGGAAGGAGGGCGGTGGGAATGGGAGGGTGAGCGTGTGGCGACCGAGTGGGGCTCTGAACTTCCTCAGCGAGGCCCGAGGCGTCTCCACTTAAAGGCATTTTTTCTGGTCTTCCCGACTCCCGCTTTACCCCTGCCTCCCCCCAATATCCAAACTACAGGACAACTTCTCCGTTGAAAAAAACACCCCCGGCGTGAGAGGCCATCCTGGTGATCCTAACAGTGCCTTCCAGCGGCCTGTGTTTTACTCTGGATATAGCTGATTCAAGATGTGGCTCACGGTGTGCCCTCTTCCAGGCAAAGGATACCCCTTATTTCAGCTTGTCCACAAATCTCTTTACCCCCTCCTGAGAGGAGACCACCAGCTGCATTCTTACATATAAAGTCTAAAGGGTTATACAAAGCTGTCATCCTCTAGTCTACAGTATCCTTTCCCTCCACCTGCTGGTGGTGGTAGTGGGGGATGGGGTGGGCTAGGGAATGGCACCATCACGTTTGATTATTTAAAAAGGAAAAAAAAAGCTTCATTGTCTTAGATACAGCTGCTCCCGAGATTGTCTACATAAGGTGTATGGGTTAAATACACACATGCACACACGCATACCCACACACCCCACTGAGATTTTTGATAGAAGACTTCTTCCCTTCAGCTTTTAAGAGTTTAGATAAATAGATTTAATACTTCCCTTCTGCATCTTAATCACGAGTTTAGCTTTTAGGGAAAGTGGTCAAGCAGTATTTTTTATGTTGTTCTCGGTACGTTTTCATAATGAAATCTTCAACTTCCCATGGCATTTCTGAACTTGAGAGTCTGCTTGACTGAGATATTTTTTGGGCTTTTTACAAAGCTGTTAATATTATCTTTAAAGTAGTTCAAGCGTTTTAGTGGGTTTCATAATTTGAGGGACGACTAAGTGTCCAGGGATGTTAATTCTGTGGTTCTTTTAAGGTTAACATATTACCATTGTGATCCCTTTTTTTAATGCAAAGATGTCACATCTTTATTGAGATAATTTGCATGCCATAAAAATGAGCTTCTTAAATAACAATGATTTTTCAGTAAATTTACTTGTTTATGAAAGAATGTGGTGAAAATGTTTTTTACTAATATGAATACTTAGAATGAGAAAAAATCACAAATGATAAAACTTAAAAACTGGTAAGTACCACAAAATTACAGAATCCAGAAAAATAGCAATTAGGTGCTTGACAGATCCCTATAACCCTTTTTTCCTCTACATTTCTGGCTTCATTTTTCTGGCAGCTTCATTGAGATGTAATTCGCATGCCATACAATTCACCCACTTAAAGTGGCTTTTAGTGTATTCGCAGTTTTGCAACCATCACCACAGTCCATCTTAGAACATTTTCACGGCCCCAAAAAGAAACCTGTACTCATTAACAGTCACTCTCCAATTCCCAACTACCCCAGCCCCAGGCAACCAGTTTTTGTCTTCTTAGATTTGCCTATCCTGGACATCCCATATAAATGGAATTGTACAATTTGTGCTCTTTTTTAACTGGCTTCTTTCACATAGTGTAATGTTTTCAAGGTTTATCCGTGTTGTAACAAGAATGTATCAATGTTTCATGGCCGAATGATCCTTATGGCCGAATGATCCAATGATCCTCCAGCTCATGGATATACCACATTTTATTTATCCCTTCTTCAGTTAATGAACATTTTCATTGTTTCCACTTTTTTAGCTATTTTACATAATACTACTAAGAACATTTTTGTGTGGATGTATGTTTTATTTCTCTTGGCTATATACCTAGGAATAGAATTGCTAGATCATATGGAAACTTACTTTGAACCTTTGGTGGAATTGCCAGACTTTCTGAAGTTATCCTTATTTTTTAAATTGATGTTTCCTCCTACCTCATATCTTTTGGCACTTTAGTCAAAATCAGATTAAGTCCTGAGGCTGTATTAGAAGAATATTGTGATGTGTGACTTTTAAAAAATAAGTATATATTGACATTAGCCAGGTTTTTTTGTTTTGTTTTGTTTAGAAATTCATAGTGCCTTATGGTTGTCCTCTGATGACTTTGATATCCTTGTGCATACATTAGGGGTAGGAATATTTTCACTTCCACCTAAGGAAATAACATATGATTCTAATAGAAAGTCATACTTTGTCCACACTGTGACTTACTCAAAATCACATATGCTTGTAATGAGATAGAAACATTCTTTTTTATATTTAGAGAACAGTACAGTGGTCTACTTTGTGTATTTGTTACTTACATATCTGGTCTATCTCTCTAAGCACTTATCAGCCTACTTACATATATGCTGTATCTCTCTAAACACTTAATCACCCTTTAGATATGGTTACTACATTGTGTTACATAATGTCTGTAGAATACAGCAAATTCTGAGAAAATAATTGCTTTTTGATTTGGATCTTATGATGACATCTATTTCATGGGAAGTCTTCAGAAAGAAGTATGGACCAGTGAATTTAACTTAATCCAGTATATCCAAAATACCATGCAACATCTAATTTGTGTAAAATAATTGAGACGTTTCATATTATTCCTTTCATACGTTCAAAATCCAGTTTGTATTTTACGGTTATGGCATACCTCCACTTGGACTAGCTGCATTTCAAGTGCTTAATAGCCACATGTGGTTAGTGGCTACCTTATTGGAACAGCCCATGTACAGAGTATAGCATTTAGGGAGAGGTAATTGTAGCATATTATGATCTAACAGTTTATTTGATTAGAAATGATGAAGAATACAGAGTCCTAGAGTTTAGTTTAATTTGATCTCTAACTTTGTGTATGACCTTGGGGAAAATCGCTTAGTCTTATGGTTCTTTCATCTGTAAAACTAGAGGTACTTGACATCTGCTTCATGAGTGTTGTGAAGATTAATAGGTAATGTTAGGAAGATGCCTGGCAATTCTCTGAGCGTTTTATCACCTTCAGCTTTTCTTTTTGGGGGAGGGAAGGGATTTAACAAGATTCAGTATAATTGATTCTCTTACTCCCTTATTTTCAGTGGCTGTTTTTTCTCTCTGCTTGTATAACTTGTTACATTGAACAAGTAATAGGGAAAGGTTTTAATACAGAGACATGTAGCTGCTCATTGAAGGGCAGTTTAGGCACACCAAATTAGTGATCCTTTTAAAGTTGTAATTTCTGAGTGTTAGAGTTGAAAGTTATTCATAGATTTCAATCTGATATTTGTTCCTACCTCTCTCTACCATTCTGACTCCTCTAAAATGTGGTCATGTTAAGTTTCTTGAAACACAAACGCACCAAAGAAGGCATATGTTCAGTATCCATTTAAAATAATTATCAGGAACTATCAGATGATATTCACCATGGCGTGGCTGCTTCTTACAGTGTTGTAGAAGATCCCCAGTCTTAGTTTGAGAATAGTAACCATAGAAAAGAGGGTATATACAGTGCAACACAGGAAATGGGTAGTGACCAAACTTGAAATAAAAAACTTGTCAGGATAAAGTAAATTAAGCTCATATAATTTATGTTTTTTAAAGTAGAGGGGAATTTTCTTGTAGATTTCCTAATAAACCTGCATACTTTTTATGAAAGTTCTGAGTGTCTAGGTTCAAATAGAGCATAAAATATAACTAGATCTTTTAAAAACACAACTTTAAGAAAACAACTTACCCTAAATATAAAAGAATATTAAAATGCTACATAATTAGAAACTTGTGATTATCCACACAAACATAAAATATGAAGTCAGCTTGAACTTTAAAAAAAGGTGCTTGGTTGGCAAGAGTTTAATAAATTGATCAGCTGTTTTGTTGTTTTGAAAGAGCCTCAGTGATTTGTTAAAGTGTACAGAGTGAAAAGCATTGTTAAGGTATTAAGTCTTGTTAACTTTTAGAGACTGATCTCTCTCACCACAAATCTTGGAACATATTTACTATACTTAAAATAACTACTGTCTAATTTTTCACATAATAGTCCAAGCATGTGACAATATGAAATATCTGATAGAAATATAGTTAGGAATTAAATGACTGTTTCTGTACTTCTTGCCAACTTTCCTGGTTTACAAGGTAGCCAGTTTGAGAATTGCTTCATTGATAGTTTTCCTGGAGATACCAAGATGCCCTTATTTTTCGTAGTCACTAAGTATGTCAAATGAATGTACAAGATTGGGAAGAATTGTAGGAGTGATTTAGATTTCAAAGAATGAAGCTACTTTAGAAAAAAAAATGCAAAGGTAGTTTTTAAACATTGATTTCTAATACCTGATAGTGGTTGTGGGTCCTTAAAATATTTTTAAATGTTTTCTGGAGTAGCATTCATCTATTTGAGGCCTATAATGATGAATGAAACAAGAGCATGTCATCAGATTTAACCTTGATCTCTGATTTTGGTACTTACTCGCTGATTTAGTTTTGGAACAGAAAAGAGGAATATGACTGAAGGGAACTTTCTGAGCACCTACTGTATATGCTTTTAACTGTATTCACATTTCTCTCAATCTTATACATATTGAATTTATTTTAAAGAAGAAATTTTAAAGAAGAAACTCTTGTGCTTTTGATTTAATAAGATAACATTTAAGGGAATGATTTTAATTCAGGTGTGTCAGAGTCTGTTCTTTTTGTACTTTACCATATTTCCTCCATTTGACTTCTTTCAGCCTTAATGCCAGTCTCAAATTTGATGAAAAGGTTCTATGTGAAAGCACTGAGCATAGTCCACGGGGTATAATAGGTATTCAGTAAATGTTTTCTTTTTTTCTCAGAGGGTTTTTGGAAATTGTGGGTCACTTGTAGACTTTCAAACACTAGAAAACACAGTTTGTTTTCTGTGCTTTTCATTTAGGTTTGGTAAAAGACAGGGTTGGAGTTCTTCCTTTTTCTGTGGTTAATATGAGAACTGTATATTGATATCTATAAAATAAGGACATTTTTCAAAACCAAAAATACATAATGAGAAGAATGGCCATGTTGAACCTTTTTTTCGGGTCTTAATGTTTGGCTTAAGACAGCTGAATTCTCATCTGTTTCTGCATTCAGTCTTTTGTGATACACTGTTTTGGTCGAAGTGTGTGAAGAATGTCCACCTTCACACAGACAGACAGTTGAAAAAGGAAAGTATGTTATGTTTTCATAGGCTTTTCAGGATAATTATGGAGATTAAGTGATACTACACCGTAATTCTGCAAGAGGTAGTTTCTTAAAGATAGTTGCAATGTAGAATCTGAAGCCACATGAGTGAACTTTTCTTACACTGTTACATTAAAATCTATTGGTCTGTCTTGCACTTCAGATGTAACATTTACCCATCTTTTACTGATGCTTTTTGTAATACCATGCATTGGATTATTTGGAAAACATTATGTCACTGAGTTATGCACGTCTTCCAAATGCTAACATATTTTATTCAATAAAAAATTCATGATTGTTAACCACACAATTCAGAAAAATCTTAAGTATTGAGAATCTGTCAGGTTCACAGAAGTGGATACAAGTTTTCTAAAATTCTAACTTTCTCTGGGAAGCTCAATTTTTTTTTCTTTTTTTACCATGCCTCTGGGACAAGTTCAGAGGAAGCTGAAATTTTATCATTAGCAATAAATGCTATAAATGGTTATCGTTGAAGCCATAGACTCACTTTGCTCATTTTTGTGAAAACATCTTCCAACCATTAAGTCTGAATAACCATAATTTGTCTGTCAGTCGTTTTTTCAAGTAAAAATAGTGTTCCATGAAAAAAGTGGCTAGGTCAGTTCACAACTCAGTTGCACAAGTACTTTTTCCTTGAGACAGTCGTCCTTAAGTAGAAGTTGGTATGCAGCAGAAGTGGCTTATATGTAATCTTCATTTTTTTCACACAATTAGAAAAGGCCAATATTTAATAAAAGTAATCATTTTTTACTGTTTCCTCAAGGAATTCTTAAGTGAGCTGACTTTTAAACAAATTTTAGATGTGAAATCAGTGACAACTATTGCATCTTGATGTCATTACCTTAATTCATTCTAAAGCACCAGCAGTCTTACCCCTATGGCATCAATTCAAGTGTTAATACAATTTTTTTTTTAAAAAAAGTATTAGTATTATCATTAGGAAAATAGTTTTGACCCTGTGTACTCTCTGTAAAGGTCTCAGGACCCACATAGGGGCCCGTGGACCATGCTTTGAGTGCCACTCTTTTAGTTTACCATTGCTTCTTTTGCACATGAGTGTCACTTTTAATTAATACAGGCTCTTAAAGGACCTTATAGTATAGGGGTTAAAAGACATGGACTGTAGAGTCACTTAGGTCTGGGTTTGAACTCTGGTTTCTCCACTTAGTAATTATGGAGGCTAACTTAATTATGTCTAAGCCTTTGAAATGTTTAACAATGCCTAGCATAAAGTACATGCAGAGTAAATGGAACCTCTTACTATTTCTGCCAACTTACATAGTCATACATTGCATCCAAGTAAACCCCTATGTTCCATATCAGAATAACATTTTGCTTACAAAATTCCTCTTGTACCTCTGTGTGCCATAATCCAAACCACATCATACAAATTTGGGAAGGCTTCTTATTCCCCTTATTTAACAGTCACCTGAAAACCTACTTTCTCCCACATACTTCAGCCAAATTGTCACATACATACTAGTTTATGACTTCATTTCTTTAATCCTATGTTTTAAGTGGGTTACTAAATGCTTTATGTAGATTTTGTCACTGTTTTCTCAAAACATTGTAAATATAATCAGAAAACAACTATAATTCACACTATTTAGTACCCAGAATGAAAATGATTTAAGGTCATAGATATTTGTTGGTAATACAAGATTAAGTTGATTATTAAAGATGCTAAACTTTCCCAGGCACAGTGGCTCATGCCTGTAATCCTATTGCTTTGAGAGGCTGAGGCAGGAGGATTGCTTGATACTGGGAGTTTGAGACCATCCTAGGCAATATGGTGAGACCTTGTCTCTACAAAAAAATAAAAATAAAAAATTTAGCTGGATGTGGTGGCACACACCTGTAGTCATACCTATTTAGGAGGCTGAGGCAGGAGGATCGCTTGAGCCCAGAAAGTGGAGGCTGCAATGAACTATGACCATGCCACTGCACTCCAGCCTGGGTGACAAGAATGAGGTCTCATCTCAGATAGATAGAAATTTTTAAATGCTGACTTATTTTCTATTACTGTTTATTTACTATTCGGACAAAATTTAGTCACCTGTCATTTTTTCCCTAAATTTTTATTTACTTTAAACTTAATGTAAATTAGATTTTAACTAATGATGTATTTTGACAAACATGGAATTTCATGAATTTTTTTACTAACAAAAGTCGGAATCCTAAGATAGTATGTTTTTTACTAGTTCAGTGATGGACATATTGTCTAATATTAGAAGGTAAATCATAGTCTATCTCAGTGTCCTGTTCTTTAATAAAAACTTTAGTTTGCACATATCTACTCTTTATGTTTTTTAAAGTATGTCTTTCTGGACCCTTGAGGTAAGTGTTACATAAATTTATTTAGTTGAGTAGTTTTATCCCGAAAGACCTATGTTAAGTGGTCTCTGCTTGGTTGTATTAAATGGCCCTGTCCTGTTTGCCACCTGTTCTTCCTCTTCACACTGGCTTTTTAGCCACTTTAAGCTGTTACTGGTCCAGAAAAACAAGCAAGATAATACCTTAAGGTTTTCAAATAATTGTTAACATCACTCCTTGTTCTTTAGTAGGTGTGAAACCCAAATATTCTCCAGCTCTTTTTAAAATAGTGCAGAGGATTTGGTTCCTTGAGGCCGGGAGTTTGAGACCATCCTAGGCAGTATAGTGAGACCTCATCTCTACAAAAAATAAAAAATTTAGCTGGGTGTGGTGGCACACACCTATAGTCCTACCTATTTAGGGTAGGTTTGGTTCCTTATTTCACTTTTGAATATTATGTGGAGATGTTCATTTTACTACAGATATATCTATAGAATTGGGTTCATTGTTGATCAGCTGTTTCAGACACCTTAAATTTGTTCACGTTTTTTCTCTTAATGTTGTGAATAATTTTTCCCAATTCCCTTTTTATTCTCCAGCTTTAAAACAATGACAGTACAGGTTGAGCGTCCAAATCCAAAAATCTGAAATCCACAATGCTCCAAAATCTGAAACTTTAAGCACCTACGTGATGCTTAAAGGAAACACTCATTGGAGCATACCAGATTTTGGATTAGGGATGCTCAGTCTCTAAGTATTATGCAAACATTCTAAAATCCAAAAAAATCCAAAATCTGAAACACTTGTGTTCCCAAGCATTTCACATAAGGGATACTCAATGATGAAAAGTTTAATTAAGACCAATAAACAAATAAAAAATAGGATCCGCCTCATTAGTCATTAGGGAAACACAGCTCTAAAGCATGATGAGATACCACTTTACACCCACTAGGATGGCAGTATATAAAAAGAAAATAACAGGTGTTGGTGAGGATGTGGAGAAAGTGGAACCCTCATACATGCCTGATGGGAATGTAAAATGGTACGGCTGCTTTGGAATGCAGTTTGGCAGTTCCTCAAAAAGTTAAACAGTTAACATGTGACCCAGCAGTTCTACTAATTAGATATAAATCCAGGAGAATTGCAAACATAATGTCTGCACAAAAACTTGTAAATGAGTGTTCATAGCAGCATTATCCATAACAGCCAAAAGAGGGAAACAACTTGGCTGGGCGCAGTGGCTCACGCCTGTAATCCCAAGCACTTTGGGAGGCCAAGGCGGGCCGGATCACCTGAGGTTGGGAGTTGGGAAACCAGCACTACCAACATGGAGAAACCCCGTCTCTACTAAAAATACAAAATTAGCCAGGCATGGTGGCGCATGCCTGTGATCCCAGCTACCTGGGAGGCTGAGGCAGGAGAATCACTTGAACCCAGGAGGTGGAGGTTGCAGTGAGCTGAGATCGGGCCATTACACTCCAGCCTGGGCAACAAAAGCAAAACTCCTTCTCAAAAATAATAAATAAATATAAATAATTTAAATAAATAAAATAAAAGAAGGAAACAACCCAAATACCCATTAACTGATGAATGCACAAAGTATGGTATATGCATACAATGGAGTATTGTTCCGCTATAAAATGAAGTATAATAGTTCACCCTTATCTGCAGTTTTAGTTACCTGCAGTCAACTGTGATCAGAAACTAGGTGAATATGTGATACAACAAGATATTAATATTTAGAGAGAAAGAGATCCCACATTCACATGACTTTTCTTACAATATATTGTTATAATTGTTCCATTTTATTATTATTAATCTCTTACTGTGCCTAATTGATAAAGTAAGTTTTATCATAGATATGTAGGCATAGAAAAAAACATACTACATGTAGAGTTCAGTACTATCTGCAGCTTCAGGCATCTACTGGGGGTCTTGGAACACACCCTGTGCAGATAAGGGGGTGACTATTGTACTGACACATGCAACGGTATGGATGAACCTTGAAAACATTATACTGCCTGAAAGAAGTTAGTCACAAAAGATCACACTCTATAATTCCAGTTATATTTGAGAGGATATAGTAAATAAATAAATAAAACTAAAAACTCTTTTTCCTACACTGTCCTTTCATACAGTCACTCAACACAATACTTCTGACACCAGATGTGTGGGGGTTTTTCCCCACACACCAGCTAAGCAGTCAGTTCTGCAACGGACGCCTGCTGGGTATCCACTGATTCAATTTAATTCTGACACTGTCTACCTGGAGATAACATCAGATTTCAGGTTGAGAGCTCAGTCCCATGGGAGTGTCCCCCACTTCAGATGGAATCACAAGCACAGGTTATGTCTTCTGCCTCTGACTGACTGGCTATACATAGAGTTCGCACTACCTGCTCCTTGGGTTCAATTAGCTTGCTGGAATGGCTCACAGAACTCAGGGAAGCACTCTCCTTATGTTTGCTGATTTTTTAAAATAAACTATATTACAAAGGATACAGATGAACAGCCAGATGTGGTATGCGGGAAGGGGCACTGAGTTTCCATGCTGTCTAGGCACCAGCATGTGTTCTGCTATCCAGAAGCTCTCAGAACCCATTTTGAGTTTTTATGGAAACTTCATAATGTAGGCATGATTGATTAAATCATTAACAATTGGTGATCAGCTTAACCTTCAGCCCCTTTTCCCTCCCCAGAGGTTGGAGGGTGGGGCTGAAAGTGCCAATTCTCTAGTCATGTCTTGGTCTTTCCAGTGATCAGCCCTCATCCTGAAACTATCTAGGGCCCCCCCGAGTCACCAGTCATCTCATTAGCCTTCAAAAGACACTCATCACTGCATAGATTTTAAGGATTTTAGAAGTTGTATGTCTGGAAATGGGATGAAGACCAAATATTTCACAGTATCACAATATGAAATGTCCAGGATAGGCAAGTCCATAGAGACAGAAAATAAATTAGTGGTTGCCAGGGGTTGGGACAGAGGGAAAAGGGGGAATGATTGCTAGTGGGTATGGGGCTGATTTTTGTGATGTTGAAAGTCATCTGGAGTTAGATAGTGGTGTTCAATGCACAACTTTGTGAATGTACTAAAATAACTGAATTGTATACTTTAAATGGGTGAACTATATGGTATGTAAATTATATCTCAAAGCTGTTACATTAATATTAAAAACAACAATAGAAAACGTAAGAGATGAGTGGGAGTTGTGACAACTTTCCAGTATTTGGGGGTCACAGTTGAACTCTAAGCAGCTCTTTTTCACTGACTTTCCCTTCTACCCTTCCCTGTATTGAATTCATTTGTTAAGCAAATATTTATTCAGCATCTGTATTGGAGGTTCTACATAATGCAGGCTGAGTTCCTATTCTTATGAAGTTTACATTCTAATAGGTCCAGATCTGTAAGATCTCTCAGTCAGCCTTAAGCTGGCTCTGTGGGTAAATTCAATCAGTCTGAGCTAGATTCCTTATGTTTCTTTCTTAAACTCAAATTTACAATGAGTATTACACCTTAAGTTTGAAGAGGAAGAAAAGCCTAAATGTTTTGTATCTGATATCTCCTTGAGATTTATGCAAAAGCTTAATTTTTAATGTGGGAACACCTAGGATTGCATCTCTTTCGTTATTTGCCATTAGGTAAGTTTAATAATTTTTTTCAGCCTCCATTTCTGCATCTGTAGAATTAAAATCCTATCCTAGTGGGGACTTGTTTTGAACTAGGCTTTTAAGAATGCAAGGAACATATCCTTATTCAGACTAGGTCAAGTAGGGATGTTAGGGAAGTTCAGGGACCAGTTCTCATATTATCCAAGACATGTCAGGTAGGATTGTCTTGATGGTAGGTGTTCATGGATCTGCAAAGTTCTGCTCTGCCAGCTGCTGTCAGCTGCTAAGTTTTATTTTCCCTTGCTACTGACTGTCTTAGTCTTTACGTAATTCTATGTTAAATTACTAAGAGATAATCTGACTGAGCTAATAAGCTGTGCCCAAGCTGAAGCAGATTGTTTTTACTCCTGGCCTGCTTACGGATTGGCTTTTCCCGAGTCAGGTGCTTTCTTCCCAACTCCCACTACCAGTCTTCTGTGGTGTGAGGAGTATAGGGGTATCACATGAGAAGTGTAACATCATTTGACTGCTTCTTCAGGAGCACCCCCGGAAAGAGCAGTTTCTTTTAGACAAGGTGGTAAATATGACATTATGTTAGTTAATGTCCACCTCCGTTCTTACTTTCCTGTTAACTTTCTACTCACTGTCATAATCTGGGGCAAAGCATTATTGTCTCATCTCCAGAGTGGTTACCTTGTTTCTGCTATTGCCTTTCTCCAGTTCATAAAATAACCTGCATGTTTTTTAAAAAATAATAATAATAATAAAGTAAATCAATTCTCACCTCTCCTGCTTCATTAGCTTCTGACCACATTTAGCTTCCATACTCCTTACTGAGAACTTCAAGGCCATACCAAATTTGGTCCTTGTCTACTTCTCCGTCTCACTCTACTATCTGCCTTAGTTACTTATACTCTTATTCATTTATCTTCTTTTAATTCCACTAACACATTAGTGGTGTTCTCCTCTTCACCCCTTCACACATGCTGCTCTGTCTGTGAGAATGCTTTCTCTGCGCCTCCAGTCCCCGTCTCTTTCCTTCATTTACATGGTTATTTCTCATCCTTTGAATCTCGCTTCAAAGTCATTTACTCACAGAGGCCATTCCTGAAAAAGTTAATTGCAAGTTAAACCCCCCTGTTTTCCTTAAGAGCACTGATGATATATTTGTGTGTTTACTCAATGTTAGTTTCTCCCGTCAGACTATAAGCTCCCTGAAACTTACCTATTTTGTACACCACTATATTCTTAAGTCTCATTACAGAGCCTGGTATGTAGTCAGCATTTAAGTAAATATTTGAGGGAATTAAATGAAATTTTTTTTTTAAGAAAACAGGAGGGTACTCTGATTAGAATTAGTAACTAAATTAGAATTTTTATTTTTAAGGTTATCTTGTGTATTATATAAATTTATGGAATACAAGTGCAGTTTTGTTACATGTATAGATTGCGTAGTGATGAAGTCAGAATTTTTAAGTCAATTTTTTCTCTTGATAGAAGTAATGCATGATCATTGTAAAAACACTTTTTGGAAAAATAAAAATAATCTTCCATATTCTCACTACTGTTAGTCTTTTGGATTGTTTCCTTTTTCATGTGTACATTTTTCCAAACATATTTGAACTTAATTTGAATTCTCATGAGAGTAACTCATTAGAATACAGCAAAGGTTTTCATCCTTGGCACTATTGACGTTTTGGGCCAGATAATTTGTTGGGGGATGGGGGAGTGTCCTGTACACTGTAGGATGTTTAGCAGCATCTGTGGCCTCTACTTACTAGATGTCAGTAGCACATCACCCCCCCCCCCCCAGTTGTGACAACCAAGAACAGTCTTCAGAAATTGCCAAATATCCCTTGTGTGGCAAACTCACCCCAGATGAGAACCATTAGAATACAGTTACTTCAGTAAACTTCCCAGAACATCATTGCTGTTTTCACTTCTCAACCCAGAAACCTTCAGTGGCTTCCTATTATCTCTAAGAGGCACTGAAAAGTTCTTAATTAGCTAGGCATTTCAGGCTCTCAATTTGGTTTAACAGATATTTGAGTGTTTGCTGCATAAATGCTAGTAAAGGTATAAAAGTGAAATTACTTGTCCAAATTAATTCTTACCTTTTTAGTTGATAACTCCCCATCCAACTAACTTCATCTCTGACTCTCTACTTCAGGCAAGTGAACCCACCTCACATTTAACATTCAGTTCTGCTTTTTCTGTATTTGCTTTTGTTGGGTCTCTCCTGGAAACACCTTCTAGTCTCCCCTTTACCTTGCCGTTTCTTATTTGTGCTTCCAGATAGAACTTAAACCTCCACAACTCAGTTAAGTTTTCACTAATCACATCAATTCATATGAATCTTCCCTTTCCTGAACTCTTAGAGCAGTTATTTATGTACCTATATTCTGATATTTTCTTCTGTAAGACAGTGTTTTTACTTTTCATATGTTTTTGTAGAGAAAAGAGTATTACAAAAGGATATGTGTGGCTTGTATGCCAACAACTTGGATAACCTAGATGAAATGGATAAATTCCTAAAACACATAACCTGTCAATACTGAATCATGAAGAAATAGTAAATCTGACTAGACCTATAAGTAGTAAGGAGATTTAAAATCTCCCAACAAAGAAAAGCCCAGGATCATTGGCTTCACTGGTGAATTCTACCAAACATTTAAAGAATTGATGCCAGTCCTGCTCAGACTCTTTCAAAAGATGGAAGAGTTCCAAACTCAAGGCCAGCCCTACTCTGATACTAAAACCAGAAAAAGACATTATAAGAAAAGAAAACTACAGGCCAGTAGCCTTGAGGAAAATGGATGCAAAAATCCTCAACAGAATACTGGTGCACCAAATCCAATAGCACATTAAAAGGATCACATACCATGACCAAGTGGAATTTATGCCTGGGGTGCAAGGATGGTTCAACATATGAAAATCAGTATGATACACCACATTAACTGACTGAAGGACAAAAATGACACAGTCATACCAGTTGATGGAGGAAAAGTTCAGTACCAGACTTTGACAAAATTCAGTGCCCTTTCATGATAAAAACACTCAAACTAGGAATAGAAGAAAATTATCTCAACATAATAAGGGCCATATATGAAAAGCCCACAGCAAACAACATATTCAGTGATGAAAAACTGAAAGCTTTTCCTGTAAGATCAGAAATAAGGCAGTGGCGGTGTGTGCTGGCTCATGCATATAAGTCCAGTGCTTTGGAAGGAGGCCTCAGTGGGAGAATCACTTGAGCCCAGGAGTTCGAGAGCAGCCTAGGCAATATAGCAAGACCCTGTCTCTACAAAGAAAAAATAAAATAAAAACTATCCAGGCATGCAGGCATGCACATGGAGTCCCAGCTACTTGGAAGGCTGAGGGGGGAAGATTGCTTGAGCCCAGGATTTTGAGACTGAAGTGACTGCCACTGCACTGCAGCCTGGGCAACAGAATAAGACTCTTTCAAAACAAAACAAACAAGGATGCTCACCCTTGGCATTTCTCTTCAACATAGTACTAGAAGCCCTAGCTAGAGCAGTTGGGCAAGAAAAAGAAATGAAAGACATCCAAATCTATAACAAAGATGTAAAATTATCTCTGTTCACAGATGACACAATCACCCTAAAGATTCCACAAAAATGATTAGAACTAATAAATTTAGCAAAGTTGCAGGATACAAAGTCAACATACAAAAAAACAGCTGTTTCTATACACTAACAGTGAACAATCTGAAAAGGGAATTAAGAAAATCTCATTTCCAATAGTGTCAGAAAAAATACTTAGGAATAAACCTAACCAAATAAAAGAAAGGCTTATATGCAAAACATTGCTGAAAGAAAGAAACACAAATGGAAAACAATCCAATGTTCATGGAAAACTTAATATTGTTAAAATGTCCATGATACTCAAAGCAGTCTAAATATTCCATTGCAAGCCCTATCAAAATCATGGCAGCATTTTTTACAGAAATGGAAAAGCAGTCTTCATAAGGTACCACAAGGACTCTGAATATCCAAAACAATCTTGAGAAAGAACAAGCCTGGAGACCTCATGCTTCCAGACTGAAAGACATATTACAAAGCTACTGTAGTCAAATCAGTATGGTGTACTGGCATAAAGACATAAACAGTGGAACAGAATAGAGAGCCCAGAAATGAACCCCTGCATATTCGGGCAAATAATCTTTGACAGAGATACCAAGACTACACATTGGAGAAAGGATAGTCCTTTAACAAACGGTGCTGGGAAAACTTGATATCCACCATGCAAAAGACTGAAATTGGACCCTTGTACTATATACAAAAATCAACTCAAAATGGATAAAAGACTTAAACATAAGATCTGAAACTGGTAAACTAGAAGAAAATAGAGAAAGTTTTATAACTTTGGTCTTGGCACTGATTTCTTGGATAAGACACTTAAAAGCAAAGCTATAAAAGCAAAAATAGACAAGTGGAACAACATCAAACTGAAAAGTTGATGTGCAGCCAAGGAAACAATCGAGTGAAAAGACAACCTGCAGAATGTGAGAAAATATTTGCAAATGATGTATCTGATAAAGGATTAGTATCCAGAATATATAAAGAACTCCTAAAACTCAACAATAGCAAAAACCAACAACCCTATTTTAAAATGCGCAAAAGGCTTGAAAAGATATTTCTCTAAGGAGGATAAACAAAATAGCCAGTAAGCACATGAAAAGATGCTCAACATCAGTAATCATTAGGGAAATGCAGATCAAAGCAACTATACCATCTCCCACCCATTAAGATGACTACTATCAAAACAACAAAAACAAAATAACTGTTGGTGAAGATGTGGAGAATTCAGAATCTTGTGCATTATTGGTGAGAATGTAAAATGGTGAAGCTACTATGAAAAACAGGATGGTGGTTCCCAAAAAGTGAAAAATAGAATTATTATATGACCCAGCAATTCCACTTCTGAGTATATATCCAGATGAATTGAAAGCGGGAACTAAGATACTTGTACACTCTAGTTTATAGTAGCAGCATTTGCAGTATCCAAAAGTGGAAGCAAAAGGTTATTTAATGTATAAAATAGATAGATAAAATGTGTATGTACATACAGTGGAATATTATTTAGACTTAAAAAGGAAGGAAATTCTGACATATTACAACATGGATGAACCATAAGCATTATGCCAAGCGAAATATGCCAGTCACACACAAAAAAATACTGTATAATTCCACTTATACAAGGTACCTAGAATAGGCAAATGCATAGAAACAGGAAAAGGA
The DNA here is from genome assembly GCF_000001405.40 of Homo sapiens. Taxonomy (NCBI): domain Eukaryota; kingdom Metazoa; phylum Chordata; class Mammalia; order Primates; family Hominidae; genus Homo; species Homo sapiens. Next base: position 160,548,489 of record NC_000003.12, on the reverse strand, counting down.
ATAATGGTTGCCAGGGGATAGAGGGAAGGAGATAGGGAGTTGTTTAATGGATGTAGTGTTTCGTTTTTGCAAGACCAGGATAGTTTTGGGAGATTTGATGCACAACAATATGAACATTCTTAATGCTGCCGAACTCACTTTAAAATAGTTAAAGTGGTAAAGCTTATGTTATGTGTTTTTTACTACAGTTTTTCTGAAATTTTCTAAATTTTAAAGTGGTTAAGATAGTAAATTTTATTGTTATGTATATATTACCACCACCACCAACAACAACAAAAAAAAACCCAGAGCACTAACAACACCACATGCCGGTGAGGATGTGGAGCAACAGGAACTCTGATTCATTGTTGGTTGGGAAGGCAAAATGGTACAATCACTTTGAGAGGCAGTACAAAACTGAACATACTCTTACCATATGACCCAACAATAGCACGCCTTGGTAATTAACCAAATGAGTTCAAAACTTATGTCCACACAGAGCAGCTTTATTCATAATTGCCAAAACTTGGAAGCAACTAAGGTGTCCTTCAGTAGGTAAATGGATAAATTGTGATATATCCAGACAATGGCATATTAGTCAGTGCTAAGAAGAAATGAGCTGTTAAGCCATGAAAAGACATGGAGAATCTTAAATGCATATTGCTAAAAGAAACAAGACAATCTGAAAGACTGTATACTCTATACTTCCAACTATATGACATTCTTTAAAAGGCAAAACTATAGAGACAGTAAAAAGATCAGTAGTTGCCAGGGGTTGAGGGTGAGGGAGATGAATAAGGAGAGCACAGAGGATTTTAGGGCAGTGATAAAATACTGTTTGATACTAATGGATGCATATCATTATACATTTGTTAAAACCTGTAGAGTATGCGACACCAAGAATGAACCCTAATGTAAATTATGGACTGTGGGTGATAGTACATGTAGGCTCATCAGTTGTAACAAATGTACCATTCTGGTAACAGGATGTTGATGTAGGGGGAGGATTTGCCTGTGTGGGGGCAGGGAATATATGGGAACTGTCTGTACTTTTTACTGTTTTCCTGTAAACCTAAAACTGCTTGAAAAGTAGTCTTTTGTGTGGCATGGTGTCATTCCTGTAAAAATCCTAAATATATAAAATTGGTGATATGCAGTAGAAACACCAAAACACCCATGAGAATCTAATCAGGCAATTAATTAGGAAAATGGTTGCATTTGGCAGAGAAAAATAAGGGGAGGAGAGGATTGTGAATAAAGGGAGATTTTAGCAGTATTCATAACACTTTAAGATTTTTATTTCTTCAAAAAAAGGCAAATATGACAAGATAACATTAATACATTGGATGTCATGAAATTTGTTTGTATATTTGACATTTCATAGTTGGACTTTTTAAATTCATCTTATAGAATTGGTTAATTTGGGATTGCACATGTCGCCTACATACTCCACTGACTAGTTAGTTGAAGGGAACCATTATGGTCAGTTTACACAGATTTAGTCAAAAGCTCACCCTGGAAACATCACCAGAAATGGGAATCGCTTTGCAGTGTGGCTTAAGAGACCAAAGAAGGGCCGGAGAGTGAGTTTCATTTCCATTTTGAGAAAATTTAATGTTTTGTAGATACCAGGGCTCAGTTTTAGTTTTGTAACTTATTCAGTTCAGTACTATACCACAATAAATGAGACGTGGGTTAGAAGCTCTAAGTCTTGAGTGGTATTTTAAGCATATTAAATAGTGTGCAGGGATGGGAATAATGGTAGCAGAAACAGACCAGAATTCAGTAGATGAGGGGTGGGGAGCGATATCGGAACCTTTGTTTATCCAAACAAAGGTTGGTGATTAACCATATTAGTTTATAAAGTAAATGTACGTTTAGTAATCCTCATCTTATTTGACATATCCCCAACACTGGATGTAGTTGATTGTGGTTCCTTAAAAAATAATATTTTCACTTGGTTCCATATTCTCACAGATTCTTCTTTTTTTCTGAGATGGAGTCTTGCTCTATCACCCAGGCTGGAGTGCAGTGTTGCGATCTCGGCTCACTGCAACCTCGGCCGCCTGGGTTCAAGCGATTCTCCTCCCTCTGCCTCCCAAGTAGCTGGGACTACAGGCATACACCTCCACACCTAGCTAATTTTTGTGTTTATAGTAGAGTCAGGGTTTCGCCATGTTGCCCAGGCTGGTCTTGAACTCCTGACCTCAAGTGATCCACCCGCCTTAGCCTCCCAAAGTACTGGAATTACAGGTGTGAGCTGCCATGCCTGGCCTTGCACAGATTCTTGACTGCCTTCTATCTCACTGATTTCTCTCTTAGTCTTGTACCCCTTATTTTGTGGTGCCTCAGGTTATGCTCATTTTGCAGATAATCTCATCTGGTGATCTGGTTTTAAATATTTGGACACTGACAACTTTCCAAATTGATATTTTTAGTCTCAGCCTCTTTCTTGAACTCAAGATTCAACAGACTACTTGACATCTCATTCGATGCATTATCAGTACCTTAAACTTAGATCTAAAAGTGATATTACCCCCCAAAACTTGCTGATCAGTCAGTCTGCCCCATCTCAGTAAATGGCAGTTCCATCCTTCAGTTGTTTGGATCAAAAACCGTAAAATCATTGTTTCCTCTCCTTGACAGTTCTATCCAGTCTGTTAGCAAATTTTGCAGGTTCTGTCTTCAAAATATATTCAGACTCATTATGTTTTATGATCCCCACTGCGACCACTCTGGTCCAAGATATTATCTGTTGCTGGGATTACTGCACTTGTGGTATATTCCCAACACAGCAGCTGGAGTAATTCTCTTTTAAATCAGAACATGTCTCTCCTCTCTCCTTTGCTCATCCCCCAGTGGCTTCCTAGCGCACTTCGAGTAAATGCCAAAATCTGTGCAGTGGCTAGCCTCCATTTCCTACCCCTCTTTGTTCATTGCATGTCAGCTATCCACCTGGCTTGATCACTCTTCTCAAGGTCTTTATTTAAAAATGTCCTTCCTGGCTTTATATTTTTCTGTCTAATACCACTGAAACACTATACATTTTAACTTTATTTACAGTCTTTCACACTAAAATGCAATAAATGCCATGAAGACAGAGATTTTGTCATTTTGTTCTGTTTTCTCCTTAACACTCAGAACACTTGTGGTCAGTAAACATGTGTTGGGTGAATGGTTTCCTATGCACATGCATACATCTGTTTAGTATGTGAACATAACTAGAGGGCTTTTAAAATAGTGCTTTGGCAAAGTAATTCAGTAATTTACCTTTCAATGAAGATTTTTCTGTTGCTAAGTTTAATGTCTTTGACATAAGTTCACAAAGAAAAAGAATATTTTGAAAGTAAACACTGAAGAGAAAAAGAGAAGGAAAAATAGCTTATTTGAAGGAATATGTAATAGAAGTAGACCTAGAATGAAAAAGTAATGTGATGCAGTGTAAAGAATATTGGACTGGATCCAGGATATCTAAGCTTTGGTATTCTTGAAGTCGCTGGGCCATAGTTCCTTTCTCCATAAAATGAAATAGTTTAAATGATTTCTATTCTCTCCAGTTACAAAATCCTATAATACTATTTGCTTAAATTTTTCCGTAAGAAAACCATGAGTTTGAGTTTATTATGTTCTTATAACATAGAAGGAAAATGTTCCTCAATCTCTCTTGCTTACACATTTGGTATAGTTTTGTAAATGGGAAAAAAAAAACTATTTTTCTCATCTGAAAATGCACCAAATCAGCAGAGAAATCAGATTCCTTCAAGCAGTAATATAAAAGCTTGGGTTCTATTGACCTTCTTAATTTGGGTATATCTCATTTCTTCTCTTACTCTTCTTCGGTAATTTTTCTCAGTGTCTTTTCCCATGAGTTGAGTTTTCTTCAAGTCACTCAAACAGTTTGTGAAATTTTATTTCTTCTGTTAAGGATTCAAAGTTTTTTGTTTTTTGAGACAAAGTCTCTCTCTGTCACCCATGCTGGCATGATCTTGGCAGGGAGTTTGAAGAGAAGTGATCATTCTTGGTAGCATTTGATCAATTCCCTTATAACCCATTAATCTTAGAGTACCTTCCTTTGTGCTCATATAAAACTTATATATGTGTTTGTTTACTAGAGTAGATTTATTTATAGGTTGTCCTCAGTCGCCTTCTATAAGTGATTCTGAAAGTTTATCTTGCAGTGTTTCCCAACCCTGAGAAGGTTATATGTGTCTCACCAAACCTATGGTCATTTCTAACCTCTTTTCTTTCCCTGTTGAACACCATCTGTTTGCCAGTGCGCACATATACATGAACACACACACACAGTTTGGTAATTGTCTCTGCTACCAAAACTAGCTATTGAAAGGTCAAGGAGGCCGGGCACAGTGGCTCATGCCTGTAATCCCAGCACTTTGGGAGGCCGAGGCAGGTGAATCACCTGAGGTCAGGAGTTCAGGACCAGTCTGGCCAATGTGATAAAACCCCGTTTCTACTAAAAATACCACGCCACACTGGGCGTGGTGGCGGGCACCTGTAATCCCAGATACTCGGGTGGCTGAGGCAAGAGAATCACTTGAACCCAGGAGGCGGAGGTTGCAGTGAGCTGAGATCGCGCCATTGCACTGCAGCCTGGGCAGCAAGAGCGAAACTCCATCTTGGGAAAAAAAAAAGGTCAAGGATTCCCATGTCCTTTTGGCATCACAGCATAACTTAAGGCAAGAGAAGTGCAAGATATGAAAACACCAAGCAACTGTACCAGAGCCACAAAATAGCTCTTGTTTATAATTTTGAGTTATGACTTTTTCATGATTCTTAGCATAGAAACTACATTGCCATGCATAGTAACTACAAATGACAATTACATATTTTTTGACATTGTTTTCTAAAGTTGAAAAAATTGGCTGGGTATGGTGGCTCACACTTGTAAATCTAGCACTTTGGGAGGCCAAGGTGGGTGATTCACGTGAGGTCAGGAGTTCGAGACTAGCCTGGCCAACATGCTGAAACCCTGTCTCTGCCAAAAATACAAAAATTAGCCAGGCTTGGTGGTGCACACCTGTAGTCCCATCTACTCCAGGCAGGAGGATCACTTGAACCCAGCAGGCTGAGGTTACAGTGAGCTGAGGTCGCGCCACTGCACTCCAGCCTGGGTGACAGAGTGAGATTCTGTCTCGGGGGAAAAAAATGATACAGTTTTTGAGGCATAAAAGATCTCAGAGATCCATTGAATTCTCTTTACAAGTGAAGGAATTAATACCCGTAAAGGTCGTGACTTGCCTATGATTTCATTAAAGGTAGAGCTGGGACTAGTAGCCATATGCTAGTAGAGTAGTATAACCATATACTAGGAAATCATCCTGGGAGGAGATGTATGCATTTATTTTCTCTTCTATCATATGTAACCTCGTGCAAAAGATAGAAGAATATAGAGAACTCTGGGAATTCAGATTTTTCCCTTCTTTATTTTGTGACTTTTCCAAATAGACATGTATAACTTTTTAATTTAATACATTTTCCTGTTGTTTGAATGTTGAAGAGATAGTGAAACTCTAATCCTTTTCTTTGGAGTTAACACCTAACAGTTTCTTACATTTTGGCAATTTTTAAAAATTATATTTATGTACTAATAAATTTTCAATGCTTACAGTTTAGATATGGATCATTTTAAAGTATGGAATCTATAGACTAGAATTATTTCTTAATATTGCTCCAATAGCTTGCCTAGATTAAGTCTGACCTCCTACACTCAATGTATTTTCAGACTTCTCTTCACTTATGCTCAGTGTCCATTAATCTTATCACTTCTTAAAGAGATAAGAACTTGATTCTGCTTGAGAAGACTTTTGCCCATCACTAGTAGAACTTCAGGCCTTTAATACTAGTGTTAATAAGTGCTACCTGTGAGAAATAAATCTACAGATTGAAAATTTGAACTAAACTTACTTCTTAAATGAACTTTTCTAAATGAAGGATTGTAATATGGGTTTTTATCCTTAGGAGATATTAATTATTGACCCACTTGAGTAAGCATTTAACAGTGTTAGGCATTTAAACTTTCCCTTTTATTGTCATAATGTAATTTATTTGCTAATTACATGCAGTTTGCCAACATAAATACTATTTGACAAAGGCATGAATAAGCACCATGATGGTTGCTGCTGCAGAGAGAGAGAAATAAGAAATAGGAAAACATACTTTTCTAGTTATGCTGTTTTAGCTTTTGGTTCACCATGTAATCGGGTTGAACAACTGTTTTACCTACCAAATGTGTTTGGGTTGTGATGATAATTTGGGTTGAAATCACCAGTAACTCACTTTTCTCTAGAAAGTATAGCTTAGCTTTATGTTATGTGATTGATTTGTCTCCTTGCCTACCTGTTCATTTCTGGCTTCTGATATTCTTCAGCAGATTCCACACATGCCATCTTTCATAGTTCTCTCTTTTTGTACATGCTATATTTTCTACCTGGAATGCCTTTCTCTAAATGGATTGCCGTTCAGTCTTAAAAATTAAGCTTACATGTTATCTTTAGTAATTACCCTCTTTACTGTCAGAGTGCGTTGTGTGCATGTTATTAATACGTGTATTAAATAAGTACAGTCAAGTAACATGTTTAGAATGGTGTTTGGCACTTGCTGTTTGCTAAGTTTGGGCCTTATTACTATTTTACTAAGTTATATTTCTGTATCAGAAGAGTGCTACCTCCTTAAGGGCATAGATATGCAGTGTCTGGTCCATCTTTGTATTTCTAATGCTTGGCAATTAGGTGATTAATAAATGTTTGAATGAATGCTTTCCAGGAGTCTCTAAATTAGTAATACTGTTAACTCATGTTGGGGAGGGAAGGCGTGTGTGTGTGTGTGTGTGTGTGTGTGTGTGTGCGCGTATATAACTTTTAAAAACCGCTTTATTACCTCTCATAAAATTCACCAATTTTAAGTGTAGAATTCAATGATATTTAGTAAATTTTCATAGTTATGCAACCATTATCACAATTCAGTTTTAGAATATATCCTAGTCACCACACAGAAGATCTCTCGTGCCTGTACAAATTTTTTAATTCTTATTTTCTTTTTTTTTTGGTAGTGCTGTTACCTAAGTATTAACCTTCCCAAGGTATCAATGAAAGTCAGGCTGGGTGAAATAAAATGAAGACATTGTATTTCTTATCTTTGTATTATTTAGAAAGAATTTTCTTTAACATTTTTCTCTAGTGAGATTGAGTCCTAACTAAATCCTAACTTTGCTCAAGAAAATTTAAAATATCCAAAATTGTACAGTAATTACTATGTCATATTTTAAACTAACAATTTTTAGGGCTTTAAAGAAAAACCATGTGTTGGTAAAACTGACTTGAAAATTAGCAGGAATCAAGTAGCCACTAATCAGAAATTAAGGAGCAATTAAGTGGAAAGAAAATACTAGAATCTACACCTCATTAAAGCAGGGTAAGTGTTTAGTCCCTAGTGCTTAATACAGTGATGGATGCATAGTAAATGTTCATTAAATACACAAACTGCATTCCTTTTAAATAGAGCTAGCATTCTGTTTTGACTTGCTTAAAATTTTTTGTCAATTTCTTATCCCCTTTTGCCTGAATTTATAATTTTATAACTGTTTGACAAGCAAAGAAATATAAAATACCTGAGTGATCTGCCTAAACTCTACCCACCTCCTTTGAGGAAATAGCAGCAACAGTCCTCAACCTCCCCCACTTACAGTCGCTGTCCTTTATATAGCTCTCTGGCCTATACATAAGCCTTTGGCCAGTTTGTCAGCTTTCTGGAATTCTAATTGACACCACTGCTTACTGCATCAGTGTAAGTCATGTGAATTCACAACTAATATATTTTCATGTAGTATACAAAGCCTGCTCTTTAAGGACAGGCTTAGAAGTCTTATATATCCCTTTCATGGGGTCCCGAAGAACAACTATTGTTTGGAGTAAAAAACATGCCCAAATGCTGCCAGGCTGTGGTGCATAGGGTGTCTTTCTACCAGTTCATTCATTCTCTACCTTGGAGAGGAAAAGAAAACCCTTGCTCTATAATGAAGGGATTGTCAAATCTCTTATTTTGCAAAGTTTCTGTGAAAGTGGTAATAGCCTGGTCTTATGTTGTTACTACAGTGCTAAGTTGGTTTGATAAATGCTTTATTAGTAGTTTCAAATTATCAAAAAACCTCCAGACTTTGTTGTAACAAATGAGTATCAAGTAAAAAGAAAATCTTTCGGGTCAGGCGCGGTGGCTCACGCTTGTAATCCCAGCACTTTGGGAGGCCGAGGCGGGTGGATCATGAGGTCAGGAGTTCGAGACCAGCCTGGCTAACACGGTGAAACCCCATCTCTACTAAAAACACAAAAACTTAGCCGGGCGTGGTGGCATGAGCCTGTAGTCCCAGCTACTCAGGAGGCTGAGGCAGGAGAATTGCTTGAACCCAGGAGGCGGAGGTTGCAGTGAGCCGAGATCCCGTTACTGTACTCCAGCCTGGGCGACAAAGTGAGACTCCGTCTCACCAAAAAAAAAAAAAAAAGAAAAGAAAAAGAAAATTTTTCGTAAATCTCTGGATTTAATAAATGAGATGTAATATAATGGGAGAAAATTTTTTGGAGTAAACAAAACATTTATGTAAATATGCAGTATGTAGTTGTTTGGGATTTATTTAATAGTATGCTCTAATGAAAAGAAGTTAAAGCCCATTATACCTTAATCCTCCTACTTTAGATGAAGTGATTGCTAATAAAAACTTTCCTTAGACTGGAAATACCCAGTCCCTCAGAAGTCTACCTTATTTATTTGTTGAACAGTCTTAAGTAATGCATCCTACAGATATTGTTTTCTGTGCCTGAGACATAGGTCATAGTTTTTTGTTACTAGAATTGCTTATTGATTTCATATTGTGATATTATGCAAAGCTCATTGTGTTGGTAATACTACTTTTGCTTTAGTGTGAACCATTGGCTCTCCAATTCACTTGAACTCTGACTTCGAGAAGTGTGGAAAACAATATGGCTTAGTGGTTAAGTGGCTTTGTGTGAGACTGTCTGGGTTGTAATCCTAGCCACCTTTGGACAAACAATCTAACTTCTCTAAGCCTCAGTTTTCTTATTTTTAAAAAGAAATAAAGGGTTGTTTTATTCTTACCTCATAAGGCTATAATGATTATATGAGATAGATGTTAACACTTACCGTAGTATTTAGCTAATTATTTTTACTCATTTTGCAGCCTATTTTGTTATTTTAACATTGACTCCTGGTGTTTTAAAAAATCTATATCTGTACCAAATAAAGTTGCATAGTATATTAGAAAGTGATAAATGGTATAGAGATAAATAAGGCAGGGAAGAGAGAGAGAGAGAGAAAGTACCCAAATAGAGAGTTGGCAGATGGTCAGGAAGGGAAAAGCCTTCCCATAGAGGTAAGGAACTGAGCACTGCAGGTAGTAGGGGAAGAGCATTCCAAACTGAGGAAATAGCAGCAGCAGTAATACTAAGCTAACACATACACTGCTGTGTACCAGGGACAGTTTAAGTACTTTACATATTTTAGCTGATTTAATCCTTAACAGCAGTCCTGTAAAGAGGGTGTTTTTACTATCCCAATTTTATAGATAAGGAAACTGAAGTGCAGAGAGCTAGTAAGTAGTATGGCTAAAAAAATTGAACCCAGGCAGTTTGACTTTGGAGTCCATCTTCTGAGAAGTTACTGTATAGTGTATTAGTTAAGGCCTTGCTACAAGAGACTTTACAGTGTGTTCGAGAAATAGCAGAGTTGGTGTGAGTATAGCAGAATGAATGAAGATAATGGTAGGAGCTAAGGTCCAAGCAGTGGTATTTAGGGAAGGAATGAGGTGGGAAGATTTGACTGGACGTAAGCCACTGTAAAGACTGGGCTTTTAAGTCCGAAGTGGAGCGTGTGAGAGTCTTTGGATATTTTTGAACAGGAGGATGATATGATCTGACTTTTTACAAAATATTTTTTACTGATTCCTTGGACCTTTCCTTCCTTGGAGTCTATGGGTAGAATTCAGGAGGGCCCCTGGAATTTAGAAGAAATTACATCTTTATTTTCACTAACTTATAACTGAAGCAGTGTTTCCTTCACTCAATGTAGCCAGTTAACCATAGTAATATTAGAATTACCTGTGACTGTTACCACCAATAAAAATCACCTCTTTGTTGCATTTATGGTCGTCATTACTTTGAAGTTATAGTAGTTACTAGACCCACTGCTAGATCCCATTTAATGTGATAATAAAGAAGCACTTACATTACATTTTTTTATATTTACAGCTCTTTTTTTTACATTTATGTATCAAGATAGTTTCCTTTGTAACTAAATATGTATATATATGTACATATATACACACATATATACATATATATACATATATACATACATATATATACATATATATATATAGTGTGTGTGTGTGTCTGTATTTAAAAACACTATCTGAGAAAGTATCCATTGATTATACCAAACTGCCAAAGGAGTCCATGGCACATAAAAATTAAGACTTCCTATGAGGATTACTCTGGTTGCTGTCATTATACTAGACTCTGGAGGAAGACAGAGGGTAAGAGCAGGAGGGCTACATGTTAGGAGACTTTCACAGTTATCTAGTTGAGAGATAATGGTACGTTGGCCCAGAATAGTAGCAGAGGAGGCAGTGATATGTGTTTGGATTGTATGTCTTGAAGGTTGAACCAACAGGATTTGCTGACAGATTGAATATGTAATGTGAGAGAAAAATAATCAAGGATGGCTCCAAGGTTTTTGGTCTTTGCAGCTGCAAGGATGGAGTTGCCATTTGCTGAGATGGCAGGTGGAGTGTATTAAAGATCAAAAGTTCAGTTTTGGATTTAAGTTTGTGATATTTATTAGACATCTAGTATGACTTTCTGAGTTGTTACCGCTACGTAATACACAGTCATTAGAAAGAATAAGGTGAACCTGTATGTAAAAACAGATTGAACTTATATTGTTTCTGAACATTTGAATGTTTTACAGTGAACACACATGCCTGTAGTAAGTAACTTAAAAAATGAGAAAAATATGTTTAAAAGTAAAAGAATGGCCATGGTGTGCCATAGAAAATTGGGTGACCATGAAAAATAATAAAATAGGTCTTTATACACCACCATGGAATATCTCTAAGTTCTATAAACAAAGTAAACCAAAACAAGGTAAAAAACAGGATAGATAGACGTGTCAGAATCATGGTAAATCTAACAGTGTTTTCTATGAGATAAGGAAATTGTGGGTGAGCAGGAGGGCTCCTTTGGCTTTTTTTCGCTTTTTTTTTTTAAATAGTTGAATTTACTAATCTTGTACGTGTGTTATTTTTTGTAATATCATCGGTTCATATGAGGGGTGAGATTATGGGCTCTTTTATTCTTTGTACCTCTGTATTTTTATAAACCTTATATTATAGTTTTTAAAATTGTGATATAGCCAATATTGTATTAATAATTTCAAAGAGATTTTTCATGTTTTGCAATATGAATGGGAAATGAAGATTGAAAATCATCTACATAGTATGATTTTTATTATGAGTAAGATTTGACTTTATATCCATATGGCTAAAAGAAAAGATTAGAGGTGTATATTGAAATGTTAATAGTGGTTTTCTCTGGATAATGGAATTTGAGGTGATTTTAAAAATATTTTCCTTTAATTTTTTTGTAGACTATGAGAAGACAACGAAATGAAGTTGTAGTTGAATTAAGGAAGGTGAGTCTGATTAATATTGGGTACTTCTAAGCATAATTCTAACAACATTATAGCATTATATACAAGATGCCAAATATATATTATGTTTTTAGGTAAAATGTATAACCTATTGTATAACTAAATTTTATTTACTAAATTTAGTTAAACTTTTTAAAATCTCAACTGCTAAGCATTTTTCTTTAGAAAAAGGAGAGATTTTGACTAAATTTGACAGGCTTTTGAAGTTGAAAGGATACAACTAGTTACTTGTTCATTATGCAAAAACAGATATAAAGAACTTAAAGTATAAGTCATTGAGATACAGTTGTATTAAATAGTTCTGCTATTAATGGGCAGTAGTAAGTCCCTGAAAAGAACTTGTTGCAAACTTCTTCAACTTTTAAGTATTATAGTTGAGAATATATTTATAAATTTGCTCCAAGCATTTTAAGTGAAGTTGAAATGGCCCTTGATTTTTGTAAGACATTGTTGGTTTTTGTCTAACTTTGAACTGCCCAACTTCTGCTTTGACTTTGCTTTTAGGTGGTAAAGAGGAGCTCCCAGATCATGTATAAAATGGTTTAGTACTTTTAAATAAATATTTGTGTTTGGTTCTGGCTTAAACTGTACACTATATTTTTTAGTCAAACTTTTGTTTTTGTTTTGTTTTGTTTGTTTTTACATAGTTCACGGTTCATTAAAAATGTAATATTTGGGAACTGGGACTCAAATTAGTGTTGCGTGAGTGGTTAATTCACAGTTTGGTTTAATTTTTTACATTTGAATTTTACTTTTAAAAGGCACTTCATATTTCAGTTTTTAGGCACAGGATTGCCTGAGCTTTGTATGAAAGTATTCAGGTTTTCTTTTTAACTCAAATTCTCTGTTTGGTTTTTTTTTTTTTTTTTTTTTTTTTAAGAATAAAAGAGATGAACATCTCTTAAAGAGAAGGAATGTACCACATGAAGATATCTGTGAAGACTCTGATATAGATGGTGATTATAGAGTGGTAAGTCATTGTTATTGTTATTCTGGTAACTTAAAAGTACGAGTGAAAGATTTCACATTAATAAGAGAATTTTAAGGTGACTTTTTAACTGAGTTTTCTCTTTAACTTTTTTCCCAGCAAAATACCTCTCTAGAAGCTATTGTTCAAGTAAGTTGGATTTTTTCCCTCTCTTCATTTGCATTTCTTGTCCTCAACAGCTAATCGTGATATATTTACATCATAAATTATTTTATTTTTTATAGAATGCTTCAAGTGATAACCAAGGAATTCAATTAAGTGCAGTTCAAGCTGCTAGGTAAGTTGAATTTGGAAGACATGTTTAGATTTTACAACTTACACAGGGGTTCTATTTTGAATTTTTACTATTGAGTAGTCCCTGTTAATCAAATTTAACTTGATGACAAACAATAGTAAATAGTAATAGATCAACTAAATTTATTTTTTTAATTCTGTGGTTTAGAATATTAAAATTGGTGACAGTTTTTTAAACAATTTTTATTTTTAGTTGAAAGTGTACACTGAAGGTTTAATATACATAATGCATACAGATGCCAAGGAAAGTTGATTTAACAAATTAATGCCATAGAGTAAGAGAAAAACATTATTTGTAAAGCTTTACCTTTTACTAATGAATAGGTTTAATTTTATAAAGTCAGATTCTTCAGATCCTTACCAGGTATCTTAATTCTTCTCACAATCCTCATATTGATCAAACAATAAATCCAGAATTATAATGTTACTATGTCAGTGTACATAGACAAGTAGATGTAGATTAAGATTAATGACGGCCGGGCGAGGTGGCTCACACCTGTAATCCCAGCACTTTGGGAGGCCGAGGTGGGCGGATCGTGAGGTCAGAAGTTTGAGACCAGCCTGGCCAACATACTGAAACCCCGTCTCTACTAAAAATACAAAAATTAGCCCAGCATGGTTGTGGGCACCTGTAATTCCAGCTACTTGGGAGGCTGAGGCAGGAGAATCATAACTCCATCTCAAAAAAAAAAGAGATTAATGACTGCATACACTCCCAGTGTCTTTCCAGGTAGGAAATACCAAGTTGTTTGAACATTTCTTTTTTTTTTTTTTTTTCTGAGATGGAGTCTCACTCTGTCGCCCAGGCTGGAGTCCAGTGGCGCAATCTCAGCTCACTGCAACCTCTGCCTCCCGGGTTCAAGCATTTCTCTGCCTCAGCCTCCCAAGTAGATGGGATTACAGGCGCCCGCCACCATGCCTGGCTAATTTTTGTATTTTTAGTAGAGACAGGGTTTCACCATCTTGGCCAGGCTGGTCTTGAACTCCTGACCTTGTGATCCACCTGCCTCAGCCTCCCAAAGTGCTGGGATTACAGGCGTGAACCACCATACCCTGCCTGTTTTGCACATTTCTATTGTAAAACCTATGCTCTCATATTTTAAGGGAAGAGGCAGAAAAATCTATTACTGAGACCTTTGTATTAATAAATAGGTTGGGGAAGACATGGTTGTATCATAATGCAATTTAGTGGTTGCTTTGTATATTTATGAATATAAGAATAACACCCTATGTTGAGTTTATCAGTAGGAAAGAGACAAGTAAGAAACTGATCCTAGTTACAGAATTTGAAAGTGGAAAAAGTTTGTAGGTCTATCCAATACCTTATCCAGTGCTGCACGAATCTGTTTTATATTTATTAGACTTTTCCAGTATTTGTTTATTCACCTTAAATAACTTAGAACTGATAGGGAAGTTATAAAATTACAGTATTGTGTACCAGAGGTAAAAGAACTTCTTAGAGAGGAATTCTTTATGTAGGCAGAAAAATCTCAGAACCATTCACATTGCAAAATAGCAAATTAATGTTTATAGGAAGAATGATTAAGAAATCGATTATGCTCACCATTGTCAGAGTTGAATATTGGATAGTTTTGGGACAGTTCTTCTCAACATGCAATCTGCAAGAAAATTAAAGCCCAGTGTACCCTAAGAGGTTTTCAAAGTATGATCTGTGGATCACTGGGAGATTCCAAGACAATTTCATGGGTATGCAAGAGCAAACTGATTTTCAAAATAATTCTAAGACTTCATTTGCCTTTTTTTCACTGTGTTAATGTTTACACTGGTATTGCAAAGCAACTGTGAGTAAAATTGCGGGCTCCTTAATGCAAATCAAGACAGTGGCACCAAACTGGTTTTATATTATATTTTGTAAAAATTATATTATTCACCATTATGTAAAGAATAAAAGACATTTCTCTTCTAAAATATCCTCAGTGAAGTGTAAAAAAAATTTTTTAAATTAAATTTTGACCCTTGATCTCATGAAACCTTGTTTGAGAAGGCTGGGTTAAGACTTCTTCGAAGTGGTTTTTTTTTTTTTTTTAAATTTCCACTTAATGCTAAGCACTGTGCCATGTGTTGAGGAAATAGCATGTGGTATAATTCTTTCTCTTTAAGAACTTTATAAGCTAATTGGAAAGGCAAAACTGTATTTTAAAAAATAGGGGGCTGGGCGCGGTGGCTTAACGCCTGTAATCCCAGCAGTTTGGGACGCCGAGGCCAGGGGATCACTTGAGGTCAGGAGTTTGAGACCAGCCTGGCCAGCATGGTGAAACCCCCGTCTCTACTAAAAATATAAAAGTTGGCTGGGTGTAGTGTCACATGCCTGTAATCCCAGCTACTTGGGAGGCTGAGGTGGGAGAATTGCTCGAACCTGGGAAGCAGAGGTTGTAGTGAGCCAAGGTGGCACCACTGCACTCCAGCCTGAGTGACAGACTGAGACCCTGTCTCAAAAAAAATAAGTAGTGATAGCACCAAACGTAGGGCTATGCTGTATAAATCCTCTTGAAATTCAAAGATGGTGTTATGTAAAACATAGAACTTGAAATGGACTTTGAATAGAGTTTGAATACATAGAAGACCGGGCATTTCAAGTGAGGGGTTTAGGATAGGTTCAGTCTTATTTCAGTTGAAATGCTGTGACAGACAACTAACCTATTGTTTAGTTACACAGAATAAGATTAGTTATAAGATGGAGCCAACTTGTGAAGTAGTTTAAAGCTAGGTCAAGGAGTTTACATTGATAAAGGTAGTAAATAAGCAGCCATCACATAGTTTATATAGGGAAATGATTTGGTTAAGCTTTCATAAACATTGCTTTTATATAGTAATACAGGGTGTTCCAGTGGGTAAAGATATGATTAGGCCACACTGAGGACTTATCAGCTAAACCTGTAGTCTCCCACATGTGAAAATAGACACTAGGTTTTGTTTTTATCTTATAAGCTCCATGAGAGCAGTGATGTGTCTGTCTTTTTTACCTCAGATTCTCTAGCATCTCTCTGGCTGTTTTCCTATCAGTTGCTGTGCTTATTCCATTTCTCTTTAGTTGCTGAGATGAAAATGTTGTTGAACTTTTATGGCCTTAAATTTGGTGTGTAAAGTAGAAGGAAGAATTAGGGACTAATATCAGCTATAACATATTTCAGCAGACTACCTGCTTTTGTCATTTGACTCTCTTGTGACCTAGTGTGAATAATTTTGGATATTTTGGTGACCTCTTAATTCCTTTCTTAGCAAGGTAAAAGCTGTGTTGAAGAAATCTGCCCATTTTTTTCTCTGAACTCAAAATTATGTCCAAAAGTAACATGTATTTTTTAAAAATTAGTTTTCTTTTTATAAGTCACAATCAGGACTTTACTGAGGGAATAATAATGTTGTACCATTAAAAGTAGTAAAGTGGCCAGGCTCCGTGGCTCACGCCGGTAATCCCAGCACTTTGGGAGGCCAAGACGGGTGGATCACCTGAAGTCAGGAGTTCAAGACCAGCCTGGCAAACATGAGGAAACTCCGTCTCTACTAAAAATACAAAAATAGCTGGGTGTGGTGGCGCACGCCTGTAATCCCAGCTACTCAGGAGACTGAGGCAGGAGAATCACTGGAACCCAGAAGGCAGAGCTTGCAGTGAGCCAAGACTGTGCCACTGCACTCTAGCCTGGGCAACAGAGTGAGACTCCATCTCAAAAAAAAAAAGGTAGTAAAGTGGTTCATATCTACATTCTTATTTTTCTAATTATTTGTCATCTCTATAAATTTAATTTGTATATCTTTTTATAAATTTAGAGAAAAGGTTGCATTATATAAATTGTTAATTTCAGAGAAGGCACTTGTACCAAATATTCAGATTTATGTTAATATTTGTCAAATATGAATTTATATTTAATCATAATATTGTATGTTATTAAGTTTCACAGGAGTGTTTTTATCTCTTACAGGAAGCTTTTGTCCAGTGATCGAAATCCACCAATTGATGACTTAATAAAATCTGGAATATTGCCCATTTTAGTCCATTGTCTTGAAAGAGATGACAAGTGAGTACATTATTTATTTTTTTTTTTTTAATTTAGAATGTATCCTTTGGAGAAGACAAGACTCTAGTAATTAGTTTGATCTTTAAAGAAAGAAGAAAAGGGCTATGGGATGGAGTTGAAAAGTCAAAGTGAAAAGCAGTGCAAGGTTTGTTAACACCAAGAGATGAAGGTAGTAGCCAAAAAAGGAACTTGAGAATGATAAATTTAACTTTTATGCTTTGAAAATTGGCAAGAACTAGTTTGACCAGATAGGTACTTGAGAAAACTGTTTGGGGAGTAGTATGCAAGTATCTTAAAAAAGATTTCTTACTAAAAATCAGGATGCTGGAGGAGGTTGTATGCTTTTTATACTGAAGAGATGTTTTAAACAGTTGTTGAGGGTTAAAAAAATATGCTGGATGGATAGATAACTTTTGAAACAAAATATTTAATGCATTTTAAATGGTAGAAGGAAGAATGGTTAGATATTTGGCCCAATGTAAAAATCCCTGCTGTTTAAAAATACTTGTTTTTTTTTGTAGTCCTTCTTTACAGTTTGAAGCTGCATGGGCTTTGACAAACATTGCATCTGGAACTTCTGAACAAACTCAAGCAGTAGTTCAGTCCAGTAAGTTGGTTATTAATAAACATAATTGTGATTTTTTTTAAAAGAAGTCGGTAAAAAATAGTGATCTTCCCAAAAGACTATGGCAATTTAAATTATAAAATAATAGCTACTACGTAGTTATTGAAATAGGTCAACTTAAGTATGTTACTTTAATCTTCTTATTCTGGTGACTGATGTTTTTTGTATTTCCAAAAATTCACTTGATTCCTTTCTAAATATGAGAACATTTCCTAATTATAGTAGCAGATTACATTATTATTGTTACACTTTATTTATAGGACATCAGTAGAAATAAAGGAGTTTTTCCTGTTGCCACATTGCCTCTCAGCCTCTCTTTTTTTGTTTTTGTTTTTTTGTTGTTGTTGTTTTTCTTTCTCAGACAAGATCTTACTCTTTTGGCCAGGCTGGAATACAATGGCACAATCTCAGCTCACTGTAGCCTCGGCCTCCCAGGCTCAAGAGACCCTTCCGCATCAGTCCACCAAGTAGCTGGGACTACAGGCATGTGCCACTGTGCCTAGCTAATTTTTGTAATATTTTTGTGTTTTTTGTAGAGACAGGGTTTCACCATGTTGCCCAGGCTGGTCTCTAACTCTGGGCTCAAGTGATCAACCTGCTTTGGCCTCCCAGTGTGCTGGGATTATAGGCATGAGCCACCACACCGGGCCTCAGCCTCTCTTAATGAGATTTTTCTCTTTTTTTTTTTTTTTTTTTTTTTTTGAGATGGAGTCTCACTCTGTCGCCCAGGCTGGAGTGCAGTGATGCGATCTCGGCTCACTGCAAGCTCCACCTCCCGGGTTCATGCCATTCTCCTGCTTCCGTCTCCCAAGTACCTGGGGCTACAGGCGCCCACCACCACGCCCGGCTAGTTTTTTGTATTTTTAGTAGAGACGGGGTTTCACTGTGTTAGCCAGGATGGTCTCGGTCTCGATCTCCTGACCTCATGATCCGCCTGCCTCGGCCTCCCAAAGTGCTGGGATTACAGGTGTGAGCCACCACGCCCGGCCATATCATATATTTTAAAGAAATCTTCTATAAAGTAGTCCTAGTTGAAAGAATGGCTCGAATTTTTTTTTCATTGTTATTATAATAGGATTGCTTTTTTTTGTTTCAAGAAATGTAAGTGGAAAATTATTGGAAGTAAGAACCCGAGTGTATTGTCTTCATGAATAGTATTTGATTGTTCTACCAAACAAAGAAATTAATAATTTTAAAGAAGATACTTTTAAAATCCTCTTTAAATATGTAAGCAGCATACTTCTCTGAGCTTATTAAAAATGTAAGCACTAATTTGTACATTTTGAAGGGGAACAAAGATGTTATCCAAATAATCATTTTACTGTAGACACTTATGTTGTAATATTACTTAGAAAAGATAATTACCTCACATCCTATTAAAACTGGTTTGGTTTTGGGTTCAGGTGGTTTTTATTGTGGTTTTTTGGTTTTGTATAGCTGACTCTTAGGAAAATTTTTGGTTTCATAACAATGTTTTATTCCCTCTCACACTTTTTCCTTTCTGTTATGTATGCTCTCTAAAGATTAGAAAGAGGCTTAGAATTTTTTTGACCCTGCTAGTCTGCTTTAATATACCAAAAATAATAAATAAATAAATAAATGAGGTTGGGCATGGTGGCTCATGCCAGTAATTCTAGCACTTAGGGAGGCTGAGGCAGGCAGATTACTGGAGTCCAGGAGCTAGAGACCAGCCTGGGCAACATGGTAAAACCCCATCTCTACAAAATGCAGGAAAAAAAAATTAGCCGGGCTTGGTGGCATGCACCTATAGTCCCAACAACCCAGGAGGCTGAGGTAGGAGGATCACTTAAGCCAGGGGAGGTCAAGGCTGCAGTGACCTGTGGTGACACCACTGAACTCCAGTCTGGGCAGCAGAGTAAGGCACTATCTCAAAAACAAACCCATAAGTGAATTACCTTTTATGATATTACAAGCATGATTGAGCTACATATACTTAAATAGTGCTTTTTAAAGTAATATCAGAAGGAAAGAAGAAGAATCATTTGTTCAGTGCAGTATTTTGTTCAGATACAGACCTATCTCTGTTTCCCATCCTGTTGAGTAACAGAATCACTTTCTGATTCGGAAGATCCCACATGGCCCAGGAATCACTGGCCTGTCTTAAAGACCCACATGTTGTTAACATAAATTTGTGTTCAAAAGTTACTTCAGGCCGGGTGCAGTGGCTCATGCCTGTAATCCCAGCACTTTGGGAGGCCAAGGCAGGCAGATCACTTGAGGTCATGAGTTTGAGACCAGCCTGGCCAATACGGTGAAACCCTGTCGCTACTAAAAATACAAAAATTAGCCAGGCATGGTGGCTCACACCTGCAGTCCTAGCTACTTGGGAGGGTGAGGCAGGAGAATCACTGAAGCTTGGGAGGCAGAGGTTGCAGTGAGCCAAGATTCCACCGCTTCCCTCCAGCCTGGATGACAGAGTGAGACTCCGTCTCAAAAAAACAAAAAAAAAGTTACTTCAATAATGTACTTTTTTTTTTCAAACTACAGATAATCTATAAGGAATTAATCTTGAAATTAATTCCAGGTTTAATTGTTAATGAAATTTCACAAGCCTAATTTAACACTTGTCTGGATAACTCATTTTGATACTGAGTAAATAGTCACTGGTCAAAATTCTTCCAATGATGCTATTCCAATAAAATTCATTTAATGAGGTTATATTTTAAGTATATTTTTATAGGTTCCCTTTTTTTTGAGGTCTCAGCAAAAAAATAAAGATTGATTTTTGGTTTATGGTATCTTCAACCTTAAGTATTGTTATTTTTTCTTCCATCAGATGCTGTGCCACTTTTCCTGAGGCTTCTCCATTCACCCCATCAGAATGTCTGTGAGCAAGCAGTGTGGGCATTGGGAAATATCATAGGTTTGTATAAAACTTGTAATACTAGTCTAAAAATTGTTATCATATACTAAGTAATAAAAATAGCTACTAGTAATCCAAAAGAGAAAACAGTTTGCCTTCAGTACTAGTTTTTGTGAAATAGCTTACAGAAATTTGAACTGTATTACTGTAAAAGCATAAAGTCATAGTAAATAGAATTTTTGTTGCTTAAGATACCATTTTTTTGGTATATAGTTAGCTCTTAATTATTTGAATAATTATGCAAGATGTATACAATTTAGACCTTCTGTCTCATGCTAGGATCCATTTTTTCTTCCCCTAACCCCCATGTTGATCAGTGGGGTCCCTTTTTATTTCTCAGCTTTCTCCATCAAAGAAAGTAACAAGAAAAAAGACAAAACTTAAACCAATAATTTTTCTCCGTAATGACAGTTCTGAGAAGAGTCTAAAATGAAATTTTTTCTCTCTTGCAGACTTCAGTACATTAGAATTTAGTAATGTATAAAATATAGTAATATTATTTCCTGTCACCATGAATCAACAAGACATAACCATAGCCTTTTGACAGTCTGGTTAAATATTTAACACTGTGATTACTATAACTTTCAGGTTCTCTCTGATAAATAATTGTAAGGAAAATAAAGACAATTCTGATATTTCAAGGATTTGTTTTTTTAACTAGAGCCTAAACTCAAAAATTCAAAGAACTATTCTCCAGTAAAGGATGGAAAAAATCTGAATTGTATTGTGCCCCAGTATAGCTCAGAGACCTAACAGTTATGAGTGGGGGCTGAGGTACTGTTTGTAGGGGTATTGCTAATCTAGTGAAGGAGAATGATTCTAAAGATTATTTTTGCCAAATTCTTTATTCTTGCATGGAAATAATCATTGTTGCTTTGATATGCCATCTCTTTATTGCCCTTATACAGGGCCAACATGAAAGTAAAGAGTGGTTATGAGTTTTTAAGGGAGAATTTCTCTGTAAACCATTCTTGACATTGGGTTTATACTATTAGGAATGCTATTGTTTCTATATCCAGACTCCCTCACTCTTTTGCTTTTATACCAAATGTTAGATTTAGAGCTATTATACAGCATCTTGATCTTTCATTTTTTTATTCCAGTGACATTCCGTAATTAACATGAATATAAAGATGCAAAAAGAACAAACATTTTATCTCCAGATATTATAGTGCAAGGGAAGGTGCTTTCACTTATGGTAACATTTCAACATGGCTTCATATTAGAAACTGCAGTGATGCTTCAGATACAGAAATTAAACTTGGCAGTTCTCTGCAGCAGTGGTTCTCAAACCTTAGCATGCAATCAGGACTACATGGGGTGCTTGTTAAAACACAGAATTCCAAACCCATAGAGTTTCTGCTTCAGGAGGCCTGAGCTAGAGCCCAATAATCACATTGAGAACCACTATTCTAGCACTGGTTCACCCTTTTCTTCTGACATAGTTTTCTAAGTGTATAGAGTAATTTATAGTTCATAACCTTGATGCTCTGATACGGGATCATAAGTACAAATTCAACAAATATTTTCTTGATACATCTTTTTTATCACATGAAAGTTTGTTAAACCAAGAGTATTGTTGAGAGAGAAGTTAAAAGCAGCAGTTTAATTAAGTGAGCAGCAAAATGCTGAAGATGGGAATAATGTGCAAAAGAATACCTTATCACTTTATGTTGCCTCTCTTGGCTCAGAGACCTTGAATGTGAGCCTGCTTGTTATTGTCTAAAACTGAACAGTGTATCTGGATAAAATACATGAAGCAGCATATTCCCAGTGCTTTGTGTTTTCTGAAAATGCTTACTGTCAGTATGTTTTATTGAGTAAATTAATCCTTTTTTTCTACAGGTGATGGGCCCCAGTGTAGAGATTATGTCATAAGTCTTGGAGTTGTGAAACCTTTACTTTCCTTCATAAGTCCATCTATTCCTATAACATTCTTAAGAAATGTTACTTGGGTTATGGTCAACTTATGTCGCCACAAAGACCCACCACCACCAATGGAAACCATTCAGGAGGTAAACACTTTTAAAAAAAAATTAAAAGAGATACCATTATATATATATTTTTTATTTGTGTATGTTTTTAAATCTACATATTTCTCTCCTCAGATTCTTCCAGCCCTTTGTGTTTTAATTCATCACACAGATGTAAATGTGAGTAAATGTGTCCTATTATATATTTATGTATGTATGTATGTATTTCTAGGGCTTCCCCTGTGACATAGGGGAGAAATATTATACTAACACATTGTGTCAGCATACTATCAGATTTTCCCATTTCAAGAGTTATTTTATATTAGATTAGTTATTTTATAATATTTTAATATTTACTCTATGTTTATCTATATCACAAAATATAATACCAGTTAAGAAATCAAGCATAACTGTTATTTTGGTGTGGACAATATTGTATGTATGTGTATATATTAGTGTTATAAAAACTGACATTAAAAGTTTTTAAAGTTGCCAGATAGTGGTGATTTCTCTTACTAAGATCATGTCTTTAATTGTTCTTGTGCTTTTTACAGAAGGTCATTTTGACAGTTTGGCCAATGAAAGCACACACAAATAGTGCTATTTTTGTTTTTTGAAAGATGAAAAAGGAAAATGTTTGTGCATGGATTTGTATTCATATACACATACCAAACCATGGACATCAATTGCCCTTTAATTCCATTTTTATTCTATTTCTCAGTTACAGTGACTGGCAGTGGCTTCATTTATCAAGATAACTTGATTATCCAAACAACAGGAAAAAAAAATCAGTGCAGGCAAGATTTTAAACATAGCAAATATATTTTGCTTATTTTTACTAACACAGATGGCAGAGGAAAAAGCAACTCAGGGAGTATGAATGAGGTGGAAAACTGCCCTGAGTGCTTGTAAAAGCCAGACCAGCCTTTGGTGTGTTAGAGAAACCAGGAATATAATGGGTAAGGGAAAACACATGAATGAAATGTTTAGCAACAATCAGGAACTCATGTGGTTCTTTAAAAACAGTTTGGCATGGTGACCAGTGTTGGACAAGCTGCTTCATTTCTTTACAATTTAAAGGCCTATGCCTTTTGGCCAGAATTTAATTTGTATGGAACAAATTAAAATTAGAATTTTACTGTATCAAACAGTGACATAATATATAAAATTCATTAGATGAACATGATCTCTGTGGTAGAGTTTTTGTTTGTTTTTAGCCCCAGATAGTTTAGGATCTTAAAAAATGTGTAAGTAATTTTTGGTTTTGGCTCCTTAATAGCCAAGTTCTTTGATTAAATTGTGAATTTCAATATTTTGCTTTGAAAGATTTACAAGAGGCCAGGTGTGGTGGCTTATGCCTATTGTCCCAGCACTTTAGGAGGCTGAGGCAGGAGGATCACTTGAGTGCAGGAGTTCGAGACCAGCCTGGGCAACATGACGAAACCCTGTCTCTATGAAAAATACCAAAAAATTAGCCAGGCATAGTGATGTGCACCTGTAGTCTCAGCTACTCAGTGGCTGAGGCAGGAGGATCTCCTGAGCTGGGGAGGTCAAGGCTGCAGTGAACTGTGATCATGTCACTGCACTGCAGCCTGAGTGACAGAGCAAGACCCTGTCTCAAAAATAAATAAATAAATAAATAAATAAAACGATTGGCAAGAAAGATTTAACTTCAAAGTTTATACCTCTACTAGAAAACAAGACATCTTGGTTGACTTTATTTAGAGATAGATTGTGTTCTTTCCACCTATTTACTCCAATCTAGATGAGACTGTGACTCCATTTTCTTGCCTTTGATGTATCTTGAAGAATTTCTCAAGCCTGTTTACATTGTTCTTTTTAGTAACATGATTAACAAATAATATTGCTTACTAAATAATGTGTTAGAAGTTTGATTTGAATTATGATTTTGATCTGAGCATATTAGTGACATGTCCTTTAAAAACATGTATCTAGCTTTTATATACAGTTATGAGCAAGTAACTTGAAATTTTTGGCCTATGTCAACAAATTTTAGCATATGTTAATATTCCAGAAAAGAAACTCAGTTACATTTGCAAATTGAAATTTAGGTTTTTTCACATATATTGATACCATTTTTTTATGTGAATTCTTTTTTTTTTCTTTTTGAGACAGAGTCTCGCACTGTTTCCCAGGCTGGAGTGCAGTGGCATGATCTCCACTCACTGCAACCTCTGCCTCCTGGGTTCCAGCGATTCTCCTGCCTCAGCCTCCCGAGTAGCTGGGTTTACAGATGCCCGCCACCACGCCTGGCTAATTTTTTTGCATTTTTTAGTGGAGACAGGGTTTCACTATGTTGGCCAGGCTGGTCTTGAACTCTTGACCTCGTGATCCACCCACCTTGGCCCCCCAAAGTGCTGGGATTGCAGGCGTGAGCCACCACACCCAGCCTGTGCGAACTCTCATTTGATGTCTTCTTTTTACATTAGAAATATCCTTAGAGCTTTCTTGAATTTCCTAAGAAACAATGGCAAAGCATTATTTTCACCTTTTAGGAGTTTCGGGGTGTCTTTTTGGTTTTTTTTATCTTATTTTTTTATTTTCTCTTGGGTGTCCTAAGCATAACATTAGTTTACAGTTTTACGATTTTTTTAAAGTCAGGGTCATAAAAACAAGAAAAAATAAACAATGCCGAATTGTTTCTGTTTTTCATAGAGACGGGGTTTCACCGTGTTGCCCAGGCTGGTCTGTAACTCCTGGGCTCAAGCAGTCCACCTGCCTTGGTCTCCCAAAGTGCTGGGGTTACAGGCGTGAGCCACTACTCCCTGCCTAGTTTATTGTTTTAAAGGTTTTACACTTCTCCAGCTTGTCTTGACACAGAGTTCATATTCTGGAAAGGCTTTGGAAGTAGTTTTAGGCACAATTATTATTCCCATGTCTTTGTCAATAATTTGTGTATTTATTTGCAGCAGTTACAGTTGTTTGTCATACTGCCCTTTGGTCATAACTTCTAATTAGGACCTAACGTACTAGGAAAGATCAAACACATGGCCTGTTGTACTTAAAGATGTAATCGTTAAAAAAAATGGTAGGCTACTTAGTAGAAGTTGATTACACAGGCTTTTTTTTTTTTTTCATAAGTAGCAGCTGTAGTGAAGTACGTATTTTTTGTTTTAATTACAGGTCTCACAGATTGACCTATGATTATTTTAATGTCTTGATCTGCAGCTGTAGGGGACTTCCACTATTTAAGAAGTTGCTGGCCGGGCGCAGTGGCTTACGCCTGTAATCCCAGCACTTTGGGAGGCCGAGGCGGGCGGATCATGAGGTCAGGAGATCGAGACCATCTTGGCTAACACGGTGAAACCCCGTCTCTACTGAAAAATGCCAAAACTTAGCCAGGCGTTGCGGCATGCGCCTGTAGTCCCAGCTACTCGGGAGGCTGAGGCAGGAGAATGGCATGAACCCGGGAGGCGGAGCTTGCAGTGAACCGAGATCGCGCTGCTGCACTCCAGCCTGGGCGACAGAGCGAGACTCCGTCTCAAAAAAAAAAAAAAGTTGTCTCCAGTTCTGTAAGGCAAAACAAACTGGTTGGAAAAGATTAAAGTATTTTATACTACAATATGAATACTTGGGTTATTGGCTTTAGGCATATCTACATGGTACTTACAATACTAGAGAACTCCTTGAATATATTCATCTAGCCCAGATGTTTTGAACAACTGTGCATGTTGGATACATGTAGTCTTTCCAGCTTTATACATGAGCCACAATGTTTTTGGACCTGTTATCCCTCAGCCTTTGGGAAAGAGAATGTCTTTTTCTCCTGTTTTATGAGCTGTGTAGTGTGCGTGTGTATCTTAGTGAACTAAGATTGGATACTAATCTGGGATCAGAATCCTGAATATGGCTAAAAGATGTACGTCTTAGTACAGACATTTATAGATGATGATGTTTAATACCGTAGCGATCAGATTCCAATGAATTAAACTGAGAGAAGAAAAGAAGGAAGAAGGTAGTTGAACAATTTTAGAATGGTTGTTTGGTCAAGAATTACTAAAATGAGAAAATATTTAAAAGTTGTTTGAATTTTTATTTTATTCATTAGATACTGGTAGACACAGTCTGGGCCCTCTCTTACCTTACTGATGCTGGCAATGAACAAATACAGATGGTAATAGACTCTGGAATAGTTCCTCATTTGGTTCCTCTGCTCAGCCACCAGGAAGTTAAAGTTCAGGTAAGTTTGTTCTTAGTTAAATTATAAGTATTTCTTACCACTAATTGCTTTAAGCATGGCATTCAAAGATGGACAATTTCAGTAGTTTAAAGTATATTCTTAGCATAACAACAAATCTGTGATGGAAAGGGGAAAATAAATAATAAGATGCCATTGTAGATTACTAATTTCTTTTTTTAAGATGGGGTCTCACTGTCACCCAGGCTGGAGTGAGGTGGCGTGATCTCAGCTCACTACAACCTCCACTTCCTAGGTTCAAGGAACATTCTCCCACCTCAGCCTCTTGAGTGGTTGGGATCACAGGCACACACCATCATGTGTAGCTAATTTTTTTCTATTTTTGATACAGTCAGGGTTTTGCCATGTTGGCCAGGCTGCTCTTGAACTCCTGGCCTCAAATGATCCTTCCACCCCAGCCTCCCAAAGTGCTGAGATTACAGGTGTGAACCACCATGCCTGGCCGGATTACTGATTTTTAATGTAGACCAGGGAAGTTCATTATAGCAACATGCATGGCATCTGAAACAAGTATTGACAGACACTTATTTTTTCCTACTCCTCTTCTTTTTGTTCTTCCTCTTTCACTTCCCTACTTCTTTTTTTTTCTTCCTTGCCAACCATCCTTATTTACTCACCTGGCAAGTTTAGTTAACTCTTATCTTCATTGGTGCTGAAATAAGGGTACTCTACTGAAATGTGCTGTTTAGGGACTTTCTAAATTGTTGCTTTTCACTTATTTAAATTTATTTTTTATTGTTTAAATTCTTTCACATAATATTTATCCCAAAGAATTTGCATTTAGAAAGAGCCAAAAACAGAGTGTGAGAAGTTCTCAGAGATATAAGCAGTAGCTGTTAAGCTACAGTTGTAATGGGGGAGACGCAGCAAGCTCCCTCTACCTTTCTGAGGTAAATAGTATATTTTAATCTGCTAATGGCTTAGAATCTGTAAAGTACAATAATCGCATAAGAGAAACCGTTAGTCTGTAGCCTAAGTCATTATGCCTGAACATCAAAATAAACTGTGTGGAGCTGTTTTTAATTTCTCCTGCTCAACCCCTGGAGATTTCTGTTTCAGAAAATATTTCTTAGAAACTTGAGCTTTAAAATGCTCTTCAGGTGATACTGATACATAGTCAGATTAGAGACCCTGTACCTTAAAATTAAAGCACTTTAAAGAAGGAACACTTAGCTAAATACAGAAAGAATTAATATAATTGGCTGGACATGGTGGCTCACGCCTGAAATCCCAGCACTTTGGGAGGCCGAGGTGGGCAGATCACAAGGTCAGGAGACTGAGACCATCCTGGCCAACATGGTGAAACCCTGTCTTTACTAAAATACAAAAAAAAAAAAAAAAATTAGCCAGGCATGGTGGCATGTGCCTGTAGACCTAGCTACTCGGGAGGCTGAGGCAGGGGAATCACTTGAACCCAGGAGGCAGAGGTTGTAGTGAGCCAAGATTGCGCCACTACTCTCCTGCCTGGCAACTGAGCAAGACTCCATCTCAATAAAAAAAAAAAGAAAAAACAATAATTTGTCATTTAAGGCTATTTATGACTTATCTTAAATATTCTTGCCATATGTTTATCCTTAAGTTTGTATTTATTTTGTGTGGTACTTATGTCTTGGTACAGAATTTTGGTTTGTATTTTGTTTTTTGTTTTTCCAGAAATAATCTTCAGTTTTCATAATGGACTTCATTAAGGATCTGTAGGGCTTGGAATTTACCTTTAGCCAGTGCTCAAAGAAAGTTGAAATTCTCTACTCTACCTGACACCTTATAGAGATTTTCTTATACTTTTCAACTTTCATGCCATAATTTCATAAAATAAAATAGTGTAATGGAACCCCATGTAGCTTTTTTCTCTGTACCTCTACTCCTCCAAATTTATTTTGATACAAATTCCAGATATCATTTTACACAGCTTGCAGCTCTAAAATTTAAGCCTATTTTTTTTTTTTTTTTTTTTTTTTTGAGACGGAGTCTCGCTCTGTCGCCCAGGCCGGACTGCGGACTGCAGTGGCACAATCTCGGCTCACTGCAAGCTCCGCTTCCCGGGTTCACGCCATTCTCCTGCCTCAGCCTCCCCAGTAGCTGGGACTACAGGCGCCCACCACCGCGCCCGGCTAATTTTTTGTATTTTTTAGTAGAGACGGGGTTTCACCTTGTTAGCCAGGATGGTCTCGATCTCCTGACCTCATGATCCACCCGCCTCAGCCTCCCAAAGTGCTGGGATTACAGGCGTGAGCCACCGCGCCCGGCCGCCTATTTTTTTTAACATAACCACAATACCACTAGTAGACTTTTTAAAACCTTAATGTTAAATATTCAGTCAGTATCTGGATTTTATTTACTGCTTCATTATTTTTTCACAATTTTACCAAATCAGTATCCAGATAAAGACCACACATTGCATCTGCTTGCTATATATTTTAAGCCTCTTACTGTGCAACTTTCTTCTCCTTTCTTTTATCTTTCCTCTTTTCAATTTATTTGTTAAAGAAGCTAGGCTACTACAAAACATTTTTGGAAAACATTAAAGAAGACCTAAATAAATGGAAAGACATTCATGTTCATGGATTGTCTAATATTGTTAGGATGACCGTGCTTCCCAAGTTTGTCTACAGATTAAACACAATCCCTATTAAAATCCCATGTGCTTTTGGTTTTTGGCAGAATTTTACAAACAGATCTTAAAATCCATATGGAAATATAAGGGGCCTAGAAATAGCCAAATGATCTTGAAGAAGAACAAAGTTTGAGGACTTCTCATTTTCAAAACACTGCAAAGCTACAGTAAATAAAATTTTGTGATACTGGCATAAATATAGACATGCAGATCAATGAGATAGAATCGAGTTCAGAAATAAACCTATGCATTTTATGATTAGTTGATTTACTTTTTTTGTGTGTGTGTGTGAGAGTCTTGCTCTGTTGCCCAGGCTGGAGTGCAATGGCATGATCTCGGCTCATTACAACCTCTGCCTCCCAGGTTCAAGCAGTTCTCCTGCCTCAGCCTCCCAAGCAGCTGAGATTACAGGTGCCTGCTACCATGCCCAGCTGATTTTTTGTATTTTTAGTAGAGATAGGGTTTCACCGTGTTGGCCAGGCTGGTCTCGAACTCCTGACCTCAGGTGATCCACCCGCCTCGGCCTCCCAAAGTGCTGGGATTGCAGGCGTGAGCCACCGCGCCCGGCCAAGTTGATTTTCAATAAGGAAGCCAAGCCAATTCATTGGGGAAAGAATAACCTTTTCAACAGATGGGCAAGAACGACTGGATATCCACAAGTAAAATAATGAAGTTGGACCCCACTTCATACTACATGCAAAAACTCAGAATAGGCCGGGCGCGGTGGCTCACGCCTGTAATCCCAGCACTTTGGGAGGCCGAGGCGGGCGGATCACGAGGTCAGGAGATCGAGACCATCCTGGCTAACACGGTGAAACCCCGTCTCTACTAAAAATACAAAAAATTAGCCGGGCGTGGTAGCGGGCGCCTGTAGTCCCAGCTACTCAGCTACTCGGGAGGCTGAGGCAGGAGAATGGCGTGAACCCGGGAGGCGGAGCTTGCAGTGAGCCGAGATCGCGCCACTGCACTCCAGCCTGGGTGACAGAGCGAGACTCCGTCTCAAAAAAAAAAAAAAAACTCAGAATAGATCAAACACCTAAATATAAAATCTATAAATTTAAACCTCTTAGAAGAAAAATACAGGCATAAATTTTTATGACCCTAGATTAGACAGTGGTTTCTAAGATGTGACACCACAAGCAACCAAAGAAAAAGAATTGATAAGTCAGGCTTCACAAAACTTACAAACTTGTGTGTGCTTCAAAGAACACCATCAAGAAAGTGAAAAGACAACCCATAGAATAGAAGAGAATAGGTATTAGAAAATTATGTATTGGCAAAGGGATTTACATCTAAAATATTTAATGTATAAAGAACTGTTACTACTCAAAAATAGACAACTCAGTTTTTAACTTGGCAAAATATTTGAGTAAGCAGGCTTCTAAAGAAGATATAACAAATGGTCAGTAAGCACATGAAAAGAAGCTCAACATCATTAGTCATTAAGGAAAGGGAATTAAAGCCACAGTGAGATACTACTTCACACCCACCAGGATGGCTATAGTTAGGAAGACGATAACATACTTTTGGTGAGGGTGTGAGAAACTGGAATTCGTATATACTGCTGGTGAGAATATAAAATGGTACAGCCGCTTTGGAATATAGTTTTGGCAGTGCCTCAAAAAGTTAAACATAAGGTTACAATATGAACTGGCAATTAATTACTCTTAGGTACATACCCAAGAGAAATGAAAATGCATATCCACACAAAAATTTATACACAAGCATTCACAGCAGCGTTATTTGTAATAGCCAAAAAATGAAAACAATTTGAATGTCAGCCAATGAATGGTTAAATAAAATATGATACATTCACACAGTGAAATATTATTTGGTCATGAAAAGGAACAAAGTATTGATGCATGCTGTAACACGAACTTTTAACAACATTATGTGAAATGAAAGAAGCTAGACAAAAAAGGCCAAATACATTTTGATTTTGTTAATATGAAGTGCCCAAGATAGCCAAAATCTTAGAGACAGGCATAGTGTCTTCCAGGGACCTAGGGATGAAGGCAGTGTGGGAGTGATCACTAATGGATACAGGTGTTCTTTTTGGGGTGATCAAAGTGTTCTGGAATTAGATACTAGTAATAGTTACACAACTCTGAATATACTAAGAACTACTGAATTGTACACTTTGAAAGGGTAAATTTTATGTTATATGAATTTTATTTCAATTTTTTAAAAAATTTGGATCATTTGTCATGTAGAAAGGAAAATTAGAGGAGTAAAAAGCTTTACTTAACAGGAAATGACCTCATGCAACCACAGAAAAATAATTGATAATTCAAATTCATACCATAGTGAAATCTCATGTTAGGCAGGTATCTTCTTTCCTTCAGAAAGGCACTATGTTTTTTGTCTTTTTGTTTTTGACAGGGTCTTACTCTGTTGTCCAGGCTGGAGTGCAGTGGTATGATCACAGCTCACTTCAGCCTGGACCTCCCAGGCTCAAGCAATCCTCCCACCTCAGTCTCCCAAGTAGCTGGGACTACAGGCTCGTGCCACCACACCCAGCTAATATTTTGTAGAGACAGGGTTTTGTCATGTTGCCCAGCCTGGTGTCAAACTCCAGGGCTTAAGTGTTCCACCCACCTCAGCCTTCCAAAGTGCTGGAATTACAGGCGTGAGCCACTGCACCTAGCTGTTTTTATTTTTATATTTTCAACACTAAATCTAAAGTTCTGTCTTTTTTTTTTTTATGGCACTATCTAAAATTATCCTTCTTGTTTATTGACTCCTCTCTTACAATAATATAAGCTCTGTAAGAGCTGGAACATGTGTCTATCTTCACATCTCTGTTCCTACATCAGTGCCTGATGCTAAGTGCTCAAAAAGAATAGGTTTCTTGGAGCAGGGTGCAGTGGCTCATGCCTGTAATCCCAGTACTTTGGGAAGCCAAGGCAGGCAGATCACCTAAAGTCAGGGGTTCGAGACCAGCCTGGCCAACGTGGCAAAACCCCATCTCTCCTAAAAAAAAAATTACAGAATTAGCCAGGTATGGTGGCACGCGCCTGTAATCCCAGCTGCTCAGGAGGCTGAGCCAGGAGAATCGCTTGAACCTGGGAGGTAGAGGTTGCAGTGAGCCAGGATCGAGCCACTGCACTTCAGCCTGGGCGACAGAGTGAGACTCCGTCTCAAAAAAGAATAGGTTTGTTGGAAGAAATAGTGAATGAATGCATTTGTCTTTTATAAGGTACCTAACATGCCTTTTAATAAGGAGTGTTTCAGCTGGGCACAATGGCTCATGCCTATAATCCCAGCACTTTTGGAGGCTGAGGCAGGCAGATCCCTTGAGCCTAGGAGTTCGAGACCAGCCTGGGCAACATGGTGAAACTCTGTCTCTACAAAAAATACAAAAATTAGCCGGACAGGGTCGTGCACTGCTATAGTCCCAGATACTCTGGAGGCTGGGGTGGGAGGATCACTTGAGCCTGAGAGGCAGAGGTTACAGTGAGCTGAGATCGCACCACTGCACTCTACCCTGGGCGACAGAGCAAGACCTTGTCTCAAAAAAAAAAAAAAGGATTTCACATAGAATGTCATCTCATTGTGCATTTCAGACTGCTGCACTTAGAGCTGTGGGCAACATTGTTACTGGAACTGATGAGCAAACACAAGTAGTTTTGAACTGTGATGCTCTTTCACACTTCCCAGCACTCCTGACACATCCCAAAGAGAAAATTAATAAAGTAAGTACTATTAAATACTACTTAATAGATAGCACTTAAAATGTTAACAGTTTCTATTTGTAAAATTAGAGTCTTAGAAATGTCTGTAATATTGATTCTTAATACAAACTGTCATTTAGACATCAAGAGAAAATAAAAATTTTACTCTCCATAACAAGCATTAATAATTTTTTCATACATAAAACCAGTTATGAAAAGTGCAATTTTGGCTCTCTTGGAAATGATGAAATAGAGATAATTGGGTGTTGAATGTTGTATGACTGGAAATTTTTAATATGTATATTATGTAATTCTTATAAGTTTAGTGTTTTATAGGTACTTAATAGAGAGTGTGTATGCATGTGTGTGTGCTTGTGGTGGCTATGGAAAGGGGGCACTGACTGGTGATGCTGATATTGGAGTGCATCTGAGGCTGTTGTAGAAATAACATGGGTTGTTGATTACAACATTGCCAATGATTATAACCCAAGAACAGCTCACCTAACTAGCCTGGCACCCTAAAATCTCTAACAGGTTCATTAAAATGGTCCTGTGATCTGATCCAAAAGAGCCTAGTATACATTAGCTAATACTAATATTTTTTAGAGTAAAACTTATTAGTTATCTATGATTATAACGCGTAAGGCCACCATTATTTTGTCAAAAGTAGCACCAACTGTGATGTAAAGGGTAACATAAAAAGATTAAGATAGGCCAATAAAACAATCAAATATCTGGTTCCACTTTTCCTTGAGAGAAATTATGCAGTGAATGACTATTACAAATAAGTATACTAAAACAATGCACTTTGTTTTTTATGTCTCCATTGTTGTGGATAATTGATATTTATCTACTTTGGCTAAGATTCTTCATCAGAATAGAATAGAGAATAAAGCACATTATGTGAGGGAAGGGCACTGAATCTTATTTACAGCTGTTTTAGGATTTGTATTTGTATTATACTCATTATTCATATTTGCTCATTCATTATTTCATATTTGCTCATTCAAATTTGTTCAGCCAAGCTTCTTTTGAGCCACACTGTTTGGGAGCATTGTTTTCAATAATTCTTCCGAAGGGTTAGTTCATTGTGATTTGAATTAGGTCCATTAGCTGTTTGTCCAAAGAAAATATGGAAAGGGGTGTAAAGGAATTGAGATTCCTGAGATTTTTATTATGGAGCTCATTTCGTAGTAAAATCATTGGGACAGTGTAGTGAATGCTTTTTTACTTAGTTCAGATGCAGATTTTATTTTTTAATGAGAAATATTCAAATGCTCTTGTTCTACAGGAAGCAGTGTGGTTCCTCTCCAACATCACTGCAGGAAATCAGCAGCAGGTACAGGCAGTAATTGATGCCAATCTTGTACCAATGATAATACACCTTTTGGATAAGGTAAGAAAATCATGTTATATGTATCATTTATCTGATGTAAGGGGAAGGGGATTTAAATCTGAGACATTATGTGAATTTATACTTTCTGCTTAATTAGAAGCCATACAGTGGCATAAATATAGTAAAGTAATATTAACATTACGACTTTTGAACCTAGCCATTTTTATATACAAGAAACTTTTTGGGGGGTGGGGGGCAAATCCTAGCCCTTTCTGTGTATCATTCTTTTACCAAAATTGCCATTATCCTAGGCCATACTAAACTTTCATATCGTTACTGTTGATAATAAATGCTTACATAGTATTCTAAGCACTTTACATACATTACCTCATTGAATGACATTAAGCCTATAAGATTAGGGATTATTCCCACTTGATAGATGAAGAAACCCTGGTATAGACAAATAAATTGTCCAAAATCAAATAGCAAATAAGTATGCTATTGTATGCCATATCATCTCTCATGCTCATATTAGCATTTGGGAGAAACAGTTTATCGCAATTACAGCATGAGGCTGGGTGCAGTGGCTCACACCTATAATCCCAGCAGTCTGGGAGGCCAAAGCAGGAGGATCACTTGAGCCCAGGAGTTCAAGACCAGCCTGGGCAACATAGGGGGACTCCATCTCTACAAAAACTTTTTTTAAAAAAGAAATTAGTTTGGTGTGGTAGCATGCGCCTGTGGTTCTAGCTACTTGGGAAGCTACGGTGGGAGGATCATTTGAATCCGGGAGGTTGAGGCTGTGGTGAGCCATGGTCATGCCATTGCATTCCAGCCTGAGTGACAGAGCAAGACCCTGTCTCAAAAAAAAAAAAAAAAAAAAAAAACCACAAAGTAGAAGAAACAATCACAGCATGAGGGTTCTGAACACTGATCTGTAATTAAAGAGAAGATAAATCTGTTTCTCTGTGTTTCCTGTAAATCGAGTTCAGTTTTTTAGGCAAGAATATGTCATGCACAACTCTATTTCCTAATGATTCACATGAGGAGACACAGTCTGTCTTACATGTAGTGATATTAAGATTGTTGAGTGATCTGAGGTGTTACAGCCTATTCCAGCTGATGGTTATAAAGTTATCCATTAATCTTTCACCTATGGTTTTTAGGTAGCCATTGATGATCCTTGTTAGGATCCCTTGTTTTACTAGGAGTTGCAAAATGGTGACTTTCTAATTCCGTCATTCTTTGTGTATTGGCCATGATTCTTTAGTAAAGAACTTGTCTTGTTTTTTGTTTTGTTGTTTTTTTTTAGACG
Organism: Homo sapiens; assembly: GCF_000001405.40. Classification (NCBI taxonomy): domain Eukaryota; kingdom Metazoa; phylum Chordata; class Mammalia; order Primates; family Hominidae; genus Homo; species Homo sapiens. Next base: position 160,512,821 of record NC_000003.12, on the reverse strand, counting down.
GTCTCGCTGTCACCCAGGCTAGAGTGCAGTGACACGATATCAGCTCACTGCAATCTCTACCTCCCGGGTTTAGGCGATTCTTGCGCCTCAGCCTCCCAAGTAGCTGGGACTATAGGCGCACGCCACTACACCCAGCTAATTTTTGTATTTTTAGTAGAGATGCGGTTTCACCATGTTGGCCAGGCTGGTCTCCAACTCCCCACCTCAAGTGATCAGGTGTGAGCCATCCATGCCCGGCCAAGAGCATTTCTTTATCAGCTATTGTTTATTAATACTTTGAAATACAGTTCATTTAGGATAGGCAAGATAAATGTTTGATTCTTTGTCCTTATCAGTCATTTTTTAGAATGACTCGTTCCCTAATAACCTTGAAAGCAGACCAGAGTAGATTTTTTTTTAGTGTCATTTGGAAATTATGAATTTTTAAAATATATTTTGCAAGTTTTAATACCTTTTAGTTGTTACTCTTTTTGATACTCTGTTTGTTCCTGACCAACAGGAACCTCTTAGAATTGGTGACCTGTATCTTTTATGTTATCACTAGTTTTTGAGAGCTACACCTTTTGGATATGACATGATTCCCAGGCCTATCTTACATGTTTTCTGATCTAGAACTGGAATTAACTATTTTTCTATGGTATCTTGATTTTGTTTTGTAGAGAATGGTGTTTAAGGATCATATTTCAGCTATAAAGGTGATCATTGTTATAATGTTGTCATTTTTTCTAGGCCTGAATCAACAAAATAAATGATAGGCATTGTAGAAAGTGAAAGATGATGAGTTCAGGAACATGAGAGTTCATAAAAAATGAATCATGAATGAAAGGGAGCTATTAAATATTATTGGATATTTAAGATAACAGGGTTTTTAATTTTTATTCCTATGATTTTATATTTACATCTCTTTTATGCTGAAAATCTTCCTAAAAACATTAGCATAATTACTTATTTTTCTTACATTTTGGTATGTATAGATCTGTGGATACATGTCAATATACATTATTTTTAAGTACATCATTGATGATATATATCCTAAAGACCATAAAAAACTCCTAATTTTCAGCATGAGACAAAAGAGATGCAAATATATTTATATATATATATATAAAAATAACAAAGCCGTATTGCCCCTGACAACATGACTACTGAATGTACTTTTAAGATTTCTTTGACATTTGTTTGCCCTTAGAATATATTTCATCAGTAATGTACTTAAAAAAATGTCAGTCCCATAGCACTATATAGAGAGCTTCTTTATTCCTTGTTTTTTTTTCTTATTCCTTGTTTTTCTTATTCCTTTCATAGCTACATAGTACTGCATTGTACGGATGCACTATAATGTATGAAGTCAATCTATTAATGATGATATTTGAGATGTCTCCAGTGTTTGTTGTTAAATAGTACTTTAAAGAATAGTGGCCGGGTGCAGTGGCTCACGCCTGTAATCCCAGCACTTTGGGAGGCTGAGGCGGGCAGATCATGAAGTCAGGAGATCGAGACCATCCTGGCTAACACAGCAAAACCCCATCTCTACTAAAAATACAAAAAATTAGCCAGGCATGGTGGTGGGCGCCTGTAGTCCCAGCTACTCGAGAGGCTGAGGTAGGAGAATGGTGTGAACCCAGGAGGCAGAGCTTGCAGTGAGCCAAGATTGCGCCACTGCACTCCAGCCTGGGTGACAGAGCGAGACTCCATCTCAAAAAATAAATAAATAAATAAAAGAATAGCTTGTGGCTGGGCACAGTGGCTCACACGTGTAATCCCAGCACTTGGGAGGCTGAGGCGGGCAGATCACTTGAGGTCAGGAGTTCAAGACCAGCCTGGCCAACATGGGGAAACCGTGTCTCTACCAAAAAAAATACAAAAACTAGCCAGGCGTGGTGGTGCATTCCTGTAGTCCCAGCTACTCAGGAGGCTGAGGTGGGAGAATAACTTGAACCCAGGAGGTGGAGGTTGCAGTGAGCCGAGATTGCGCCACTGCACTCCAGCCTAGGCAACAGCGAGGTCCTCTCAAAAAAAAAAGAATAGCTTGTAAGTTTTTTTTTGATGTTTTTGCCCGATTATATTTGGGATTACTAGATCTACAGATAAACATATATGTAAATTTTGCTATTATAGGGCTAATTCCCCTATAAGAATTATGCCATTTTATACTACCAGCCTCACACACAAATATTTAGATTTTCTTATTCTGATAAATATGAAAGGAGATATGGATATTTTAATTTGCATTTCTTTTATTTATGTGGTTTTTTAATACATCATAAGCATTTTTTCAGGTTGCCACTTGTCTTAATATTTAATAGTTGCTTATTCAGTAGATTTACCATAATTAGACAATTATGCTTATTGAGAATTTTAGTTGTTTTTACTTTTTGGCTATTATGGTGCTGTGATAACCATATATAGAAAGATATTATTACTCTGCTTTATGTTATTTTCTTGGTAAATTCTCAAAAATGAGATTATGAAGTTTATGTATATGAATTTTTTAATGACTTTTAAATATTTCTTCGCTTCATATTTGAAAAGGCAATGTATAACATCTTTATCATAGTTTCATTAATGGTGGGTATCATTTTTGTGTGTAAAAGCTTTGTGTGTAAAAGAATATGTTCGTTTACGTGACTTTGTAGTGAAATTGTAGATTTTTAAATTTTTTCTTTACTATTTTTATTTCATTTTATCATCAACTTCATTTAATCTGATAATATTAGATAATAATATCAACTCAGTTTGTTTCCAGGAGATTTCACAGAAAGGTGTCTCCATGTATTTAGGGTAGATTGGGAATAGTTCAAAGACCTGTCTTAATAAGAAAAAATGATATATACAGAAAGACTAAAAGGAGACCTTGGGAAATAAGCAGTTGAAAAATCATCACAGCAAACATTTTTTCCAGTTTACTCTATGTGGCAATTTTTATAGCCTTTGTTTTGCCTTTTTACAGGGGGATTTTGGCACTCAAAAAGAAGCTGCTTGGGCCATAAGTAACTTAACAATTAGTGGAAGGAAAGATCAAGTAAGTTGAGCTTTTTAAAATTTATTTCTCAAAACTGGTAAAATAAAAGTACAGGTAATATTGATTTAGATTTGAGTAAGTTATAATTTAAAATAATAGCAACACCCTGGGAGGCCAAGGCTGGAGGATCACCCGAGGCCAGGGTTTTGTGACTGGCCTGGGCAACACAGTGAGACCACATCTCTATTAAAAAAATAAAATAAGAGCAAGATAACAGGTACTAACTTTTATATAACAGGTATATAACTTTCTTTGTCACATAGAAGTATCACCTTGACTTCCTTTCGTCATACTTCATAGAAGTGTTCTTTTTCCCAATTTATTGGCCTACAAGAATTTTTTAATCCATGGTAAAATTGAGGCCCCTATAGTCAGGAGTTTTTTGTTTTGTTTTGTTTTTTTAACAGTATTAGGAATGAACAGACTTCTTAAGTTAATATGGAAGAAACTGCATCACACATTCTCCTAACAAATGAACAACAACAACAAAAAGTAAAAAGACAGCAACAATAACAAATTCATCAGCAGCAAACCAAACAAGGAATTAAAAGCTCAACCAGATGGCTAGGACTTAGGAACTAGGGTGAGGAATGTAAGATGCCTAGGAAAGAGGCACCCACTCTCAGGTCGTGCGGGTGACAAAGCTTAACATTGTGCCAACTGGCAAAGGAAAAACAGTTTTAAAGAGGTTAGATCTGTTTCACAGAGTAGGTAAAAAGAACAAATTTAGAGCTGAATAGCAATAAATTGATAACTGTAACAAAAAGGCTGCAGACTGGTGGTTTTCAGTGAATTCACATAAATACAGAGCAGAACAGGAATATTAATATAATGCATGGAAATTATAACTAATGAAATACTGAAATCATTGGAAAATATTGTGAAATCAATAGAATAGTGAATTGAGAGGTAGCCAGGCACATGTGAGCCACTGGATGCTGTCACATTGAGCCATTGTAGTTTTTTGAAACTAGTATCCAGGCGGGATGCAGTGGCTCATGCATGTAATCCTAGCATTTTGTGGGGCCAAGGCAGGAGGATCTCTTGGGTTCAGGAGTTCAAGACCAGCCTGGGCAACATAGTGAGACCCCCGTCTCTATATATTAAATAAATAAATAAATCCTGCGCAACATAGTGAGACCCCATCTCTCTATATTTAATTAATTAATTAATTAAATTAAAAATAGCATACAGCCTCCATTAACAGCCTCCTTAACTGATTTCATAATTTCTTACTCTTAAAGGGAAAAATCTTTGAAGGAAGTATTTCTTATGGCAAAGAAATGTTTAATATGAAGTTGAGTGATTCCTTTATTTTAACTTTACGTTGTTTTTTTCTAAGTTCGGGAAAAAGGAAACTAAATTTAAAAGAAAAGGAGGTTAGATTAATAATGTGGGCACACTTAACATGAGAGAGATGAGGTCATATTTCTATACTCGAAATTTCAAAATCAGAATTATTCCAGTGAGATAACATGGCACACAAAGTTTACCTATATTGCATTATTTTATGTTGTTTTTATTCTTCAGGTGGCTTACCTTATCCAACAAAATGTTATCCCACCTTTTTGCAACTTGCTGACTGTAAAAGATGCACAAGTTGTGCAAGTAGTACTCGATGGACTAAGTAATATATTAAAAATGGCTGAAGATGAGGCAGAAACCATAGGCAATCTTATAGAAGAATGTGGAGGTAAGTTTATTATAAGCTCTTATTCCACATCTTAATGTTCTCTTTGTAACTACCTTTATTTGCCGACTAATATAGCACATCTATATTTTTCTGTCTTAGATATTCAAGTAACAGAATAAAGTAAATATTGTATTCTATATGTGCAGTCCTGCTCAGCCTCTTGCATATGCTTAGGTAACTGAATTGCTGCCATATATTGAACAGGCACTGTGATAAGTTACTGGGAAGACAGTGGTAAACAAGACACAGTCCTTGCCCTCAAGGCATGTAGTCTAGTCTTGATAAATATGAACTGATTTAATGTGCTAATTACCCTAATAGAAATGTACAACAAAATGGGATGCCTAATCCATTCTGGAAGAAGCAGGAAGTGCACCTGAGCTGGATTTTGAGAGATGAATAAGGATTAATAAGGTAAAAAGGGATGAAAGGTGTTCCAGGCAGAGATAACACCATGAGCAAAGTCTGAGGTCAGAAATAGCATTCAGCAAATTATAAGTAGTTCAGTGTTGCTGAATCACACAGTATGGGGTAGAAACTATGAAGAGACAAAGCTGGAGAAGTAACCAGCCTCCTATGAAGGCTTTTTTTTTTTTTTTTTTTTTTTGAGACAGTGTCTTGCTCTGTTGCCCAGGCTGGAGTGCAATGGCACAATCTCGGCTCACTGCAACCTCTGTCTCCCAGGTTCAAGCGATTCTTCTGCCTCAGCCTCCTGAGTAGCTGGGATTACAGGCGCCTGCCACCACGCCCAGCTAATTTTTTGTATATTTAGTAGAGACGGGGTTTCATCATGTTGGTCAGGCTGCTGTTGAACTCCTGACCTCAGGTGATCCACTCCCCTTGGCCTCCCAGAGTGTTGAGATTACAGGTGTGAGCAACTGCGCCCGACCTCCTGTGAATCTTAACAAGCTTTATGGCACAGTAGATGTTTTATTCTTTAGGGCAATAGTTTCGAAACATGGCCATGTACCAGAGCCTCCTGGAATGTAAACAATACATATTAGCTTTCAAGTCTTAGAGTTAATATATAGACAGAACATGAAAATTTCAAATGTGGCTGTGTAACACAGTGTGTTATCAATCTGGATAAGCATAAATATAAAGGTATTTCTGACAGAAGTTGAAAAGTGAATGAAAAGAGAGGTAACTGCAAAAGTAGGAGAACCCATAACTTCAACTAAATGGGAATGGTGAGCGGCTTCAAAATTAATGTAGTAAGAAATAGATATATTTAAAGTTACTAAAGTGACTCATAGAGCAACAACAATAAAAAAATCTATAACTGTCGAGTTAGGAACAAGAGATGGGGAATAGTGTTACAGAACTAATTAGGGATTAAGTAACAAAAAATAACAATAGGCATACTTAATTATTTTTACTACTTGATTTTTTTAACTTGTAAACATTTTAATTACTAAAATATCTTTATACATTCAAGTAAAAATGTAAGTTCTTGAACATTGCCTACCTCACTGGAGGTAAGACCCAGGAATCCCCAGTGGATTGTGCCATAGGAGTGGCAGGCCATTGGTGATTCATCTAGGGGATGGGGTGCATTCAGGTGGAACATGGATATCTGGGGAATGAAGCCTTTGGAGAAAGGAGGCAGGAAGAGACCAGTTAAGAAAGTATTTATGGCCGGGCACAGTGGCTCACACCTGTAATCCCAGCACTTTGGGAGGCCCGAGGCGGGCAGATCACCTGAGGCCAGAAGTTCAAGACCAGCCTGGTCAGCATGATGAAACCCCGTCTCTACTAAAAATATGAAACATTAGCTGGGTGTGGTAGCGCACACCTGTAATCCTAGCTGCTTGGGAGGCTGAGGCACGAGAATCATTTGAACCCAGGAGGCAGAGGCTGCAGTGAGCCAAGATCACGCCACTGCACTCCAGCCTGGGCAACAGAGTGAGACTCTGTCTCAAAAAAAATAAAATAAAATAAAGTATATAGTGGCCAAGCCACAATAAATGAAGGCAGTAATAATAGAGACAAAGGGGAGATGAGGAGATTTAAAGTCCAGTGGATGGACTTTCAAGTTTTTGAGGTTTGATTGTGGGATATTGAGGGAAAGGGGAACTTGGGCTTTCTCTTAAATTTCAAGCTATTGTTGATTATCACCAAATAAGAATACAACTGTAGGATGAACCGTTTAAATGAGGAAGGCAAATAACAAATTGTGTTTTGGACAGTTTGAGTTTTAGGTAGCTATGAAATTTCCTGGTAGAATTACACAAGCATTTTAGTTTTATGCATGTGAAGCTCAGAAAAGAAATGAAGCTATAGATTTGCAAGTCCTCAGCCTATGTGTAGTAGCCAGATTTTTTAATGGGAAGATCACCAGAATGAGTGTGTAGGTGAGAAGTGAGCCTAAGATAACTTTCTCCATTTAAGAAATGGATAGAGGAAGTACACTCATGAAGGGGCAATTTCACTTTTTTCAAAGACTTTAAAATTATTTTTCCTCTAAAGTAAAACAGGATCCAATTTGTGTATCAACAAGTTAAGTATATACTTTTTAATGTTTCTGCCTATAATTTAAACTCATTAATGTTTACAGGGAAAATTCTCTTTTCCCCTGAAATACTGTGTTAGATCTTCATCATTTTCCAGTAAACTTAACAGGTATCTTAAGCATCATATTTATTAATCACCAGTATTTTAAATTTATTTTCATACGTGCTCACTAGAAAAACTTGGCAGGTGCTGGAAAGTAGGAAGATTCCGCTTTTTACTTAAATGGAATTTTACATGTTATTGCTGGTTATAAACATTGGTTATGTATTCTGATGAATAGGCAGATGTCTCATTACTTATTTATACACTTATTTGTACATTTACAAGCAGTTAGACACTCAGGTTGTTGATTTTAAGATAAATATGCTGTATCTTTGTGCATAAAATTTTTTTATATTTAAGATTCACCTTTAAATTCCCAAAAATTATAATTCAAAAAATTTGCGATTCAGAAATTGGATTATGTGTTCCAAAGATTATTCTAACTTGTCACTGCTCTTTAAATATTACTATTGTTTCACATTGCAAAATTTCTTGCAGGGCTGGAGAAAATTGAACAACTTCAAAATCATGAAAATGAAGACATCTACAAATTGGCCTATGAGATCATTGATCAGTTCTTCTCTTCAGATGATGTATTTAATAATTTTGTAGTTTTCTTAATTTTATATATAAACATAGATCTGGATAAAGTAATATATATAGTAAGCTGGGGGACATACATGTGTATTTGTTTGGAATGGAATTAAAATAGATGTATGACAGTAATGTCACCTGCTTTGAAAACAAATATTTCAATATTTTAAGATCCCTTCAGGGCATATTAGCTCTAATGGCAAGAAATAAGGACTTTTTTGACCAAACGAGATGAGTCAGACTTTATTTTCACTTGGTGTCTTTATAGTTCTCATTTTTTAAAATTGTTAATAGCATACCATATTTATAAACAAAACAGTGATACTAGTATATCCTGTAATAAGTTCTTTATGACAGTAGTTAATCCACACTTGATGGGTTGTCACTGTTTTTATTTCATGGCCAAAAACAAATACGAAAATAAATAAGATGGAAATAAAAAGGTAAGGCACTATATAATGTAAGGTATAGTATACAAAAATATCTTCAGATTGTTAGTAATAGTAGTGGAAATTAAAGTATTAACTTATTTTTAGTATTTCCTCTTTGGAAAAGTAAATCTAAAATTAAACCAATTGCTCCTTAGAAAATTTTATAGTGGTTCAGTGCAGCCACCAGAGGATTTCTTTAATGATTTCTCAGCTTTTCAAAGAATAAGTCTTTTACTGCATGCCTTTCCATATTATCAAAAAGAATAGAATGTTATTAAACATTTTGTTAAGTATGTATAGTTTGAACATTAACTTGACAAGGACAATATTAGAAAAGAAAATTATAGACTATTTACTTACAGTTGTTTAAGCTTAGTCCTATTTAGAATATAATGCCAGTTAAATAAACCAGAAATAAAATTAAGAAAAGTTTTTTTTCTTTCTTTCTTTTTTTAAAGACGGGGCCCAGGCTGGAGTGCATTGGCGCAGTCACAGCTCACTGCAACCTCCCCCTCCCTGGCTCAGGTGATCCTCCCACCTCAGCCTCCCAAATAGCTGGGATTACAAGTGCTTGCCACTATGCCCGGATAACTTTTTAAGTCTTTTGTAGAGACAAGGTCTCCCTATGTTGCCCTGGCTGAGCTTGAACTCCTGGACTCAAACAATTCTCCCATCTTGGCCTCCCAAAGTGCTGGGATTACAGGCATGAGCCACCACGCCCAGCCTGGCATATTCTTTTAAGAGTAACTTTGATCGTATGTCTTGAAGTTGGATTTTTGAAAATCATAATTTGCAATTTGGTGACTAATTGTAATAGCCTCATAATTTCTAATACCTCAACATGTAGTTTTCGTTCTTGACTTAGATTGTGAAAAGAATAATTCAGATGATATACATAGTTATAGGAAGTACACTACAGGTTTGTAATATTGTGGAATTTCCAAAAGGAGCCTTTAGATGCAAAGCATATAGAATAATGTATATAATAATAATAATAACCATTATTAGCAGAACTATTATAGGTGGAGTATCCCTTACCTGAAATGCATGGGACCAGAACAGTTTTGGATTTTGGATTTTTTTGAATTTTAGAATATTTGAATTATTTCTACCACTTGAGCATCTGAAATTCAAAATGTTCCAATGAGCATTTCCTTTGAGCATCATATTGGTGCCCAGAAAGTTTCAGATTTTGGAATATTTTTTGTTTTGTACTTTCAGATTAGGGATACTCAATCTGTATTTTACTATTTTAAGCCCAAATACCATTTGTCTCTAATTGCTATTGAAAGATATACCAAAGATTCACTTTCCAAAAGTGGTGGCATTAGATTTTTTTTTAATGTGATTGTCTTTATGTACTTGCCCGGGGTTTTTTTGTTTTGTGATTTGTTTTGTTTTGTTTTGTTTTGTTTGAGACAGAGTTTTGCTCTGTCACCCAGGCTGGAGTACAGTGGCACAATCTTGGCTCACTGCAACCTCTGCCTCCCAGGTTCAAGGAATTCTCCACCCTCAACCTCCCAAGTAGCTGGGATTATAGGCGCATGCCACCATGCCCAGCTAATTTTTGTATTTTTAGTAGAGATGGGGTTTCGCCACGTTGGCCAGGCTGGTCTTGAACTCCTGACCTCAGGTGATCCACCCGTCTCAGCCTCCCAAAGTGCTGGGATTACAGGCATGAGCCACCGCGCCTAGCTGTACTTGCCCAGGTTTAAGGGAAATTGTAATGAGACCAAATTTTGCATCCTCTCTTTGAGACTTAGGGCCATCATTACTGTTCCTTCATTCTTTTGGAAAATGCCCGTCTTACATATTCTCTTTTTTCTCATTTTGGCATCCCTTAAGAAAAAGTCTTGGGTAGGCACTGTGGCTCACACCTGTAATCTCAATACTTTGGGAGGTCAAGACAGGCAGATTGCTTGAGCTTAGGAGTTTGAGACCAGCCTGGGCAGTATGGTGAAACTCCGTCTCTACAAAAAATACAAAAATTAGCCAGGCGTGGTGGTGCACACCTGTAGTCCCAGCTACTCGGGAGGCTGAGGTGGGAGGATCACTTGAGCCCAAGAGGTTGAGGCTGCAATGAGCTATGTTTGTGCTACTCATCTCCAGCCTGGGTGACAGAGTGAGACCCCATCTCAAAAAAGAAAGAAAGAAAAAAAAAACCTTCTATAAACTGTTTCAATTTTCTAAAGGATGGTAAGACAGTGTTGGCATTCATCATCTCTCCAGACCTTTTTTTAAGGGTAATGGGATTAGTACTATAATACTGTTTATATATATTTTAAAACTAATTATCACATTCTTTTTCTTTTTTTTCACCTAGATTGATGAAGACCCTAGCCTTGTTCCAGAGGCAATTCAAGGCGGAACATTTGGTTTCAATTCATCTGCCAATGTACCAACAGAAGGGTTCCAGTTTTAGAAAGATGTTGTGGAAGTTAGGTACAATGCAGCACTGAGATATATATATATATATGTGTGTGTGTATATATATATATATATACATATATATAAAAAGGTTTGATCCATCAAGCTTGGCTCATGGGATCTGCTGCTGCATTAAATCGGGAAAGAAAATGTGAAGATTTCATTTGGAATCACAGAAAATGCCCAAATGAGGTCAAGATGGCGAGTGGGTGCGAGTGAGAATGAGTGGCAAAATGTAATGAAAACTTTACATGAATGCTTATTTAGGTTGTTCAAAGTAAAAAGGGCTACAGGTCACAGATCGTCAGTGCCTGAGAAAGAACATTGACTTACTCTATATCAATTGAGGGGAAAGTGCAGTACCGTCATCTTCAAGCCTTGTAAGCATAAAAGAGAATAGGCTGCCCATATAAGTCAAAGGAAAATGAGCCCAGGCCTTGCTATGAAGCAGTGTGTGAATGGACAATGTTGAATGAATGTCTGGCTCAGTGATGGAGAGCCAGGTTCATCTTTGAAATCTAGGGCTCTTCACTCATGAAGCAGACTCCTAGTCCTGGAGTGACTGTGTACGAGAGCGTGGTTGTGGTGCTGTATGTGAACGCATGCAAGCTTGATTCACCTTCAGGGGGCTGATAACCTAGTAAATCATCAAAATGAGATCATAAGTGTTAATGTACACTGGACATGAAAACAAAGACTGGTTTAGCAGCAGACATTGGTTTACTCTGCAGCCTGTGTTTTCTGTTTCCCCCTTTCCCACCTCCTTCCCCCCACCCAATCCTTTTTTTTTTCTTTTTTGCTTTTCTTTTCTTTTTTTTTAGTTTTTATTTACTTTACCTAGTATGCCTTTTTTTAGTTGCTTCTCAAGTCAGAAAACTTTTCAGGAAGGTTTCCCTGTGCATTTGCACCAGATGAATGTTTGATGCTATGAAAAGCTTTCCATATCATCAAAACTAATTTGTGTAGATTTTTGCATGAAAAAAATCATAAATTTCCCTCAAAATAGACTGTGTTGCAGTACACAAGTTGCCATAATAGTATAAAACAGTAAAATGTGCTTAAAAGGCCATCCTTTTCATTTTCAGAGATAACATAAAGATCTTTGCATGAGGTAAATCTACAGCATAGTTCATTTTTAGATTTTGTTGAGTCCTGTAAAGAAGAAGAAGAAAAAAGTTTCAGTTGTGGTAGAATACCGTGCTGTGTTTAAATGTTACTTGTTTTCAAACTTTGTTTTCTATGAAAATGATATGGAAACTTCTAAAATGGAATTTGGTGCATATGTACTGCTGAATAAAGACCGATGAAGAGGTTTGAGTAGATGTACAAATCAAGTAATGGTTTGAACACCTTTAATAATATGCCTAATCTGTTCAATTGTTTTAGAATCTTTTTATCTTAGATGTAGGCAGCCATGAACAATCTATTTTGAGCCACTTTAGGGAGAAAACTTTGTATTTTTAAAACTTGCATAAAAGTTATGCAAGTGGTTTTTATAAATTGGAATAATACCTCAGTTTTGAGGTTATGCACACTAAATTAAATGTGACATAAATTAATTTGTACAAAAAGAACTCTTTATAAGGTGGCTCATTGTAGGAAATCCTGTGCCTTCCCCTTTGAGCACAAGTGTTGCATGAACAACAGTTTGCTATAAGAAACATACCAGATTAGCCACCATTAGCATCTATATCTACTTTGTGTTTAAAAATCAACTGGTAATTCTGAAACACTGTAGAATGGATAAAAATTATTTTGTGATCATAACTCTTTGTTGAACTAGAGTATTTTTGCAGCATTCCTTGTCATCAGAAACATGGTTAAAGTTTAAAACTAGAAGCAGCAGAAAACTAGCTTGTAAAATTTATCCAAGTAGAGTGCAGGCTAGGCTGTCTTGGGGAAATAAACATTAAAACTTAAAGCAATGTTTTACATGGGGTGTGTGTGTGTGGTGTGTGGATTTTTTTTTTTTTATAAAGTTAGAGTATAATTCAATGGCTTACATTAGCTTCCTGTCTTTTTACCTAGAACCAGCATAATAAGAAATTTCTTTGGTTCTGTCATTTCAGTATGGACATATTAATATTTTAGCCCACTGAGTTTGTCCAGTTGACACCATCAGTGCTTCAGTTTTCTCTCTATCCAAAGCAAGGTTTTAACTTTCCTTCATTCTCCAGTAAAACAGACCGAGACAACTTGAACTATATTTTGAGTATTGCTATATCTTCAACATATAGCTCCAAATGATGGATTGTATACAAAGCATAGTACAGAAGGTTTCAGTAATTGGAAGGTGAACACAGCAATGCTTTACATAATTTGTGTTTTTTAGTAAAAAATATTGGATTCAAAGTAAGCCAATGAGCTTGTATACAAATTTTATATACAAATTATTGTATAGAACAGTGATATGGAAAATAGGTAAGGGTGATATTAATATCTCTGGGTATAAGGACTACCTTATCGTTTAAATATTTTATTTCCATCTATAGCCTAATATAGAACATTGATTTTCTAGTAGAAATTCTGGGAAGGGCTTTTCTGTCTCTGAAATTGATTCAGTACAGTTGACAGTTCATCACGGTTACCTGGTTAAACACTTTTTTTTTTTTTTTAATTCTCCAGTGATCTAGGAAATTGTTTCATTTTTAACACAGGCTTATTTCTGATGGGGATGGGGGCATAGAATAATATGCCTAATAAGCTAAACGTTCTTAACGTTTCATGTCTTAAACTGTCTTTTTGAACATTGAGACCACCTCAAGTGCTGTAAAAATAAGAATGTTATATTAGGGGTGTGTGAGACGCCCTAGTCTAAAATCTATCTTTAAATATATTTCCTTTGTAATTTTCAAAGACTTCAGTAATTGTGTGTTATGGTGGAAATAATACTTTCCATTGGTCCACATTGCTCTGGACCAAACCTGGAGCATTTCTATAATTAGAGCTATCTATGAATCATTAAAAATGGATCTAGAATAATTTTGGGGAGAGGGAGTGTATCATTTAGTTTAGGCTTACCTCAGCAGCACTTCATAGGGTGAGGAGTTGTTTGTTTCTTTAAAGGTATAACTGCATTGTAAAATGACTGGGTTTATTGTAACAGTAATTTATGGGGGCACCCTTTTTGGATTCTCCATTGCCTCAGTTTCCTCAAGGAAAAAGTTACAGAGATTAAGCTAAATTTTGAATTTAGAGAATAACTGCTGTGTAATTTTGGTATAATTACCATAAATTTAGTGTCTTAAAACACAACATACATTATTTCACAATTTCTGTAGGTCAAGAGTGTAGTTAGGTTTTCTGCTCAGGGTCTCACAAGGCTGCAATAAAGGTGTCAGCCAGAGCTGCAGTCTTATCTGAAGCTAGGGGGTCCTCTTTTATGCACATATGGCAAAATCCATTGCCTAGCAACTGAAGAAATCATGGGAACTTCTTCAAGGCCAGCAAGAGAATCTCTGATCTCAGGGAAGGCCTTAAGCGCTTTTTTAAAGGTCTCACCTGATTAGATCAGGCCACCTACCCACCAGGGTGATCTCCCTTTTGATTAACCCAAAGCCAAACTGATGAGGTACCTTCATTACCCCTGCAAAATCCCTTCACCTTTGCCCTGCATTGTAGTCCAATCACAGGGGTGATACGCATCATATTCAAAGATCCTGTTCACAGTCAAGGGAGGGGGTTATATGGAGTATGTATACCAGGGAATCTTGGGAGCCATCTTAAGAGTTCTTCCTATGACAAGGACTCAACTATTTAGAACTGGAACAATTTACAAGTGATAGCCTTATATAGTTATCATAGCAAGCTTATTTGGGGATCAAGGTTGCCTCTGAGAACCTAATGAAAACTGGACCAGCTTCCCCAAAAAGTGTATATACATGGTAGTTTTTCATACAGTTTTAGGGGATTCATAAGAGTCCATGAATTACAGTCTGTCCCAACCCTTCCCTTTAGATGATGAGTTGTTGAGGTGACTTGCCCAAGGTCACACAGCTACTAAGGGCCAAATAAAGCCCACATCTCAACTCCCATACTGCCCAGGGCTTCTAATTACTATTCTAAAGGTAATCTAAATTCATTTAAATTTGTGAACCAATGCAAAAAAATGTGAATGTAGCTTTTTGGATATTTTTTTTGTTTACTAAGGAATGGGTAACATTGTTATAGAAGCTTGCCTAAGAGTTTTGAAATTAGTTGACCTTTTTGAGTTTCCAAAATTGAATCTTCCATTGTAGCTATTAAAGTGAACTATAAATAGGCCAACTTTAATTGTTAACTCCTCGGGTTTGGTGGATTATCTACCATTTATATATAAAATTTCAGTTAGAATCCACCATTGGCGTTTTGAAGGCCAAGATAGCTGAGTATCTTATCCTTTTTGTAACTTCTTGATTATTTTACTTATTGGCAAAATTCATTAACTGTCAGCCAATAATTTAATATTATGGGAGGAAAAAATTTTGCCCAGATATCTGAGGCAATACTCCCAAACACTAACAAACTGATGCCTAACAAACTTGACATTTTGAACACTTAAAGTTTTCCCTAAACTTTTTAATAAGCACATTAATAAAGTATGCTTTTAAATATATATGTACAATAATTTTTAAAAGTTGCTGCAAGATGCCTTCAAATCAATATGCACGTTGGTGGCATTAGTGCAGTCTTCTATTTTTATTTTTTTGAGACACAGTCTCGCTCTGTGGCCCAGGCTGGAGTGTAGTGGCGCAATCTCGGCTCACTGCAACCTCTGCCTCAAGGGTTCAAGCAATTCTGCCTCAGCCTCCTGAGTAGCTGGGATTACAGGAGTACGCTACCACGCCTGGCTAATTTTTGTATTTTTAGTAGAAATGGGGTTTCACCGTATTGGCCAGGCTGGTATTGGAATCCTGACCGCAAATGATCTGCCCACCTCGGCTTCCCAAAGTGCTGGGATTACAGGCGTGAGCCACTGCGCCCAACCAGCCTTAATTCTTAATAAAGGAAGTTGAAAAATAATGAACATTGGTAAAACTATTCTAGTGTGATCAGAAGCAAATTTGGACTGTAGTGTCAAATTGATAAAAAACTAAGCACACCAATCATGTATAAGAAAAGTAGATTTAACATTTTTTTCCCTAAACACTTAACCCAGAAGTTAACAATAATCTTGAAAATTCCTTTTAAATCCAGGCCCTTTAGGTGATGGCAGTTTGACTCAGGATGTCCAAGTCCAGTGTATTTTCAATAAAATTGACTTGACAGCTACTGCTCTGGGTGTAAGAGCAGTTGACTGTGAGGAAAAGTAAATGGTTCTACAGATTCTTTATGATCTACCTCCCACCAGAGGACTGCAGTACTCCCTTGTTATTTATATTTTCTGCCCCAATTTTTGCCTTCTCCACAAATTTTATACCTTTTGTAGCTGCCTACTCCAGATTACTTCACCTTTCCAGACTATCAGTTCTTCCACTTTTATTCTTCATAAAGAAAATTCCAATAACCTGTTTCACTTAGGTTTTTCTATTACTCTTCAAGCATGAATCCTAATTTCCCTGACTATATCTTACCTCTGATCTCCATAACTGATGGATTCCTATCCTAGACTATGTTACTCTAATATTACCCAAGATTTTCTCCAGCCTGTTTTTACTCTTACTTTGAAACAGCTGTTTAAAATGACTCGTAATCTGCTTAAATCTACATGCTTTTTGTGGTTCTCAATCCAGTTACCTACCTTCCAGATAATTCCCTCACTGTCCTGTCCTCTCCATTCCTCTGATGTTTAAGCCCTGTGAGCCACCTTTCCCCCATCCTTTGTGCATAGTTACCATTTTACTCTTTCTTGTTGCCCAGGCAGGAATGCAGTGGTGCCATCTTGGCTCACTGCAACCTCCACCTCCTAGGTTCAAGCGATTCTCCTGCCTCAGCCTCCTGAGTAGCTGGGACCACAAGCGTGCACCACCACGCCCGGCTAATTTTTGTATTTTTAGTAGAGATGGGGTTTCACCACGTTGGCCAGGCTGGTCTCGAACTCCTGACCTCAGATGATCCACCCTCCTTGGCCTCCCAAAGTGCTGGGATTGCAGGCGTGAGCCACCGCCTGGCCACCATTTTACTCTTTTTAGGTACAGTAATCTAATATCCAAAGTCTTGGACTCAGCTAAAGAGGGTATTTACCTTAAAAAAAAAAAAAAAAAGACTCCATCTTTTGATTCATAATTGTGGTGGGGGCGGGGAATCAAGACAACCTTAGTCACTTTGGTATTACCATAATTCTTGTCTTTTCAGGGTTGTCCTGTTCAGCTGCATAAAACATCATGTATTCTAGGTATTTCCTACCTTCACTTACATTTTTACTTGCCGATGTGCTGCCTTCATAAATGGGTATATTCCGCCACACATCTAGTAAGCCCCCAATGCAGTACACAATGTGTATCACTGATAAAACTCGCACTTCTGCCATGTCAGTATTATATTCAGTTGAGTGGTCTTTAGCATAGTGGCAGTCCTAGTCATCCTAACCTTTTAGTTAAGGTAAAATTACATATGTTTATAGAACTCATATAGACAAGCTAGTTTTTAAAATCTTCCTTTTAACCAGTTTAGGATGATCTAGGATAGCTAAGTTACCTACATGGTGACTGTTCGGTCTAATTCAGAAACAGAAGTACTAAAAGAATACTAAAAAGTTTTTACCCATTATCTCTATCCCTGTTTTCTTTTTGCAATTCTCAGCTGCAGGGAGCAAGAAAATACACAGCAGATAGGAAATGTTTGTTTGCATCCTGGCTTTCTCAACCGCACTTTACGTCCTTGAATATTCTAGATATTTACTCCTTCAAGAAGTCAGGAGTATATCCAGGCCTACCTATCATCCTTGCCATCCCCATTAACCCTCATTTTTCAGTATGTGTTTTACATTTATGGTTATTTTTCAGTCTATAGTATCTGTTCACTCATTGCTCTATCACATCTGAGTTTCTCCGTCTTTCTTTCCACTAGATTGTAAGCTCCTTAAGGGCAAGGTCGGCATATAAGCAAAGTTCTGTAAACACCGTGAAGGTACCATGAGTTCTATGGGTACTCAATAAATGCTTGTGATAATGATGCAATTTCTCAGATGAACTGATTGTAGTGACTACCTCTAAAAGCCTTCAATCTACAGTTTTTAAATTTGTCTCATTGCATCTGAGTTTTAGAAAGCCTTCGATAGAAAGGGAAGATACTTCATAGCTTGCCAGATGAATGCCCATTTCCTTATTTCCTTTTCCTCACTTTTGATATTTTGCCCAGTGTCTGGTCTGGATATCTGACATCCATAAGGGTATTGAAATGGATCCTTGTGTGGTTTTCAGATACCAGTTATATATATTATGAAGCAGAGGTAACCTAATATTGTCTAACACTATTGATACAGTTTATATTTTGGAAATACTGTATGGATGATTTATTGAAATAACTTATAATAAGATATTTTACAAGGAAATATCCAAACCACAAAGTTAAGTGATTGCTGTTTTGGTCAGTCAGCTATAGTATGAAATTATTAGAATGCTTTGGTTTATTTATGTATGTGAAGTTATTTTATCCCTATGTGCTTCAGTTTCTTCATCTGAAAAAATGGAAAATAGTAATAGTACCTACTCATATGGCTTAAGTGAGTTAATTCATGTAAAGCATGCAAAATAATTATAGGTAGATAATAAACACTCATTTATAGCATCTAGGGGAAATTCCCTTTAAAGTTTGTTGCAAGTAAAGGCAGAAGCTTTATTCATTTCTACCTTTGTCAAATATCTGAGAACCTACATTGGGTTAGGCAGTAAACCAGGAGCTAGGGATAGCAAACCAATTAAATGTAGCAAGCGCTCTCAATTTAGTTTGCTGGGAGAGACACAGTCATAAATAGGCAAATAAAAAGAAGTGATAAATAAATGGTAAATGAAAGCATGATAAAAGCAATGATAGATGTACATGATGCATTAAGCAAACTCCACTGCTTTGGTACTGCATCAGAGCATTTGATGGCATACACACAAAATTTAGACTTGGTATCTGTAAATTCATTACCTCCAAATTCAAACTTTCTTCAACTATTTAGAAGTCAATTTTTTCAAGCCTATAACTCCTTGCTTCCCCCTCTTAGTAGATGCCCTTTCCTATTTCAGTGGGGGGCAGTGGCAAAGAGAAACTTTATGAAAGGAACTCTGTTAGTTCACTTCCAGCTTAGAAACCCATTTAGATATCACCCCACTCCTTACTGTTCCATTAGAGGAGCTTTCCTGATAACCAAGGCAGTCTTAGTGTCTTGAATCCTATCTCCTGCTACTTAGGAATCTCTCACTGTGAATTAGATTTTTCTCTCCTTTATATTCAACTATGCCCCTTCAATGTGATTGTACCCACTAACATTCAAATATGCTGAAACTTTTGTTATCTTAAAGCTCAGCACCCAGCTACTACATCCTCCCCTTACTATCACAGCCAAAGTTCATGTAAATTTGCTTGTTCTCTCCAGTTGCTCAAATTCCATTCACTTCTCAACCCATCCCGGTCTTTGATTTGCCCCCATCACTCCATAAAGCCCTTGAAAAATCACCAGCCTACATGTTACTTAATTAAGTGAGCAGTTTTTGTCTTCATCTTGACTCAAACACTAGGCACTTCATGACTCCCTTCTAGATTTTCACAACACCACATTGTTTTTCCTCTAACCACTGCCACCTTCCTATGCCCTCAGACCCCTGGCCAGCAATTTTGTCTCCTTTCTAGCACATCTTTTTCCCTGGTCATTAAATGTTAAGAGTTTTTCAAGCCTCAACCAAGTTTCTCTTCTCAAACTTCTTTTATTCTTTTATTCTATGATGACCACACTTCAGTGATCATCTGTGACATACTACTGATCCCTAATTGAGTACTGGCTTTCTCTGAAATCTCCATATTGCCTCCTTGAAATGTTCACTTATCTGAAAGGCAACCACAACTCTTGTTCAAGATTAAGCTCATGTCTTTCTCTTCCACCCCCAAACATGATCCTCTTGCATTGTTCCCTATCTGAGTGGATGTCACCTGCCCTCACCCTAAAGTTCTCCAAAATGGCTCTTGCATTCCTTCACTTATTTCCATTTCCACCTCCTTAGTCTGACCATCATCTCTTTTCTTGAACCATTGTAAGTCTGTTAAGAAGGTCTCTCACAGGCCGGGCGCAGTGGCTCACGCCTGTAATCCCAGCACTGTGGGAGGCCGAGGCAGGCGGATCACATGAGGTCAGGAGTTCGAGACCGGCCTGACCAACATGGAGAAACCCTGTCTCTATTAAAATTACTAAATTAGCTGGGCATGGTGGCGCATGCCTGTAATCCCAGCTACTCGGGAGGCTGAGGCAGAAGAATTGGCTTGAACCTGGGAGGCGGAGGTTGCAGTGAGCTGAGATCACGCCGTTGCACTCCAACCTGGGCAACAAGAGCGAAACTCCGACACACACACACACACACACACACACACAAAAAGATGGTCTCTCACAGCCACTCTGACCGTCTTCCTCTGATGTCTGCAATGAAGACAGCGTGATCTTTCTGAAATCAAATCTGAGTGTTCAGATCATTCTTACTGTTCATATCTTTTCACCTTTCTTAGAATAAAACCCATCTATTTTTCTCCTGATTAAATTATTGGAAATTGCAAGCATATGCAAAATTAGAATAAAATAATCCACCTGTATGCATCACCCAGTTTTCACAATCATCAACACATGGTCCAGCTTGTTTCGTCACCAGCCCACTCACCTTTCATGTCTCCCTAGGATTATTTTGAAGCAAATCCCAAACATGTATCTCTAAAAAAACTTTTTAAGCGTAACTACAGTACTATTATCAACCCTGTTAAAAATGAACAGTTCCTTAATACAAGTAACTTGTGCTCACATATCCTTGATTTAAGTAAAAATCATTAACATGGATATGGTCTTTCATTTTCTGGCCCCTGCCTACTTCTCTAACTACTTCTCGCACATACCACTCTGCTCTGTGTTTCAACTGCACTGGCTTTTCAGCTCTTCCTCATTTAATACAATTTCAGAATTCATTCCTTTTCTTTAGAGCACATTGAAGTTCACAATTAAAATTCATACATTACTAGATTATAACAGGAACTATATATCACATTGCTTGGAACATAGAGCACAAATATTCTTTAGATGATTAAATAAATGGATTTGTGAGGAGAAAGAGAATGGATACTTAGCCCAGAGTTGGGGGAGGTAGGACCTCCTGAGTGACTCAGGACTTAACAAAATGAAGTGGAGACAAGAGCATTCCTCTGTGAGCAATGTCAGGGAAGGGAAAAATGGAATAATTTTTAGTCTAAAAGTTCACAGCAGGTAGTGGTGGGAACGTGGCAGACCAAGCAACATGTAACATGCTTTGTTTAGGAGGAGGGACTTAGGAATTTTAAGTATGAGAATATTATTTTCAAAATTGGACTCTTAAATCACTGTCATCTTTGTTGAAGATGGATTTGGGAAGATATTATAAGAATAGAGGCAGGAAGATGGATTAGGAAGCTTTTAGAGCAATTGGGTGTGAGATGGGGGTCCTGAATAGGGGTTGAAATAGTTGAATTAGAAAAGAGGGATGACACAAAATAGAGAAGTGTGTCTATTTTCAGTTTATTGCCCCACCATCTCCAAATCCACTCTTCTTTGCCCTACTTTTTGACACTGGAGCTGAACTGTGTAAGTATTTTTCCTTTACTAGCTGGCACAGTGTTAAGCTTTGTCAAAAGAGAGCACTAGGGTGACACTACAGACTATGTTGTGGCAGGAAAACTCTTTAAAGTTCCCATTGTCCATTTTTACTGTTCACCGTTGTAGCCCAGTTGTCCTCAGGGACTGGCTCCTGTGCTTTTAGGCCACGCTCTCTCAGTGGCAGATGCTTCCACAACAAGCCACTTCCACAGCAATGTATGCATGTATGTGTTGTATAGAAGAATTGAAAATGTATTTATGGCTGGGCCCAGTGGCTCACGCCTGTAATCTCAGCACTTTGGGAGGCCAAGGCGGGTGGATCATGAGGTCAGGAGTTCAAGACCAGCCTGGCCAAGATGGTGAAACCCTGTCTCTACTAAAAATACAAAAATTAGCCGGGTGTGGTAGCAGGCACCTGTAATTCCAGCTACTCAGGAGGCTGAGGCAGAGAATTGCTTGAACCCAGGAGGCGGAGGTTGCAGTGAGCCGAGATCGCGCCACTGCACTCCAGGCTGGGCGAGAGAGTGAGACTCCATCTCAAAAAAAGAAAAGAAAATGTAATTACAGTAGGAATTTCATCCAAGGAATAAACGTTATAAGAAATTGTTGTGCGAGGAAGCTGATGCCTGTAATCCCAGGGAAGCCAAGGCAGGAGGATCGCTTGAGGCCAGGAGTTTGAGACCAGCATGGGCAACATAGTAAGGAAAAAAAAGTACCAGATTAAGATGAAGAAAACTTTAATACTGCAGGAAATCAATTTAATCTCAATATACAAACTCTTAAAACTCAGTTAAGAAAACAACCTAATTGAGCAAAAATTTGCATAGACACTTCACAAAAGATATGATGGTAAATAAACATATGAAAAGATGTTTAACATCATTAATCATGAGAGAAATGCAAATAAAAACTACAAGATACTATTACACACCTATATTAGATGGCTAAAATTTTAAAAACTGCCAACACCAAGTGCTGACAAAGATACAAAGCAATTGGAACTCTCATACATTCCTGATGAGTGTGCAAAATGGTCCATTCTCTTTGGAAAACAGTTTGGCAGTTTCTTAGTTAAGCATGCAATTTGCCCTACAGCCAGCAATTCCACTCCTAGGTATTTACTCAGGTGGAGTAAAAACTTTGTCTGCATGAAATCTGGATGTGAATGTTTATAGCTGCATTATTCATAATCTCAAACTGGAAACAACTAACTCAAAATTCCTTTAGTTGGTGAATGGATAAACTGGTACATTCATGTAATGGATTATTACTTATCAGTAAAAAACTGATACACATAACATAGATAAATTTCAAATGCATTATGCTAAGGAAAGAACCCAAATTCAAAGACTTCATACTGTATGATTCCATTTATATGACAATCTGGAACAGGGAAAACTATAAGGATAGAACATTCCGTCAGTGGTTACCATGTACTAGGAAGGGGAGAGATTGCCTATAAAGAGGCCCAAGGGGAATTTTGAGGGTGATGAACAAATCCTATATTTTGATTGTGGTGGTAGTTACGTATTCATTTTTCAAAATTCATAGAACTGTATGATAAGAAGGGTAATGTTTACTATATATATATATATATATATATATATATATATATATATATATA
The DNA here is from genome assembly GCF_000001405.40 of Homo sapiens. Classification (NCBI taxonomy): domain Eukaryota; kingdom Metazoa; phylum Chordata; class Mammalia; order Primates; family Hominidae; genus Homo; species Homo sapiens. The sequence continues at coordinate 160,489,745 of NC_000003.12, read as the reverse complement.
TATATGTATGTATTTTAGAGATGAGGTCTCACTCTGTCTCCCAAAGTGCTAGGATTACAAGCACCAGCCACCCTGCCTGGCTTAATTTTTTTTTTTTTTTTTAAGACAGGGTCTCACTCTGTCACCCAGGCTGGAGTGCAATGGTGTGATAATGGCTCATTGCAGCCTCGACCTCTTGGGCTCAAGTGATCCTCCCGTCTCAGCCTCCCAAGTAGCTGGTGCTACAGATGTGTGCCACCACACCCAGCTATTTTTAAAAAATTTTTGTAGGCTGGGTGCGGTGGCTCAGGCCTGTAATCCCAGCACTTTGGGAGGCCGAGGTGGGTGGATCACGAGGTCAGGAGATTGACACCATCCTGGCTCACACAGTGAAACCCCGTCTCTACTAAAACTACAAAAAATTAGCCAGGTGTGGTGGCGGGTGCCTGTAGTCCCAGCTACTCGGGAGGCTGAGGTGGGAGAATGGCGTGAACCTGGGAGGTGGAGCTTGCAGTGAGCCGAGATTGCGCCACTGCACTCCAGCCTGGGCGACAAAGCGAGACTCCATCTCAAAAAAAATTTTTTTTTGTAGAGACAGGGTCTGCTATGTCGCCCAGGCTGGTCTCAAATTCCTGGGCTAAAGCAGTCCTCCCACAAAGTGCTAGAATTACAGACATGAACCACCACACCCAGCTTAATTTTTTAAATGCTGCTGTTGAACACAAATGGAGATTTGAATCAAAAGTTATATGATTTTCTCAAACAAAAAGACATAAGATGTCAGTTATCCTAAGCTGATCTTTTAAAAGAAAAAAAATTCATGAACATTCTGAAAAGGGGGACTAGCTTTGTTTTAAAATATACATTCTCAGTAATTAAAATAGCATAGAACTGGCTCATTAATAAATAGTTCACTAGAGCCAATTTTTTAAAAAATCCAGATTAGACCCAGCATAGGAATATACCATGTATTAAAGGTAGCATCTCAAATAATGGGAAATATGAATTATTCAATAAATATTAATGGAAAACTGAATAGACATCCAGAAAGAAAATTGGCTTTATACCTCACATATCCTACCAGACAAAAAAATCCAAATGAATAAAAGCAAACACTAATATTATAAAGTACTAGTGGAAAGCCCTGCAAGAATTATTATACAACTGCAACATGGGGAAGACCTTTCTGGGTATATACAAAAACTCAGAAGCCATAAAGAAGAAATTGATAAAATCTATTTACATAAAAAATAATTTCTATGCAGGAAAACCTTCATAAGCAAAATGAAGCAAATGAGAAGATATTTCTAATTATCCTAGATAAAGGGCTAATTTTTCTAACGTGAAAAGGTCCTACACATCAATTTTATTTTATTTATTTATTTTTGTTTTTTGAGATAAAGTCTTGCTCTGTTGCCCAGGCTGGAGTGCAGTAGCAGAATCTCGGCTCACTGCAACCTCCACTTCCCGGCTAAAGTGATCTTTCATCCTCGGCCTCCTGAGCAGCTGGGACCACAGGCACGAACCACCATGCCTGACTAATTTTTGTAGAGATGGGGTTTCACTATATTGCCCAGGCTGTTCTCAAACTCCTGAGCTCAAGCAACTCTCCCACCTTGGCCTCCCAAAGTGCTGGGATTACAGGCATGAGCCACCATTCCCAGCCAATTTTAAAAGACTCAATAGATAAATTATGTCAACAGAAAATGTAAGAAAATATAATTGGCTCTGTTATGGGTTGAATTGTATTCCCCCTAAGATTCATATGTCTAAATCCTAGCCCCCAGTACCTCAGAATGTGACCTTATTTGGAAATAGAGTCTTAATCTAGTTAAATGAATCTAGTTAAAATGAAGTCAGTAGGGAGGGCCCTAATCCAATTTGACTGGTCTCCTTAAAGAAAGGTGTAAAAATAAATATTAAAGGAAAATCTGGACACAAACACACAGGGAGAAGGCCACATGAAGATGAAGGCAGTAATCAGAGTGACGCTTCTACAAGCCAAAGAATGCCAGGAACTACCAGCAACCTATTGGAAGATAGGGCAGAGACATGGAACAGATCCTTCCTCACACCACTTGGAACAAACCTGCAAGATACCTCAGTCTCAGACTTTTAGCCTCCAGAATGTGACAATGTATTTCTGTTATTTAAAGTAATACCAGTTTGTGGTACTTTGCTTCAGCAGCCCTAGCAAACTAATATAGGGTCTTACAACATATGAAAATTTACTCAGCCTCCCCTATAGTAAATGAAATTTACATTAAAACTGCAAGAAACCATTTTTGTTCTAATGAAATTGCTAAAGCTCAAGAGTCTGGATAACAAAATGTCATTGGTATAAGACAACAGTACCCTCATATCTTCCTGTTTGGAGTGCAAATTGGTACAAACTCAGGAGAGGTAAATTTGATAAAATCTATCAAAATTATAAATACATGTACTTTTCCTAAAATGTGTGAAATGACATACAAATTTATTTATTGCAGCATCATTTGGAAAATAAAAAGATTAGACTGGCTGGGCACAGTGGCTCACACCTGTAATCTCAGCACTTTGTGGGGCCAAGGTGGTTGGATTACTTGAGGCCAAGAGCTCAAGATAAGCCTGGCCAACATGGCGAAACCCTGTCTCTACTAAAAACACAAAAATTAGCCAGGCGTGGTGGTGTGTGCCTGTAATCCCAGCTACTGGGGAGGCTGAGGCACAAGAATAGCTTGAACCAGTGAGCCAAGATCATGCCACTGCACTCCAGCCTGGGCAACAGAGCGAAACTCTGTCTCAAAAAAAAAAAAAAGACTGGAACTAACCATCAATAATGTGCTGGTTAAATCAACCAACATCAATATAGTGAACAATTTTACACCTATTTTTAAAATAAGACTTTTTATGTCTTGATACAGAAAAATCTCCAAAATACTATTAAAAGATTGAAAAAGCAAAATATATAGCAATGTAGTATGTTAGCATTTGTATTAAAAATATATTTTTGTTTGAATGTTCTTAAAACATCTCTGGAAGAATATACACATAAATTATAAACATTGTATTCTCTATGGAGAGGACGGGGTTGGACGGAGACTTTTATCACATGATGTTTTAAAAACTGAATTTTGAACCACATGAATAATAAAAATAAAACACATAACTTTTTACATAAATAAGAGTGCTTTTTGCTGCCACAAGGTGGCAGTGTTAAAGTCTTTATAAAAGAAGAGTATTTTGAAATTTGCCTCAAGACAAATTTTTGTATTGGGCCTGTAATTTTCAAGGATCTAACTGAAAATAGGTAAAATGTATTTTCATATAAGATAGTATATTTTAGGAGTCATGTAAATATGTTTTATTTCTGTAGTTTTGTAATCACAGTATATTTTATTTTGGCTTTGCTTTAATTAAAGCACTACAGGACCATGGTAAGAAAAAGATAATACAAAAGCATTTTTGGCCAGACACGGTGTCTCACACCTGTAATCCCAGCACTTTGGGAGGAGGACCAGATTGATTATTCCAGGTAGCTAGTGCGAGCTTTCTCTGTTGCTGGATCGTCAGTTTCTTTACCCAAGAAACTTCCCCTTAGACTGAGAAAACAGAGAATTCTGCATGCTTGGCCAGTGCATGTTAACTGCAGACTTTGCTTTAAAGTGTGTGGACCTGACGCTGAGCATCAGACTGGAAGCCTCAAATGTCAGAATAAAAGAGGGAGGAAGCCTCAGTTCCCCCTAACCAGACCATTTTCTTTTGGTAAGAGCCCACTTGTTTCTTTTTCCTTTCGCTTTTTTGCCCTCAGGATTAAATATGGATTGTTTTTACAGTAATGCACATATGAGAAGGGAGGGGAGTTAAAGAGGCCAGATGTTAACTTTCAGTATATTATGTTGAGATCCCTTTTTTTTTTTTTTTTTTTTTTTTGAGACGGAGTCTCGCTCTGTCGCCCAGGCTGGAGTGCAGTGGCGCGATTTGGGCTCACTGCAAGCTCCGCCTCCCGGGTTCAAGCGATTCTCCTGCCTCAGCCTCGTGAGTAGCTGGGGTTACAGGCGCCCGCTACCACACCCGGCTAATTTTTGTATTTTTAGTAGAGACGAGGTTTCACCATGTTGGTCAGGCTGGTCTGAAACTCCTGAAGAGATCCGCCCACCTCGGCCTCTCAAAGTGCTGGGATTACAGGCGTGAGCTACCGCGCCCGGCCCGAGACCCCTTTCTTGTCTCTGCATAGCGCCCACCCCTGGCCTAGAGCCTCTTCAGCTTTCCATCACTAAGCTAAGCTCTCACCTCTACTTTAGCCTCTTCCTTACTTAGACTTGTGTTATGGGCTTCCTCCACTCTGATTAACCCATCCACATGCTCCGATCTTCTCATCTTCCTGAAGTCATTTGATACCTCTCATCTAATGGTTCAGCCTTCACTGGTAAGTAAGCGTTTATGCCTTTTTGCTCTTCTATGTAGTTATATTTATTTCATCAGGTTCTCCTGAGAGAATAGAGAAAACACAAATGTTCCATCACCATACTGGACTGGAATCCTCTGGAGATAACTCTTAGTTCTGCTCTTCTCTTCACTCAGATCTTTGTCCCTCAGATGTGTGTGTTTGTGTTTATTACAGTTGTTGGTCTTCTGATGACAACAGTAATATATATTCATTGTATATAATTTGGAAATACAGAGTAATAAAAAAGTCTATAATCCACCAAACAATTACTGTTACCATTATAGTATATTTATTTTCAGCCTTTCAATATGCATATGGTGCATTTTTAAAAACAAACGACATTATTTATACTATGTATGATTTTGTATACAGTTCTTTTTACTAATATTGTGAATAATTTCCCAAGTCACAAAAATGGTCTTTTTCAACATGGTTTTTAAGGCTACATAGTATTTCATTATCTGAAATGACCATTATCTGAATTACCTCTTATTCTCCTGTTGGACATTTTGCTTGGTCTCAGTTTTATTTGTTTTTTAGTTTGTTATTATAGAACACTTCTATTATACCTGGGCTCTCTTGTGTGCTTGTGATATCTGTCTTAATTGCAATTCAGAAATGGACTTTGGGCCAGGCACAGTGGCTCACATCTGTAATCCCAGCACTTTAGGAGGCTGAGGCAGGCGGATCACTTGAGCCCAGGAGTTCAAGACCAGCCTGGGCACCATTGAGAAACCCTGTCTGTACAAAAAATACAAAAAAAGCCATGCGTGGTGGCATGTGCCTGTAATTCCAGCTACTCAGGAGGCTGAGGTGGGAGAATCACCTGAGCCAGGGAAGTCAAGGCTGCAGTGAGCAGTGATTATGCCACTGCACTCTAGCCTCAGCAACAGGGGTGAGACTGTCTCAATTTTAAAAACTAAAAAATATTTTTTTAAAAATATGCTCTTTGATTTAAGCTGCAAAGGAATTTATTGAAAAGAAAGCTAGTAGCTCGCAAAATCATGCACAAGTTCAGGTAAGGGCTTTTCTTTTCTTATTCATCAAAAAGAATATTTCTTCTACTATCCATCATCCCAAGCACTGTGAGAGGTTCACTTTTCACACCTGAATGGAGTCCATAGCATTTCTACTAGCTATTCTGTTCTCATTCCATACCAGTCCTTCCCTTTCCTCATTCTTTCTGATCAGGCCTGTTTATAACATTTGTTGGGGATCGGGCAAAAGTACAAATATGGGTCAATGTTACTTATATCTAAATATTTTAATCATACAAATTAACCTAAAAACTTGAAAGAGAAGATGTGTGCTATCTTCCTACCTTGACAAATATACTTCATAAATAACCTGGAAGGGGGAGTTCTAATTTTGAATTATTGTTCTGTGCCTAAATGTAGTGGGGCAGGAAGAGCCAGCCCTTGGCCCTCTGCCTCAGGCCCGTGGCCCACCTAGTTTCTTTTCTACCTTTTACTCATTCCTTTGCCTGCTGTGGATGCCAGCATAAGAGGCCTTATACAGGCATTAGAAGTGGACTCAGGGTGTTTGGCCAGAATTCTGGGGGTCCTAGTACACAGAGTGTGGTCTAGAAGAGAGGGGGTGAGTGCAGGCCCTGGTAGGCATTTCCTGACGGACTCCTCACTCTGTTGGACTGTGGCCAGAGAAGGGTCAGAGCGGGGCCTTCTAAGAAGGGGGTCCGGGCAGGGCTATCTCCACTTCTCCCTGAAGCCTCCCTTGTCTCTTACAGTTCATATGACCTCACCCTTGTCTTTCATGTTCCCAGAGCATTCACCATTAATATCACTCATTTGAGCATATTAGTCATATATTCACTGTATTGTTACTTAGCAATTTCCTAAGGATATGGGCAGCTTTCTGGCATCCCAGGAAGAGAGGACTGGGTTCATATCTTATAAATGTCAAATATTTCATTATCACAATTGATACTTTATGAATACTTGATAAATTGAATGGCATCAAAATAATGTAATAGCAGACTAAACCAAGATTAGTAACTTTGTTCTCAAATTAAAGCCTTATTGGATATTTGCAATGTGACCATCTAGTTAGTTTGCATTACTATAAAGGAATACCTGAGGCTGAGTAATTTATAAGAAAAGAGGTTTATTTGGCTCACGGTTTTGCACACTGTACAAGAGCATGGCGCCAGCATCTGCTTCTGGTAAAGCTTCAGCCTGCTTCCCTCAGTGGAAGGTGAAGGGGAGCTGGCCACACCGAGATCATATGGCAGGAGAGGAAGGAAGAGAGAGGTGGAACAGTTGCCAGGCTCTTTTAACAATCAGCTCTCAGGGAAACTCCTGCAGGAACTAATAGAGCAAGACTCACTCATTACTGCGAGGAGGCACCAAACCATCTAGGAGGGATCCACCCCCACAACCCAGATGCCTCCTGTTACATTAAAGATCAGATTTCAACATGAGGTTTGGAGGGTCAAATATCCAAACTATAGCAATGACCATATATGTTTTTGCCATAATTGTGGGATTATGTTTTTTGGTTATGCAAAACAAAAAATAAAAAAATCCAGTAAAAGCATTTTTTAATGGAACTAGCATTGTAATAAAAAAATTGTTATATATCTACTGTATAGCTCAAAATGTATGGCCAGGTGCAGTGGCTGTCACCTGCAATCCCAGCACTTTGGTGGGAGGATTGTTTGAACCCAGGAGTCCAAGACCAGCCTAGGCAACATAAGCCAGTCCTCATCTCTAATAAAAATTAAGGAAAAAAAATTGGCCAGGCATGGTGGCACACACCTGTAGTCCCAGCTACTCCAGAGGCTAAGGCAGGAGGATCACTTCAGCCCAGGAAGGTGAGGCTGAAGTCAGCCATCATCGTGCCACTGCACTCCAGCCCAGGTGACAGAACAAGGCCCTTTGATAAAATAATAATAATGATAACTATTACATGGAAAAAAATTAAGTAAGCTAATACACTATAGAATTATTGCCTTCAACACAGAACATGCTGATAAAAAAGTTTCAACATAGTACACAATTTATAAAATAATCAGTTAATCAGGCCACAAATATTTCTTGAGGCTTCTATTTACTGAGTGCTGTGCTAGGCCCTAGGCCCTAAGAGTATTTAGTAGTAAATAAAATAAGACAAAGTTCCTCCTCTCATGGATCTTATATTACAGCTGATTGTAACAAAGGACTACAGATGAATTTATCATTGGGCATTACAGCTGCAACTGTAAGTCCAGGCCAAAGAGTGTGCAAGGGTGAGAGGAAGAGCTCAAGGTCTGCATAGGGTCATTGTTTACTGGCAGTTGCAGTCCTTCCTTCCTGCTGTTCTGAATTTGCCATAAATGTCAAGCGGATAATGTGAAGGGTAGCGCCACCTCAGGACCTGCTCACCTCTCTCATGTTCCAACTTATTCCCGTAGACCTTTCATTGCAACTGCAGCTCTTATTTTCCGGTTACTATTTAGATCGTTCTATCAAGGCCTGCGGTGTCTTGGGTTTGATTTTGAAGATGGTTATTAAGGCTCCTAAACATTCTTCCCTTGCAGTTTGCCTAAAGGATGTTTAGGGAAAGATAGAGTCTCTTGGCTTGGCTTCTCTAAATGATCTTTATTTTTCCTGCTTTCCCCTAAATCTTTCTATTTTTTTTTTTAGATGGAGTCTCACTCTGTCACCCAGGCTGGAATGCATTGGTGCAGTCTCGGCTCACTGCAACCCCTGCCTCCCGGGTTCCTGCGAAGCTCCTGCCTCAGCCTCCTGAGTAGCTGGAACTACGGGTGCCTGCCACCATGCCCAGCTAATTTTTGTAGTTTTAGTAGAGACAGGGTTTTGCCATGTTGGCCAGGCTGATCTTGAACTCCTGACCTCAGCTCCCCTAAATCTTTCAAGTAGAAACAGAAAAGAAATAGGAAGGGGGAATAGGCACCCACCTCAGCTCCCCTAAATCTTTCAAGTAGAAACAGAAAAGAAATAGGAAGGGGGAATAGGCACAACTTTCTTCAGGCTCCTGGAAAGCACCATCTCTCAGGCTGCCCTACACAACAGGAGAGCTGCCATATCAATGTAGTGACATGGTTCAACAGAAGGAGGTCTTCATATTTCGCTTCCCTGACACACCCACAGCTCCCCAGCATTGCCAACACTGAATTAGTAGCAGCACATCTACCCTGAGACTCAGTGAGGTAGAGCAAGGTGACTCACCCGCACTCAGAGGCTGAGCGGAGACCAAGTCTCAAAGACTGGAGAGAGAAGATATTGCAGAGACTCAGGGGCCTGCCACCAGGAGTCAGAGGAAAGCCAGCCAGCCAGGGGAACATCACTGGGAGCATTGCCCAAGGTGAGAGAGCCCAACCTCCATTTACGTTCACATCAGCCTCAGACTTCAGCCTTGAATACCAGCAGCACACGGAGAAATTAAGTGAACAGTGGGTTGGCCAGGGGTGGCGGCTCACGCCTGTAATCTCAGCACTTTGGGAGGGTGTGGTGGGTGGATCACTTGAGGTTAGGAGTTCGAGACCAGCCTGGCCAACATGGTGAAATCCCATCTCTACTAAAAATACAAAAAATTAGCCCTGTGTGGTGGCAGACGCCTGTAATCCCAGCTACTCGGGAGGCTGAGGCAAGAGAATCACTTGAACCTGGGAGGCGGAGGTTCCAGTGAGCCAAGATCACGTCACTGCACTCCAGCCTGGGTGACAGAATGAGACTCTGTCTCAAAAAAATAAATAAATAAAATAAAATAAACAATATTTCAACACTCTTGAATTGAAGACAAAATTCTTATAGAGTGTTATAAGTAGTAGGAAAAAAGTGGGGAGGAGGCGGTGGGAGATCCTCAAATAAAGTATGGATTGTCCACCAAATCTCTGTACTTGCAGACACTTAAACTCTGGTTCCCTTCTTAGACCTCAGTGTGGTGGAAAGAACATGGGCCTCTGTCTTCAGCAGGCCTGAGTTTGAATCCTACCTCCATATATTATTTATCCTAGCTAATTTGTTAGATGAGAACAACAACTTAATCCGTCTGAGCCTCAGTTTCTCTATCTGAGGAAAATACATGCGTTCTGTGCCATGGGAGGATTAAATGAGGTAGTAAATACCTGCAGAGTGCTAAGCATATTTTCTGGAACATAAAGAGGCAAAGGAAAAAGAAGAGAAGGAGATTTAGAAGAGAAAAAGGAGAAAAGAAAAATGTACAGACGGCTACCAACAATGACCATGGTTAGTCATCTCACAAAATCCCTCCTAGCAAGTTCTGTCTTCTTTATGTCTCAAATATTATTGCTAAACTTCGCTTCTATTTATTTGCCATTTGACTTCCCTTCTTAAAGCTGCCTGCCCCCTTTTGAACAGCAGAGGCCTTAATGTTTGGGGAAATTGGGTGAGGAAGAAAATCATTCTGCATATAGAGTTGCTGAAAAATACTGCCATATAGTTTAAACTTTTAACATTTGTTTTTTTGAGACGGAGTTTTGCTCTTCCTCCCCAGGCTGGAGTACAATGGCATGATGTCGGCTCACCACAACCTCGGCCTCCTAGGTTCAAGCGATTCTCCTGCGTCAGCCTCCCAGGTAGCTGGGATTACAGGCATGCACCACCACGCCCGGCTAATTTTCTATTTTTAGTAGACATGGGGTTTCTCCATGTTGGTCAGGCTGGTCTCAAACTCCTGACCTCAAGCGATCTGCCTGCCTCGGCCTCCCAAGTTGCTGGGATTACAGCCACCATGCCCGGCCGAAACTTTCAACATTTTTTAGCAGCTTAAAACAACATCTGTTTATCTCCGCGTTTTTGTGGGCAAGAGTCTAGGCATGGTTTAGCTGGGTTCTCTGCTTCAGAGTCTCTGTTTCAGGCTGCCACCAGGGTGAAGGCTGAATGTTATTCTTAAAGTTTGACTGAGCAAGTGTCCACTTTGAGGTCCGCTCGGATTGTTGGCAGCCTTCACTCCCTTGAAGCTGTAGGCTCCCAGCTCCTATAAACTCTCTGCACGTCCTTGCCATGTTGGTCCCTCCACAGGCAGTTCACAGCATGGGTATTTGCTTCTTCAAAGCCAGCAGGAGACTGAGAACAAGACTGCTGGCAAAAGGAAGTTTTATAAAACATGTGATTACAGGAGTGACATCCCATCACCTTTGCCATAATGTATTGGTTACAAGCAAGTCACAGGTCCCACTCACACTCAGGTGAGGGGACTATACAAGGGGGTGAACATTAGAAGGTAGGGAATATATGGGTCACTAGATAGTTCAACTTTTTAAATTGTTTTCACAGATAATTTTTTCATCCCTTATGGATTTTTCAAGAATTGGTTTTTAAATTGTGCATTAAGGATGGTGGTTTGGGCCAGGCATGGTGGCTCACACCTGTAATCCCAGCACTTTGGGAGGCCAAGGTGGGCGGATCACTTGAGGTCAGGAGTTCGAGACCAGACTGGCCAACATGGTGAAACCCCATCTCTACTAAAAATACAAAAATTAGCTCGGCATGGTGGCATACGCCTGTAAACCCAGCTACTCGGGAGGCTGAAGCAGGAAAATCACTTGAATCTGGGAGATGGAGGTTGCACAGTGAGCTGAGATTGCACCACTGCACTCCAGCCTGGGCAACAGAGCAAGACTCTGTCTTAAAAAAAAAAAAAAAATGGTGATTTGGCTTAAACCCTTTGTGAAATGAAACAGAATGTCAATATAAATAAAAAGAATCGTGCCCCACAACAGCACTGAGTCTATTTCCAGGCAGCCGGTGACCAGGGCTGAGAACTTGCCCCAGACCACGAGCCTCTCTGTTGAGAAAGCAAGCTGACTCAGTTTTTCAGCGTCTCAAGGAGCCTGCAGCAGTAATCCAGTTTCTTCAAAGGGTCTGTGGATTCTCTCAGCTTTCCTGTTATGTTCCTGCGGTAGTTCTTGCAGCAAAAGTTCATGATATGAGTCTCCACATGCTGCTTTATCCATCTGAGCAGGAGCTGCAAGCTAGTCCTGCCTCCTATCTGCCATCTTTATCCCTAAACTCTCATCAGTTTTCTTGTCCTGTAAAAGATCAACAAACAGAGAATTGTATTTACCTGTGATAAAATGCAAAAACTAAGACTGCTTCATCTCCAATAACACCTTCACCTCCAACTCTGCACCAAGGTTTGCCACAGAATAGTGACTGTTCAAATAGGTTGTTTGCTGTGTGACAGCAAGAAGAACCTGAGACCTTAAAAGAACTCTCCAAATACCTGAAGATGGACTTTCACACAAACCAAAGGAATTTAAAAATCTATGTCTTCCCCTCCCAATTTTCCAAAAACCTCAGGGCCTGCCCTACTTAAAAGGATGTGGTCAGCTGACTGCTACCTCAAGCCAGAAAAGCAATCATGTCTAATCAGTCCAGACAGCCACTGCTGCCTCTGTGTCTCACTGGCATTCAGGGTCATTTTTCAAGGCTGGGCCTCCATGACCACCCGCAGTTACTGTTGTCCGCTGGGAGATAACGCTCCACAGACCCAGGTGAGGCATCAGACTGAAATGAAGCTTCGAGGCTGGATACTCCCAGCCTTAGTGCTAGACTAAGCGAAGGAAGGCTCTCACTTGGGGTTAACTCCCAGGGGGCCAGCCCAGGGGCTTCATCTCTGTGAGTCCCTGGCAGGTCACTCCTTACCTTGGGACCTCTGTGTCATGATTGGTTCTGGCATTCACTCCCGGAGGACCAAAACTGTCCCTGTCCCTCTTGGGTTGCTCGGCTTTTCATTTTTAACTCTTGAAACCCAGAAGACTGATCATCCCACTTCCCAGAAAACAGAGCTCTGGGTCCATCCTCCTGTGGGAAGCTACCTTTGGAAGGCAGTGCCTGCAGTCATATATTGACTGAGATAACCCTAGTATCTCTTGCTCTAAAGCCAAAAGAAAAGTCACTTTCTTTCCAGGGGCACACATTGCAAAATGAGAAGCTGCCAAAGCAGGAACTCATTTTAACTTTCACTCCTCTCTCTCATCTACTTTTCTCTCTATCCTTCCTCATTCTCACCACACCCAGTAAGTGACAAGTTTCTAAAATTTCTCAGGCCATCAAATCTCAATGCCAGAATGCTAATTGATTGGGTGCATTAGAAAGAAGCAACTGTGAATGAAGGTAAAATATGACAATAAGAAATATATACCTACAAATGTAAAGGACTACAGAAATAAAAACAGTCATTAGTCTATAGATTTAGGTTATTTATTTATTTATTTTGAGACAGAGTTTTGCTCTTGTTGCCCAGGCTGGAGTGCAATGGCACGATCTTGGTTCACTTCAACCTCTGCCTGCCGGGTTCAAGCGATTCTCCTGCCTCAGGCTCCAGAGTAGCTGGGATAACAGCCACCATGCCCAGCTAATTTTTTGTATTTTTAGTAGAGATGGGATTTCACCATGTTGGTCAGGCTAGTCTCGAACTCCTGACTTCAGGTGATCCATCCACCTAGGTCTCCCAAAGTGCTGGGATTACAGCGTGAGCCACTGCACCCGGCAGATTATTTTATTTTATTTCATTATTTTATTTATTTATTTATTTATTTTTTGAAGTAGGTTCTTACTCTGTCACCCAGACTGGAGTATAGTGGCATGATCATGGCTCACTGCAGCCTTGACCTCCCAGGTTTAGATGATTCTCCCACCTCAGCCTTCCAGGTAGCTGGGACTACAGGCACATGCCACTGCACCGAGTTAATTTTTCGTATTTATTGTAGAGACAGGGTTTCGTCCTGTTGCCCAGTCTTGAACTCCTGGGCTCAAGCAATGAACCCACCTTGGCCTCCCAAAATGCTGGGATTACAGGCGTGAGCCAACACACCTGCCCTAGATTTAGATTATGAGAAGGGCTAGATGTATGTGTGTATGTGGTTACTATGATGATAGTTTCCCTCAAACTAAAGAACAAATATATACATGAAAAAGAATACTATAGCATAGGCTTCACTTTGCCCACACTGGACACAATAACTCAATGGTTCAGCATTTGATGGCTAACATTATTTTGATGAGCAGCTATTAGCAAGGCCTTTCAACTGTAAAATTTCTACCTGGCAGAAACCTTAGTAGGAGCAATCAGTTTGGTTTGAGGCTTGGTTTTAATCCTAAACACATCAACAGAATTTCAAGATCAAGGGTCCTTAACAGTGACTGAGTTTCTTAGGTTCTTTTCCATGGGAAGATTGACATTTCTCTTTCTTCTTGAGTTGGATCATTTATTAGCATCATTTTCATTTAGCGTTACTACCCAGTATAAAGTGTAGCACTAATATATAACTCATTTTCCTCATGATGACTAAAGCTTTTTGTCTGATGACTATGGCCTGGGAAGATCAGGACATTCTTTCTTTTTTTTTTTGATGAAGTTTTGCTCTTGTCGCTGAGGCTGGAGTGCAGTGGCACAATCTTGGCTCACTGCAACCTCTGCCTCCTGGGTTCAAGTGATTCTCCTGTCTCAGTCTCCTAAGTATCTGGGATTACAGGCACTCGCCACCACACTGGGCTAATTTTTGTATTTTTAGTGGAGACAGGGTTTTACCATGTTGGCCAGGCTGGTCTCGAACTCCTGACCTCAGGTGATCCACCGGCCTTGGCTTCCCAAAGTGCTGGGATTACAGGCATGAGCCACCACCCCCGGCCAATCAGGACAGTCTTGAAAGGACTTATTGAAGAGCCTGCCTCAGACCTTGTGTTACCTACCTCTTCACCTCCTTCACATGGACCTTATTTCATAGTTAGTCTCGAAACAAACAGTGAATCTGTTCTTTCCTGGAATCAAATGAATAGGGTGGAGGTAGGAGGAGAAGAGGATCACAGCAGGAAGAGAGGAGGCACAGGGACTTTGAAACCCGTCCTCCTCCACGGTCAAGTGCCTTACCTCCTCCTACCAAGTGCAGGGGAGAGGGGGGAATTCAAGGTTTGCTGCCTTCCCTAAATGTAGAATTTTTTAAAGTATTATTTTAAAAATACTGTTTACATTTAGTTACTTCCCTATTTTTGCTGATGCAGACATTTTTATACAGACATTTTTAGCAAATGTCTTTTAAAAAAGTGAAGAATTTTATAACTGCAGAATTTCTATGATCCAAAGAGCCAGGGGTGCACAGGCCTTTGCATCAGGAAGGGGAATTCAGAGATGGATCCTCTCATTTGATGGGTGAGAAGACTGAGGCCCAGACAGAGGTATCCACAGTGGTTTAGCAGGTTAGTGGCAGAACAGGGATCCAGGCTTCTCTCTCCTGGCTTACTGATTTATCACAAAAGGTGATTCATTCATTCACTCGTTCTTCAAAAAGTGTTTGGATTCTCACTATGTGCCAGGTGCAATTCTGGGCACAGCCCCTGCCTTTGGTGGATTTCCATGTTTGTTAGAAGATGCTGAGTGCAGCCTCAGGGTAGGTACAGGGTGATGTGGGAGGGTGAGGAAGTCTAGAGACAAGAGCTCACAGGCTTCTGTGGGTAATAACAGCAAGTCGTTTTGGTGTGATTGGAACATGAGGAAGGGGGCGTGAGCAGAAGGCAAGGGGGTGAGGAGGCTAGAGAGGGAGGTGGGGTCTGATCTAAAAGGTCTAGCTGGTGGAGAGCCAAAGTGGGAGTCTGGGACCTGGTAATGTCTGTGCTTTAGAGAGAACACTTTGGCTGCAAAAGGGTGAAAAAAATCAGAGAAGAGCTTACTAGCAGGCTTTGAGCCAAGGTAATCAACCTTTTAGACTCTGAGGCAGAAGGCAGAACTGGTAGCTTCCTCCAGTGGCCTCAAGTTGTTATCCCAGTGTGCTGTACTAAAGTTGTCATTTTCTGTGTGCTGTGATGAGAAACAGATGACAAAGCACTGCCATAGAGGGGAGCAAAACCCTAGGTGAGGAGACTGGTTTGATAGGAATTCCAACTGGAAATCATATTGACCTGAACCAAGAAGTCAAGACCTGATTCTGGACTTTGTAACTTACTGGTTGTAAGTAGTGAAAGGTAAATAGAAGTAAGTAAGAGACCCCTAGTCTGGGACAACTAGAAGGGTGATGGTACCATTCACTGAAATAGGGAACATAGGTGAAGAGTTTGTGGGGAAAGACTATGAGTTAGGACATGCTAATGATAGGTACCTGGAAGACATCCAAGAAGCGATGTCCAGTAAGCATGTAAATATGTGGCTCTGAAGGGGAGGAGGAGGTCTGGGTTACAGTTATGAATCTGGGAATCTCAGCATATCTAGTAATTGAAGCCATATGGTCAGTGAGTAATGGTGGCCAAGAGAAATGTGTGGAGTAAAAGGAAAATGGGGCTCAGGAGAGGAACATCAACATGTAGGCTAGGGCCCAGGGAAGGAGTTCCAAAAGAGAAGATGGGCCAGGTAGGAAGGAGAAAGGTCAAAGGAGGTGGTGTCCTGAAAGCCAAAATTAAGAGCCTTTCTAGAAGATAGAAGTGGCTAAGTCCTTTCTAGAAGACGGGAGGTTAAGGGTATAACACTGTGGATGCTGGCTGTGTGTGGCTGTAAATAGCTCCAATCCATGGCATCCATTTGTATTCTTAATGTACATGGATGCTGTTACCTTTTTTGGGCTAAAAGAGGAAAAGATGTTGTTGCCTGGGTTTGTGGAAGAGACAGAGAAAAATGAAAGAAATCAATACCCCAAGAGGTTTTGGTAGAAGCTGTAGGGACTGGATAATGAAGGACCTTATGGGACTTTGGAACCTAAGGGATACAGGGTTGGAGAAAGAATCCTCACTGCTATGCAGTACCCAAGACTACTGTATGGCTGGACCCATAAGCACCTGCGGGCAGCATCAGGGCCAGCCTCTACTGGCTTGCAGAGGCAGTGAACTCTCTTTAGAATCTAGAATAGAAGACCAAGAGTACATGTGAGTCACCTTCTGAGGCTACAACACATCACTGGGAAAACATTGGGGTCTGAGGGTTTGCTGGTTGCAGGAATAAGGAGCAAACACAAAATGTGGTCCCATCTGTGTCTACAGCTGGTGAGATTGGGTTATTCAAGAATCTGGGTGTGGAAGAAAGCAGCATTCTTGGAAAGAGCTGCAGGAGACATGATTCCTCAGGGCAAAGCCAGCTTTCTGGAGGCAGAATAAACTTGTAGTGAAAAGGTGAAGTGTATGGGGGAGTTTGTTTGCCTGGGAAACCTTTCCAAAGGTCACAGTTGAAAGGAAAGTTTAGGAGAGAGTGGAATGGTAGAACACTGGGTGAGGAAAATAAAAAATAGAGAAATAGGGGATTGAGAGTGCATAAGAGGAGAGATGAGCAGAGATGGCAATGACCAAAGATAATCAAGACTTCTAGGATGGAAGAGAGATTGAGAGGTAGGAGCAGGAAGGCAAATTCAGATCCCATAAAGAATCAGTTGTGCTTCCAAGAGGTTCTCAGCCCAGTGAAGTTCCAGGTCTCTTTCCATTCTTGAGAAAGAGTAGCAGTCTCTGGTGGAAGGAATATCCCCTACATCCTAGGAAAATTTATTCATGACCTGGTCTGATAGTATTCCCTGCTTCTTGGGAAGATTTACTCATGACCTTCCAGGGCAGCATGGGAGTTAGGGTTTTGGTTGCTGCCATGCTTCTTCCTTTCCCGTGTCTCTTCTGCTTATCTGAGGTAATGCAAAAACTTTAAGCTGATACCTGTTGGTGTAATGGGAGTTCCTTTAATTTATATTAACTTTCCAACTACCTTAATGTTTGCTAGTCAAGTCCATGCACATCTTACCCTCGAATGCTCTTACATGTGTGTAGACCTAACTGTCCTATTAGATCCCCTGTCTATTAGATACCCAGAGGCATGACCCAGCCAGGTCACTCAAGAGTGGCTCAGCAACTCAGCAGACAGGATGTGGTCAAGGGGATGGTCAGGTCCCTGGTTCCACCTCTGTGGTCAGCAACAAGGAAGGTGTCTGATCAGAGAGAAAGAGTCAGAAAAGCAAGAAGCAAATGTATTATAATAAAATGTTACAGCTCTTTTAGAATTTATCTAGCAGGTTTTCTGGTTACTATAAGAGAAGGGGGAACCACCACGGATTTGGAATAGAGTAAGATAGGGATATATTTATTCTCTTAGTAGCTGGTGCAAAGATTCCTTTTTGGGGGAAACGTGTCTTTGTAAAATTACTTCAGAGGCAAACATGGGGAAGACTGTAAACCTTGTGTTTGGGTGCAGAAGTCCTTAAACTTTAGCATGCAGCAGAAACCCTGGGGTTGCTAAAACACAGATGTGCTGGTCAGTTCACCTTCAGAGCTTCTCACTCAGAAGACCTGAGGTAGAGCTTGAGAGTTTGCATTTCTAACACACTCCTGGGTGGTGCTAATGTTGCAGATTCAGAAACCACATTTTGAGAACTACTGACTTTCAAAAAGAAGACATTACCTGAATAAATGAAGAGAAGAATCTGGGGTTGTGGTTGTATTAGCCCATTCTCACGCTGCCATAAGGACATGCCTGAGACTGGGTAATTTATAAAGGAAAGAGGTTCAATTAACTAACAGTTCCACATGGCTGGAGAAGCCTCAGGAAACTTACGATCATGGTGGAAGGGGAAGTAAACACATTCTTCTTCATATGATGGCAGGAAGGAGAAGTGCCAAGCAAAAGGGGGAAAATCTCTTTATAAAACCATTAGATCTTGTGAGAACTCACTCACTATCATGAGAACAGCAGTATAGGGGTAACTGCCCCCGTGATTCTTATGCCCCCATGATTCAATTACCTCCCACAATGTCCCTCCCATGACACATGGGGATTTGGGGGAACTACAATTCAAGATGAGATTTGGGTGGTGACACAGCAAAACCATATCATTCTACTCCTGGCCCCTCCCAAATAGCATGTCCTCACATTTCAAAACACAATCTTGCCTTCCCAACAGTCCCCCAAAGTCTTTTTTTTATTATTTTAATTTTTGAGACAGTGGGGACTCTGCATGGGGGCTGCAACCCCACATTTCTTTTTGGCACTGCCCTAGCAGAGGTTCTCCATGAGGGCTCCACCCCTGCAGCAGACTTCTGCCTAGACATGCAGGCATTCCTATATATCCTCTGTCATCAGGCTGGAGTGCAGTGGTGTGATTTCAGCTGATTGCAACCTCCATCTCCAGGTTCAAGTAACTCTTATGCCTCAGCCTCCTGAGTAGCTGGGACTACAGGCACATAATTCAAAGTCTAAGCATATTCCAGCATTAACCCAAAAGTCCAAGTCCAAGTAAAGTCTCATCTGAGAAAAAGGCAAGTCCCTTCTGCCTAAAAGCCTCTAAAATCAAAAACAAGTTTGTTACTTCCTGGATACAATGGGGGTACAGGCATTGGGTAAATGCACCCACAGCAAATGGCAGAAATTGGCCAAAATGAAGGGGATATTGGCCTCATGCAAGTCTGAAATCCAGTGGGGCAGTCAAATCTTAAAGCTCTGAAATAATCTCCTTTGACTCCGTGTCTCACATCCAGGTAACACTGATGCAAGAGGTGGGCTCCTACAGTCTTGAGCAGCTCTGCCTCTGCAGCTTTGCAGGATACAGCCTGTCTTCTGGCTGCTTTCATGGCTGGTGTTGAGTGTCTGCAGCTTTTCCAGGTGCATGGTGCAAGCCATCAGTGGATCTACCATTCTGGGATCTGAAGGATGATGGTCCTCTTCTCACAGCTCCACTAGGCAGTGCCCAGTGGGGACTCTGTGTGGGGACTCCAACCCCACATTTCCCTTCTGCACTGCCCTAGCAGAGGTTCTCCATGAGGGCTCCAACCCTGCAGCAGACTTCTGCCTAGACATGCAGGCATTCCTATACATCCTCTGAAGTCTTGGCGGAGGTTCCCAAACCTCAGTTCTTGTCTTCTGCACACCCGCAGGCCCAACACCACATGGAAGCTGCCAAGGTATGGGGCTCGCATCCTCTGAAGCAATGGCCTGAGCTGTACATTGACTTCTTTTAGCCAAGGCTGGAGCTGAAGCAGCTGGAAGGCAGGGCACCATGTCTCGAGGCTGCACAAAGAAGGGGGCTCCTGGGCCAGCCCAGGAAACCATTTTTCCCTCCTAAGCCTCCAGGCCTGTGATGGGAGGGGCTGCCACGAGTGTCTCTGACATGCCCTGAAGACATTTTCCCCATTGCCTTGGTGATTAACATTTGGCTCCTTATTACTTATGCAAACTTCTGCAGCTGGCCTGAATTTCTCCCCAGAAAATGGGTTTTCTTTACTATTTCACCATTAGACTGCAAATTTTTCAAACTTTTATGCTCTGCTTTCTCTTGAACGCTTTGCCACTTAGAAATATTTTTCTGCCAGATGCCCTAAATCATCTCTCTCAAGTTCAAAGTTCCACGGATCTCTAGGAAACAGACAAAAAGCCACCAGTCTTTTTGCTAAAGCATAGCAAGAGTCACCTTTGCTCCAGTTCCCAGCAAGTTCCTCATCTCCATCTGAAACCACCTCAGCCTGGACTTCGTTGTCCATATCACTATCAGCATTTTGGCCAAAGCCATTCCACAAGTCTCTAGGAAATTCCAAATTTTCCCACACTTTCCTGCCTTCTTCTGAGTCCTCCAGACTGTTCCAACCTCTGCCTATTTCCCAGTTCCAACGTAGCTTCCACATTTTCTAGTGTCTTTACAGCAGCACCCCACTCTCTGCAGTACCAGTTTACCATATTAGTCTGTTCTCACAATGCTATAAGGACATTCCCAAGATGATAATTTATAAAGCAAAGAGGTTTAATTGATTCACAGTTCTGCATGGCTGGGGAGGCCTCAGAAAACTTATAATCATGGTGGAAGGGGAAGCAAACACATCTTTCTTCACATGATGGCAAGAAGAAGAAATGCCAAGCCAATGGGGGAAAAGCCCTTTATAAACCTATTAGATCTCATGAGAACTCACTCTCTATCATGAGAACAGCATAAGGGTAACCACCCCATGATTCAATTACCTCCCATCAGATCCATCCCATGACGTGGGAATTATGGGAACTGCAACTCAAGATGAGATTTGGATGGAGACACAGCAAAACCATATCAGGGGGATAGGATTCAGAAGGGAAGGAGAGAAAAGGGAGGCCATAGAGCTGGTAGCAGGCAGGCTGAATACCATGTGAGGCAATCCTCCAAACTTTGAATACAACATTCTTGGGGTGAAGAGATTTCTTGTGGGAACTGGAAATGGGTTTGAGCTTTGCATTCTGAGACGACATGAGGGTGAAACAGACATCATCCATGGGGCCAAGGAGACTTAAAATTAAATCCATGAACATTTTCAGAAATCTTAGCAGAGCACTTGAAAATTTTCCCAGATGGTGAAAATTGAGAATGGTAGGTGGTTTAAAGAAAAATCAAGGGATAAGGTGGGGTTTGTGTACCTCAGCTGACCTCTACATTGCGTGTCATCTAGGAAGAAGTATTTGTTGGAGAGAAAGAAAGGTTCTGGGAAAATTAAACATTATACAGTATACATTCCTGAGGACGCCTAATGTTCGAAATTCATCAGATGTTAGCAACACACAGAAAACCTGGGGAAGACAGATGCTCCTCAACAGGAAAGGATTCAAAAGGCTTTTTTTTTTTTTTTTTTTGAGACAGAGTCTTACTCTGTCACCAAGTCGGAGTGCAGTGGCACAATGCAATCTTGGTTCTTTGCAACCTCCACCTCCTGGGGTCAAGTGATTCTCCTGCCTCAGCCTCCCAAGTAACTGGGACTACCCGCACGTGCCACCACACCCAGCTAATTTTTTGTGTTTTTAGTAGAGATGGGATTTCACCATATTGGCCAGGATGGTCTCGATCTCTTGACCTCGTGATCTGCCTGCCTCGGCCTCCCAAAGTGCTGGGATTACAGGCATGAGCTACTGTGCTCGGCCTCAGATGGCTTTTAATAAGCCCATTTGTTCATTACTAAGTCCACATGTTCATTAAGTCCAATGAGACAAGACTATGCAAGTATCCACTAACTTCATCCATTGGTAATTGGGAGAAACAGTGAGGTTTTTACTGTAGTGTAACTTTTCCATACATACCCACTTATAAAAAATTTTAAGTACAGGAAATTTCTATACATACCACAATTTTTTTTTTTTTTGAGACAGAGTCTCGCTCTGTCACCCAGGCTGGAGTGCAGTGGCGTGATCTCAGCTCACTGCAACTTCTGTCTCCCGGGTTCAAGCGATTCTCCTGCCTCAGCCTCTCAAGTAGCTCAGATTACAGGCACGAGCCACCATGCCCAGCTAATTTCTGTATTTTTAGTAGAGACAGGGTTTCACCATGTTGCCCAGGATGGTCTCTATCTCCTGACCTCATGATCCACCTGCCTCAGCCTCCCAAAGTGCTGGGATTACAAGCGTGAGCCACCGTGCCTGGCCATACCACACTGTTAACAGTGTTGAATGGGGTAATTACATTTTTCACTTTCTTCATTTCTGTACGGATGATTTTTTTTAAACTGGGAGTTTCATTACTTTTGTAATCAAAATATTTTTAGAAAGAAGATTTTTCTTTCTTTCTTTCCTTCCTTCCTTCCTTTTTTTTTTTTTTTTTTTTTTGAGACAGGGTGTCACTCTGTCACCCATGCTAGAGTGCAGTGGAATGATCACAGCTCACTGCAGCCTTGACCTCCCTGGCTCAGGTGATTCTCCCACCTTAGCCTCCTGGGTAGCTGGGACTACAGAAATGTGCCACCACACCTCACTAATTTTTTATTTTTATAGAGGCGTAATTTCACCATGTTGCCCAGGCTGGTCTCAAACTCCAATTACAGGTGTGAGCCACCACGCCTGACGAAAAGCAGATTTTATTTCATACTCTAGTTTTCAACTGTTTCATGAAACTAGAGATTTTTTTTCACTTGAAAAGGGGAAAAGGATAAAACAGCTTTATCATAAAGATAAAACGGAAACAAAAATTAACTTTACTGTATTGATACTTAGCAGATAGAGATGATCACCTTATAAATGTGCATTTGAAACTGAACTGATCTGTCTTGTAATGAGTTTGACAAGCTTCAAACAGAAACTTGTGATGAATGTGGCTGTATGGGTATATAGACTTCCCTTCTTCATGGTGGTTTAGCTCCACAACCCACATATGGACTTCAGGTCGTTAGAACACAGAGCAGGACTGACAGGGTAAAGAAGACAGGATCACAAGACCTGGGCCTAATCACAGGGATGAAGTGCTAGAGTGAGAACAAAGGAAAAAAACTGACTTCAAGATGAGATCCTAAATTTGAGTTCTCTTTAAATTATCCAGGACTTGGAGGAGGATTGGTAATATATCTTGTTAGATATTGCCATATTCTGCCCCAAAAAGTTTGCATTCCCATCAGCAATGTATAAGTGAGACTGCCCATTTCCCCAGAGCCTGATAATGTGTTGTCATAATTTTTAATTTGCAATTTTCATCAATACTATAGGTGAGAAATGGTACCTAGAATGATGTTTTAATTCGCATTTCTCTAAGTATGAGTGAGTTTGGGTATCTTTTTATATGTTTAAGGTCCATTTTTGTATATTTTGTGTGAATTGCCTGTTTCTTTTCCCAGTTTTTAAAATGAGATTTGTGGTTCTTTGTTCCTCAGTTTTTAAGAGTTCTTTATATATTAAAGATATTAGCCCTTTGTCTTTGACATATGTTGAAATATTTTTTGCTAAATTTTCAGTCTTTTTGTGTGTGTGTATGTGTGTGTCTGTTTATGGTGGGTTTGCATGTTAATTTTTTTCATTTTTACATAGTAAAATTTATCAATATTTTCTCTCGTTGACTTCAGATTTTGAATCATAATTAGAAAGCCTTTCCCTACACAGAGATTTAAGAAGTATTCATCCATGTGTTTGTGTAATACTTGTATGATTTAATTTCCTTTTATTTAGAATCTTGACCCATTTGGAATTTATTCCTATATATGGGTGTGAAGTATAGATCTAATTTTATCTTTTTCCAAATGGTGAATTAATTGTCCCAGCATCATTTACTTAAAACTCTGTCTTTATCCCAGTAGATGCCAACTACTGGGTTGAATAGTTGGCATAAAGTTGAGTTGGATAAAGTTAAGATGCCAACTTTATCATATGCTAAATTTTTATATGCACTTGAATGTATTTCAGGACACTCTAGTCCAGGATTTGGCAAACTTTTTTTTATTTTTGAGATGGAATCTCGCTTTGTCTCCAGGCTGAAGTGCAGGGTGCCATCTCGGTTCACTGCAATCTCCGCCTCCGCGGTTCAAGCAATTCTCCTGCCTCAGCCTCCCGAGTAGCTGGGACTACAGGCACGTGCCACCACACCCAGCTAATTTTTGTATTTTTAGTAGAGACAGGGTTTCACCATGTTGTCCAGGATGGTCACAATCTCTTGACCTCATGATCCGCTCGCCTCTGCATCCCAAGTGCTGGGATTACAGGTGTGAGCCACTGCGCCTGGCCAGCAAACTTTTTTTTAAAGGGCCATACAGTAAATACTTAGGACTGCAGGCCACAAAGTCTCTGCTGTTATAGGTAAAAGCAATCATAAACAATTTGTAAATGAATAGACATGGCTGTGTTCCAATAGCTCTTTACTTACAAAAATATATAACCTTGAACCATAGACTGCTAATCCCTGCTCTAGATGATTTCACTCATCTGTTTTTGCACCAGTAACTCATTGTTTTAATTACAGAGGCTTTTTAGTATGTTTTAATGTCGGGTTGGGCTAGTTTCCCCCCTTGTAATCTGTTCATTCTTTTTAAAAAGAAATAGAAGATAGATCCATGAAATAATATGACTTTTTGTTTTGTCTGTTTTCTGGTCTGGTTCATAGACCAACTCTAAAGATAATTCCAAAGAAAAGTTCCAGAACTGCCTCAAGCAATGTTAGTGATTATTTGAGTCCCCCAGTGTGTTACAACTTAGAGGCATAGTATTGATGTTTATAAATGTATCTGGTATGAACTGTTATAAAGTTAAATCATACAACTTACCTTATGGTTATAACTTTTACATACATATTTTAAAAACTGAAGTTAATAGAAATTATGTTGAGAAGATATTTTTAAATGTTGTAATAACCTTTGAGAAATTGGAAATATTTTAGGATATTACAATCAGAGCTAGGAATGGTTTCAGTATGTAATTTTTTTTCCTGTGACAAATGTCTTGTCAATTGCAAAGGATATGTAATTCTTCACAGTCTAAGATCATGAGTTATTTTTAAAATCCTGTCAATCATCTCTTATTTACCAGAACATTCTTCAGCTGAGTGGTTTTAAATAGTAGAAAGCTTCCTAGTTTTACGACATCCAGACCCTCATCCTGTTGGAAATGTCATCAAATCATTATCAATAACCTGGCCACTAATTTGGCACTCCCTACTTTTGTCAAACCTATAGTTGGATTGAGCAGACTTTATGAATAAGAATTTAGAAGCTTGAGTGAATATGAAGCTTATAACTCTTTAATAACCACTAGGAACCAGAAACATTGAACGGTAGCCAAGCAAAGTCTCACCATGTATGTGAGTTTCATGGTTTTGACAGCTGTGTAATTTTTACTGAAGAAAAAAGATTATCTTTTAAATGTACAAAATGAGAAGCTCATTTTTGGTTACTATCAAGTGCAGTGGGGATGAAAAACACTGTCTCTTCAGTTGACATCAGAATTATTATTAGAGAAGGAATTATCATTACTGTTAGGAAAACCAACTTGACCCTGTGAGTATGGAGGTCAGAAGCTTACACAATAAGAAATGGCTAACCTGCTCTATAAGGAAAAGTGAATAGACTGTGTTTTGCTCCTTTTGCTCCTGAGAGAGGGCCACTGGAAGAGGAGTCCAGCAAACTAAAGGCACACTATTCACCACACACTGCTAGTGGCAGTCTGCTGAAGTCATCACAAGATGAGACCCATCTCTGCCAGCATTGTCCCACAATAACAAACATCGTTTTGTTAAAGAGTGATAGATCTCCAATTGTTCATCGACAGGTGTTTGAGATTGTGGCTTTTGTTTTCAACACAGTGTAACTGCTAATTTGAACAAGAACCTATCAACTACACAGATAGTTTAATTTTTTTCTTCAACTGTCCATTTAAAATTTACTTAATGAAGAAAGTCCTTCCTCTGACCCTGGATGGAAGTGGTCAGTAGGCCCGTGACTTTTGTTTTGTTTTCTTTTTTTTTTTGAGACAGAGTCTCGCTCTGTTGCCCAAGGTGGAGTGCAGTGGTACAATCTTGGTTCACTGCAACCTCCACCTCCTGGGTTCAAGCAATTCTCCTGTCTCTGCCTCCCAAGTAGCTGGAATTACAGGTATGCTCCGCCACGCCCAGCTAATTTTTGTATTTTTAGTAGAGACGGGGGTTTCACAATATTGGCCAGGCTGGTCTCGAACTCCTGAACTCAGGTGATCCACCGCCTCGGCCTCCCAAAGTGCTGGGATTACAGGCGTGAGCCACCGCGCCCGCCAGCCCATGACTTTTCTAGTCACTGTTTGCTAACACAAAGTCCTGAGGCCCCTTTAAATTGCAAAACAGTCTCATTTCAGAAATTAGTTCCATTGTCAAAGCTTGAGACTTCATTTGAAATTATAGTTGCTCCCTCTCCCTCAGATAAGGCCTATTCCAGGGGGGTTATTGACTCCTGAGGAACATACAGGATTGGCTGCTCCTAAATTACCTCCTTTCCACCCGCCCCACTTCCCCAGCTGACCGCTGTTTCTCATCCTTCCTGCATTTGAACAGAGGGTGGAGGAGAGGGAGGTGAAGTGGGAGAGTTCTTACCTGGCTGGTGCTGTGGAAAGCCCAGCTCACATTCTCTGGGCTGGGGTAATGTTTCAAGCTGACTCTCTTGTTATGGAGGATCTTCTGCGGTTATCTGGAGACTCTGGAGTTCTTTCATGGGTTCTTTAAAGCATTTTACTGGGACTTCTCACCTGCAGTTTGCTTGACCTGGTGGATTCACTCCCCTCAGGCTCACTGCTTACTCTTTCAGAGTAAAGGCGTGCTGTGATGCTTTTAGTATTTCTCTGTTGAGGCCTGTTTGCCCCTCTCCTTGGAACAATTGGGCAGGACCTTTGGCAACCCCACACCTGCTCATCTGATCCTTGGGAGCACTCAGGCTTTTTCAGCACCCACCAACTCTGGGAATGCAGCAGCAACTCTCCCTGTCTCTGGCCACCAGGGTAGACAGCTATCTCTGTATCTGGTTCCCCAGGGATTTAGTAAATGCTAGGCTACTCAATTCCTCCAATGCAGAGTAGACATAGCTGAGCCCTTCCCACTAGGCTTGATGTGGGGGCAGATGCTGGGTGAGAAGGTAGGACTGAAAGCACCCCCACAACTCTTTCCAAGGAAATTCTCACAAATCCCCTCCCCAACCCTTGCATACCCTCTCTGAGGGTGAGAAGTTACAATGCCCCAGAACAATTCTCAAGCCCCTATATTGTGTATGTTCCCCAGAGGTCTGTCTGCCTTGCAGTACCCTTTGACGTTTGTTAGCCTGTATCTTGAAGTTGCAGCAAAAATTTCTAACACAAAAGCCATCCAAGGAAAAGTAATTTATTTGACCTGGAAGGCAGGGAATTGATGAGATTCTAAGATTTGGACCTAATCCCTTAGCAGTTGGCCACGAAGAGAGATAATTATGTAGCTTTCCTAGCCATGTGAAACTTAGCCCATCAGTGAAAAAAAAAAAAAACTTTTTAAGGGCTTGAGATCTGATAGAAATTTGTCACAGAGACTACTGATAATTGTTTTTACCATGATTCTTTGGCAGATGAAAAACACTATGAGATGAAAAACATTGTTAATCACACAATGATATAATCATTCTCTGATAGTGTGAAATGGCCATTGGATAAGGCATCAGGAAGTTTAAGCATGGTCTTGAATCTGCTGTGACCTTGCTGTGTTATCACGAATCAGCCACCTCTCCTTTGGAACTAAGTTTATCCTGTTGAAAATGTGGAGATGATCTCTGGGATTCACTCTCCACTTAGTATTCTATGAGTCTGTTAAGCTCTCAACATCGTATAAATGACAGCTCCAACCCATAGGGATCGCATTAGGAAGGTGTAATAGGTTAAATGGTGGTCCTGCAAAAGATATGTCCACCTCTTAACCCTCAAAACCTAGAATGTGACCTAATTTGGAAGAAGAGTCTTTGTAGATGTAATTAAGAATCTTCAGATGAGATTGTCCAGGATTACCCAGGTAGGACTAAATCCAATGACAAGTGTCCTTATAACAGACAGAAAAGAAGGCATACAGAGGAGAAGCCCACATGAAGGCAGAGGCAGAGAGTGGCATTATGTAACCCAAGTCAAGGAATGCCTGGAACCACCAGAAGCTGGAGGAGGCAAGATCAGATTCTCCCCTAGAGCCCTCAGGGGGAGCATAGCCTTACTTACATGTAAGTTTGGACTTGGCCTCCAAAACCATGAAAGGATAAATTTCTGTTGCTCCAGGCCACCAAGTTTGTGGTAACTTGTTACAATAGCCCTAGGAAGCTAATAACAGAAGGCGAGGAAGAAAATAAGAGCACACAATCTGGCAGTGAAGAGCTCCTGCTTTGGAATTAGAGAACAACATTAAGCAGCCTGGAGGGCATTATTTAACCTTGCTAGCATTTAGTGTCCTCCTTTGTAAAACAAGGATGAAGATAGAGACCCACTGTTTCTTTTCTATACTTCATTTAAAAGTTTAAAATACAGTAACTATTTTATAGCCCATTTGTAAGGATTACAGAAGATAATGAATGATTTAATAAAGTGCCTGGTTCACAATAAGTGCTACATAAATGTTCGCCCGTTGTATTTAAGGTTATTGCATATATGAGGTGACAATCTCTTTCCTTTTGAATGCTATCTCTAAAACGTATTTGGTGTTTACTCATACATTGCTAGGATCATCTTAAAAATGAGGCAGGGTACAAATCATACTTCAAGTCTGCCTAAATTTTTTAAAAAGGCCAATTCTGATTATGATGAACATGAAAGGCATCCTGAAAGGGAAAAAAAAAGGAACAACAGTTGACTCTTGAACAATGTGGAGGTTGGGGGGATGACTCCCCATGCAGTAAAAAAAACATATATAAAACTTTTAACTCCCCCAGAACTTCACTAATAATAACCTGCTGTTGACCAGAAGCCTTACTAATAACATAAACAGTCTATTAACACAGCAGTCTGCAACCTTTTTGGTACCAAACACCAGTTTCATGGAAGACAATTTGTCCACAGATCAGGGTTGGGGGAGGGGAGGATGGTTTCAGGATGATTCAAGTGCATTACATTTATTGTGCACTTTATATCTATTATTATTACATTGTAATACATAATGAAATAATTATACAACTCACCATAATGTAGAATCATTGGGAGCCCTGAGCTTGTTTTCCTGCAACTAGATGGTCCCATCTGGGGATGATGGGAGACAATGACAGGTCATCAGGCATTAGATTTTCATAAGAAGCACACAACCTAGATCCCTCAAATGCACAGTTCATGATAGTGATGGCAGCAGATGCAGCAGGGTGGTGTGGCTGGGGCTGCACACTTCATGGAGCTCCCCAGTGCTGCTGCAACCACCCAAACTGTGACTGCAGACCCAGGCCTCCTGCTCTCTAAGGAGCAGGCAGGAGCCCCACCCTCCTGGACGGGGCTGCAGCCACCCAAACTGCAGCTGTGGATCCGAGCCTCCCTGTGCTCTTGGAGGGGGCTGGGAGCAGGCAGGATCTGCCCTTGTGGGTGCAGCTGCATCCACCTGACCTGCAGCTGCAGACCTGGGCCTCCCCCTCCATGGAGCAGGCAGGAGTCAGGGATAAGCAGGAACCCCCCTCCTTCTGAGTTGGTGGGGCAGGAGCTCCCTGGGTGCAGCTGTAGCTGTCCTCCCAGGCGAAGGACCTGGGTATCTCTGTAGTCTGCATCCTCAGGGGCCTGGGAAGGGCCCCCACCTCTCCATTCCTGCTGGCTGGGGGGTGTCTGCTCCCACTGCCTGGACTCTGTCCTTCCCAGTGCCGGCTCTAATCTTGGAGTGGGGTTGGGGTCAAGCCCTGGGGCCATAAATGGCAGAAGGAGGCAGACAGATTCCTGGGCTGAAGGGGGCGGGTCCCCAGTAAGGCCCCACCTTCAGGCCAGGGGCCAGGCTGCCAGTCCTGCTGACTGGAGTAGGGGACTCATGGTGCCTCTTCCAGGCCTGCCCATGGCTGCCTATTGACCAATCAGCACACACTTCCTCCCCTCTGCAGTCCATAAAAGCCCTGGCCTTCGCTAGCACAGGGCAGAGGATGGCCAGAGGATGAAGAGGGCAGAGAGATGATAGGATAACCAGCTATAGAGAGAAGGTACCCTCTCTGTTGATAGCTGGAGATGATGGGACAACCAGTTGCAGAGAGGACCAACCCTCTCTGCTGAGAGCTGCAGAGATGACCTGCTGGCAGGGATGTGCCACCCTCTCCAGGGCCTCTCTCTGCTGAGAACTGACCACCTGACAGATGACCTGCCTACGGAGAGGAGCTACCCACTGCGGGGATCCTCTGAGCTGTTGTAACACTCAATAAAGCTCATCTTCTTCTTCTTCACCCTTCACTTGTCTGTGTATCTCATTCTTCCTGGATGTAGGACAAGAACTCAAGCAAAGGCACTGTGGCCACACAGGTTTCTGGACAGAAAATCGACACCCCAAAGATCCCATAACAATAAGGTTTGCACTCCTATGAGAATCTAATGCCGCCACTGATCTGACAGGAGGTGGAGCTCAGGTGGTAACGTAAGCAGTAAGGAGCGGCTGGAAATACAGATAAAGCTTTGCTAGCTCAGCCTCTGCTCACCTCCTGGTCTGTGGCCCGGTTCCTCAAATTGGGGACACCTGTATTAACACATATTTTGTACGTTACATGTATTATATACTACATTCTTACAATAGCGTAAGCTAGAGAAAACATTTTTAAAAACTTGAGAAAATATATTTATTATTCATTAAGTGAAAGTGGATCATCATACAAGTCTTCATCCTTGTCATCTTCAAGCTAAGCAGGCTGAGGAGGAGAAGGAAGAGAACGGGGGTAGGTCTTGCTGTCTTGGGCTGACAGAGATGGAGGAAGTGGAAGAGGAGTCAGGAAAGGCAGGCACACTTGGTGTAACTTTTTGGAAATATGTCACAATTTCTGTCTGGCTTTTATTACTTTTCTATTTCTCTAAAATTGTTTCTGTACAGTACCAATTCTTCTTCTACTTTTTGCATTAGTTTCAGTGCCCTTATCATAGAACAGTCCTTGCTGTAAGAGAAGTCAAAAGCAATCTTGAATCATTGAAACTTTTCTGCCAGGTTGTCTAATGTCAGTTTGTTTTCTGGCACTGCTTCTTTTATGTCTTTTTCTTCATCATTTGGCACTGTTCAGAGGTGCTCATCTTCAAGCTGTCTTCTGTTAATTCCTCTAGTGTCGTGTCTATTAGTTCTTGAATTTCTCCAAGGTATCTTAAAACCCTTCACCCTCCACCTTTTTTTGCCATATTCACAATCTCTTTTATGATTTCCTCGATTGGTTCTGTCAAAATAAATAATAACTGGATTTATGACAGAACAAGTTACATATAAGTTAGCAAGCCCCAAACAATACATTCCTGCTGAAGAAAACTGCAGGAATGTATTGTTTGGGGCTTGATAACTTTCACAGCTTTTTCTATAACAATGATGCCATCTTTAGTGGTGTAATCCAGACTTTCATGTGTTTTCTCTATGAGGTTCTCTTCCTTTCCTTAGGGTACCATGTGTATGTAATGAGCCTTAATGGTCCTTATGACCCTCTAACCTAGAGGCTGATTTAGAGATGTTGTGTTTGGGGGCTAGTAGACCACTTTCACACCTTCAGTGTTGAGCTTGTGGGGTTCCGGGTGGCCAGGGGCAATGTCCAATATCAAAAGAACTTTAAAAGGCAGTCCATTACTGGCAAGATACTTCTTGACTTTAGGGACAAAGCATCAATGGAGCCAAACCAGAAAAAGGGTTCTCCTTGTCCAGGCCTTTTGTACACCAAGACTGGCAGCTGGTGTTTATCTTTTCTCTTCAAGGCTCGGGGATTAGCGGCTTTCTAGATAATGGCAGTCCTGATAGCATTTGCATAAAACACTAGAGTTAGCCTATACTTTCTTGCCTTAAATCCTGGTGCTCACTTCTCTACCTTACTAATACATGTCCTTTGCGGCTTTTTTTTTTTCCATAATAGGACACTTTCATCTGTATTAAAAACCCAATCAGGCAGAATCATTTCCCTTCAATGACTTTTTTTTTCGTATTTTTGAGACGGAGTCTCATCATGTTGCCCAGGTTGGTCTCAAATTCCTGGACTCAAGTTATTCTCCTGCCTAAACTTCCAAAAGTGCTGGGATCACAGGAGAGACCTACGGTGCCTGGCTTTAATGATTTTCTTAATGGCATCTGGGAACTCATCTGCTGCCTCTTGGTCAGCAGAAGCTGCTTCTCCTGTTATCCTGACATTTTAAAAGCCAAATCTCTTTCTAAAATCATCAAACCTTCCACTGCTGGTGTTACATTTTCCAGCTTTAGATCCTTTAACCTTCCTTTTGCTTTAAGTTGTCATATTGTGACTTTGCTTCTTCTTGAATCATATTAGAGTCTATAGGTATGCCTTTCTTATAGCAATCCTATACCTATATAAAAGCTGCATTCTCAATATGAGATAAAGTATTTTGCAAAAAGTGCAAGGTTTTTGTGCCTTCTAGCATAGCTATAGTGACACCTTCATGAATTTCCTTTTTTTTTTTTTTTTTTTTTTTGAGATGAAGTCTCACTCTGTCGCCAGGCTGGAGTGCAGTGGCATGATCTCGGCTCACTTGCAACCTCTGCCTCCCGAGTTTAAGCAATTCTCCTGCCTCAGCCTCCTGAGTAGCTTGGACTACAGGTGCCCACCACCATGCCCAGCTAATTTTTGTATTTTTAGTAGAGACGGGGTTTCACCATGTTGGCCAGGATGGTCTCGATCTCTTAACCTCGTGATCTGCCTGCCTTGGTGTTCCCAAAGTGCTGGGATTACAGGTGTGAGCCACCACGTCCGGCCTCCTTTTTTTTTCTATAGTGGTCTTTATGCTGGATTTATTTAACTTGAAATGGTGGGCAATCTCAGCTGCAGACTTTACTCTATGGTACGTATCAAGCAATTCAACTTTTTCTTGTAACATCATGACTTTTCTCTGCTTCTCGGGAGCACTTCCAGCATCATTAGTGACACTCTATGGGTCCCATGGTGTTATTCAAGGTTCACAGTATTGCACTAAACACAATGAAAAATACATGAGAACGGTGAGAGATCACTTTTTACCACAATAAGCGATTTACTAGGGAGATGAACTGCTCATGGGGAGAAGATTAAGGTCACACAGTGTTTTAAGCAGATACAACATGAGCTCACTGCAACTGCAACAGCAACAGAAGGGGCTATGAAATTACTACAGTAGGACGGTATGTGCTGTAGTTCATTTTATGCAGTTATGATTTAACATTGCATCTTTATGTTTGTTTATACTTCTCTCAACTTTGAATGGTGCTATGTACAGTCTGTGTGTGTAAGTTTTGGTAAATTTTAACTTTTTATAAAAGGTTTGTGTATATTTTATGGTAGTAAATGATAAACTAGCATCTACCTATATTTTATGCATTCATGACATACCTTTTTTTTGATATTTCTAGGCTACACGGTTCATCTGTGAGTTTTTTCAAATTGTCCAAATCTCCATGATATTTTCTAATATATTTATTTTTAAAAATCCACCCATAAATGGGCCCTTGCAGTTCAAACCTGTCTTGTTCAAGGGTTAACAGTATAAGTAATCATCCACATGAACTATTTCAAGTCCTTAGCACACACACATATTTGGGATTTGCCATTCTGAACATACAGAGTGACATGTATATACTGTAAGAGGGTTTTTGTAACTAGAAAAGTCCTAGTGTTTCTCCTTTAAAAGACAACAGGGCAGTGTCTCAGTAGAGGATTTAAATTACAGGGGTGTTTTATTCTTTCAAGTCTAGAAAACTTAAAAGATATATGTTTCTTGACTTTTCAGCTATAATGCCAACCAGCATTAGGAAGACATTACCCAATCCCAGACTTGTCTTGCTGCCTCAAATCCAACCATTCTGAATTACAGGAGACAGAGATTATCACCTGAAAAGGTGATATAGCACAGACATGATGAATAGGGGCCTAATTGTGAGGTGGGCAGCCAGTGTGATTTGTATCTATTCTGGAAATCCCTCTATGGATCTCAGAACAGGTGAAGATCATCCAGGTACAGCTCCGACTTCTGGTCATCAGTCACCAGAAATCTCGGAAACTCAGTGGCATACGGCCTGGGCTGCTTGTCCCAGTTGGAGGTACACTTTAATCTGCAGTTTATCTGATATTGTCATTTAACTAGATCTGTATGTTAGCTCACTTAGATAAGCAACTTGAGTACAGGACTGTATTCTTTGCCTCTGTAATGCTGTGTATTTTAGAAGGCAACTAACAGATACTGGTTTGATGAAATGGACTAGAGAATCACACAAGGCTGTATCAAAATAAAAATTCTACAAATCATTTATCAGAAAAAATTCTTGAAATTCAAAATGTTTGGATCATTTTTAAAAAATAGATGCATGCATAACCATTACAAAATAGTCTAGAAAATTGGATATTAAGTGCCTACATAAAGAGATCCCCAAATTTACTTAAGGTTACAGCCACCCATAAAACTGAGTACTTAAAAAAGTTGGTGGCAAAAAAGTCAGTGGCATTTGAAATAAAAAAGACTCTATGATAATAAAGAAAAGGAAAACTAGTTACAAGGTAAACTGCTACAGGACAGACACATCTTTGGAGTCTTCCAAGGTGCATTCAGAGATACAGCTGAAAAGGGCTGTGTGAAAACAAATTCTGTTTATGTTCCAGTTTTTAAAATTGTGTAGTTTATATATTTTTAGGTAGTAATATGCAAACGAGCTCAAACTCAGTTGAAAGCAACACCAACATGGTTGATAGGTTTCTCTCCTCTAAAAATGAGGTTCTACATTGCCTCCAAAATACCCCCAAACTTCAGGTTTCTGAGTCTATAAACTCCACTGCATCATATAGCTGTGTGCTTTTTTCCAGATAAAATGACCTTCTGTGAACTGTCAGGTAGATTCTCCTAGCTCATTGTCACAGATTCACTCCCACTATAATTACGGTGCCAGCTGCTGCTGTTTTCTTTGCACTCCAGGCTCCAGATGAGAGCTGTGCATTTTCTGTGAAGTCCTAGAAATGAAACACAGGAGCTTTCTAACTTTGGAAAATCACATGTTCTCTTTATTAGAATTCTGCTGAGGCTAATGTGATGGGAGACAAGAGTGGAGTATTTAAACTCTGTAGCTATTAATACCCCTAATCAAAGAGTTTTAGCTTGCCTATAGGGCACTTCTCTGTTACTGATGCCTCCTGTTTTAGCAACTGAGACAGAAGATGCCTAGAAGCAAAAAGTCTGACCTGAGCACCAAAAGGATGTCATAATTAAAAAAAAAAATTCTTTGCAGAGATGCGGTATCGCCATGTTGCCCATGGCTGGTCTCAAAACTCCTGAACTCAACTGATCCGCCTGCCTCCGTTTCCCAAAGTGCAGGGATTACAGGCATGAGCCACCGCGCTCGGCCTGGTTGTCATAAAATTAATGTTATATTGCCTCCTCTTCCACACCTGGTAATAACTGCAAATGTTTATCATCTTTTATCTCTTTCCAATATTCTATCAAAAGATTACTGGAAGTAAGGCTGGGTGCGGTGGCTCAAGCCTGTAATCCCAGCACTTTGGGAGGCCAAGGTGGGTGGATCACTTGAGGTCAGGAGTTCAAGACCAGTCTGGTCAACATGGTGAAACCCCATCTCTACTAAAAATACAAAAATTAGTGGGACACAGTGGTACATGCCTGTAATCCCAGCTACTTGGGAGGCTGAGGCAGGAGAATCGCTTAAACCTGGGAGGCAGAAGTTGTAGTGAGCCGAGATCGCGCCACTGCACTCCAGCCTGGGCAACAGAGCAAGACTCCATCTTCCAAAAAAAAAAAAAAGAGAGAGACACCCCCCACCCTCCGCCCAAGCAGCTCAACTGTCCTCTTCCCCACCATTTTTTTGGGTGGCTGAGCAACTTATCACCTGAGTTTTAGGCTTATGGATTTGAAGCATGTACTCCTGCATTTGAGTATTAGTTCTCCTGTCCCACCTTCCCAGAAAAACATTATCTTTTATAGAGTATGTTAATCACAGTCCACAAAACCAAATATGTCAAGTTGCCTGCCACCACTGAGGCCACCATTGTTTTTGTAGGCTCCTGTGGTTCTCCACACCATCCCAGCCTCCTCAACCCCCAAATTATTGCTGGACTACAGAAATCTTGAATCTTTGGCAGGGTTGGGAACCCATGGGCCTCTAAAGCAGACTCCCTGGAGGCACCAATATAACCCTTCCCTTTTGGTGTCATAGTTTTCCCCCACTAGGACCCGAATCATCTCTATTTTAGGGGCAAACAATTCTTTCTGCTTCTCTCAAGCATTCGGCCTCTTCCTTCAAATATTTTTTCTTTTTTTTCAGGTTGAGATTCTTTATTCTGGAGGTAGGAAGGGGGTCAGCATGCTCAGGTAGGGAGGGTCCAGCCCAGCTCCTCCAGCCCCCCAGTGCTTGCCCAGCCCCAATAAGTTACCCAGTTAATCAGCTGCCCTCCCTCCTGGGTCCGTCTGTCCTTCTGTTCCACCCTAGACAGGGCCAACCTGGCTCAATACAAGGGCTGCTTGTCCCCAGCCTGTGGGCAGTGCCACATGGCAGGCTGGGGGAGAGATGAAGCAGCAGGACCATGCCCTGGGTCTGGAGGGGCAGAGGGGCCACTTCTGGCTTCAAGCGGTCAGGACTTGGAAAACCACATGCTGGGCAGGCCTGGGGCCCAGTCCCACAAGGTCTGTGCCTGAAAAGAGGTGGTAGTTGGGGTGGGGCCGCCATCACACCTCAATTGCTGGGTCTGAGCCCTGGCCCTGCCGCTGCAGCTGCTCCTTCTGCTTCATCTTGGGCTTCGCTGTCCGTGTATGTCACACCAGTACCCGAGTGCAGTTGGCAGCCCGTGGCTCCAGGTCCTTGGGATCCACAAGGTGGCTTAGAAGACTGCTCTCCAGGTGGCTCCGGGGAGCAGTGGAATCAAACTGGGCATTGGGCTTAGCTAACAGCAAGGGCAGGGCCACAGCAAATCCGGCCATATCCACAGGGAAGGGCCCGTTGGGCTCCCATGCTGTGTGGAAGCCCACTACCCGGCTGTCCTGTACCTGAGGGCCCTTGACTCGCAGGCCACCCACCAGCCCCACAGGCCACACTGAGACACCACGGGTCCAGCGCATCTCCTCAAACAGCTCCCAGCTGTAGGTGTTGCCACTGTCAGCAAAGTACACGACTCCTTGGGTCCCTGGTGGTGATGGGTCCTTCTTCCCACCCACAGCACTCCCTCTGCCCCGGAGCCAGTCCAGGGCCTTGTTCCGCTGCTCGACACCATGGGGATGAACCCAGCCAGGCTTGCCCTCCCGAAGCCGCTGGGCTTTGGGCGTGAGGACCACCAGGTGTGTGAAGAGGAGGCCAGAGGCAGCCAGCAGCCCTGAGACCAGCGGGGTGGGACCCTCAGCATCCTCCACCAGCAGTCAATGCAGCCGGGGCACCAGGCTCAGTGTCTGGGACAGCCGTACCAACTCTGCCTTCTGTACCAGCCTGGCATAGGTGGGGGTAACAACATAGATAGTAGGCAGGGCCTCGGGTTCAGGGGGCTGGGCAGGGGCAGGGGGTGGCCGTCGGAGTTCCGCTTGCAGCTGGGAAATCCTCAGATCCTTCTGCCGTAGCTGCTCAGCTGCTGCCCGCAGGGGAGGAAGGCAGTCACATGGCTGGCCAGCGCGTAGAGGAGGCCGGCGATCGACACCAGGAAGTAGGCGAGAAACACGTTCTTCACCTTCAGCTTCATGGCCACGCCGCTGCCGCCTGCGCCCCAGCAGGCGGGGTCTCTCAAATATTATTTTTCTCCATGGGCTCAGGCTTTTTGGGAAACAACAGCCAGTAAGTCTAGTGTGAGGTTCTTCAGTTTTCTTGCTACATACATAACCGTTTTGAGGTAAGAAAGCACAGAGGGGAAAACAGGTGAAAAACATTAAAGCTCAGAAACATTTTCAGCCATATTAATTCAATTCCAGAAGCAATTAAACTTTGTTTAAAGACAATAATTTAATAGAAATATAGTACATTTACTGCTATGGAAAAATAATTCATAATACGTTGGGTTTTTTTGTTTGTTTTTGAGACAGGGTCTCACTCAGCTGCCCAGGCTGGAGTGCAGTGGTGTGATCATAACTCACTGTGGCCCTGATTTCCTGGGCTCAAGCAATCTTCCTGCCTCAGTCTTCCAAGTAGCTGGGACTACAGGTGTGAGCCACCACTCCGGCTAATTATTTTATTTTTTGTAGAGCTGGGTTCTCACTTTGTGGCCCAGACTGCTCTCAAATTCCCGGGCTCAAGCAGTTCTTCCACTTTGGCCTCCCAAAGTGCTGGAATTACACACATGAGCCACCACGCCTGTCCCACATGTTGTTTTGACAGGAAGTTACAAAGATGTCTATCAGGATGACTCCAATGTTTAATAGAAAATGTACATAAAGTCAAAACGAATATTTACCACCATGAAACAGTAGCTACCACTACAATTCACACTTCATAAGCAACCTTTTAAGGAGCTGAATTGGTGAAGCTATCTGAGATTGACTAAGGCCTAATATTGCCTTACTTTCTGCTTTATATCTTTAATATTTTCTGTAATTTACTGAATAAAAGCCTAGGACCTGGATGTACTGCAATGTGCAGTATATAGAGCTCATAGCTTTTTTTTTTTTCTGGAATGCAGTGGTGCCATTTTGGCTCACTGCAACCTCCGCCTCCCGGGTTCAAGCGATTCTCCTGCCCCAGCCTCCCAACTAGCTGGAATGACAGGTGCCTGCCACCATGCCCGGCTAATTTTTGTATTTTTAGTAGAGACGGGGTTTCACCATGTTGGCCAGGCTGGTCTCGAACTCCTGACCTCAGGTGATCCACCTGCCTTGGCCTCCAGAAAGTGCTGGGATTACAGGCCTGGGCCACTGCACCTGGCCTAGAGCCCATATCTTTATTTAGCACATTAGTAAACAAAATGACTTTATAGTTATTGGAAGTTAAATAATTCAAACTTAAAGCTGTTGGAACTTTATTCCGAGCCTTGGGAGGAATGTGGCTACAGCCTGAGTCAAGCAGCAGGCATCTGCAACGTCTGCCTTTTGTTTCTATAAATAATTAAAATAGGAGGACCAAACCATACCAGAGATACAACCCCCTGAGATCACTACCCCCCCTCATGGAGTAACAAAATACTTTTTCTTGGAATGTAGTAATCTGTAACCTACCAAATAGCTGTAAGTATGCACTGGTCTCTTAGGGGAAATGAAATCCTGTTAAAATTTGTCTCTGGCCACCTAGGCGAAACCCTAACTTCTTCACTTTGGAATGCTAACCCCATTTGGAGCTGGTGTCTCCTGGGTGGCTACCCTCAAGCCTTACGCTGGAATAAACTCTATCCTTAATCATATTTCCAGAACCTCACTATTTAAGGTTGACAGGAGAGGGAAGCGGTGATGTCTTGAGATAAAGCTGAATAAAGTTTCTCAAGAAAAAAAGGGAAAGGAACCTCTAAGCTGTACGTTGTTTTCTAACTCTAGGGAGTTAGAGGTGAAGTAGGAACTTGAAGTTGGAAGTGTTGAGTTGGACAGCCCTCATCTCTAGGCAATACTTTCATAAAGTGGAAAAACGGGGGAAGAGGACGAAGGCTAGGGAGAGACGCAGGGATCTACCCAACCCAGTCCTGAGTTTCCCACTCGCTCTTGGAGTTGAGTACAAAGAGCGCTCCAAAGCCCCTTCTCCTGTGCTCAGCCCAGTGCTCCGGTGGGTCAGGTCTCCGGAATGCGTAAACAAAAGCAAACAGCTGAGCGGCGGAGGGCGCAGGCGACAGATGTGGGTGTTCCCTGAGAATGTGTGGCGACTTCCCGGAGCAGCGGGTCTGTGAGGCAACGATGGAAGACACTGCGCTCCACAGCATAGCAGGAGGCCCCGCCCCGTGTGGCGCCAAGTAAAAGATAATTCCTCAGAAGCCGTCGGCCACCGGCGCTTCGCCTCGTCCCGCGCCAGGCCCAGCCTCTCCCCCAGACCACCGGTGCCATGCGGATTCCCCAGGCGGGACCCCAGCTCACGAGGCCCACTGGCCGAAGCTCCCCACAGGATAGAGAGCCGCTCCTGCGAGGCCAAGCTTCCGAGAGGCGGCCTGCGCCTAGCACGCAGGCGCGGAAAGCTGGGCGCCAGCCTTAAACTGACTCCCGCCACCTGCCTCGGGCCGCGCCGTCCACCGTTTACTTTCGAACGAGCCCAGCAATAGTTCCCATTGGCCGATGCCTTGCAGTTGAATGTTGCCTGCAGACTGCGCCTGCGCTGCGAGGCTCCGCGAGGCCCCGCCCGGTCTGGGCACCTGAAGCCCTTCGGGGCAGAGGAGGGCGGGGACTCGGGGCGGCTCTCAGCATCCGCCTGGAGCTCGTGGCGCTGTGTTTCCGTGCTGTGGAGTTGCCTGGTCCGCTTCCTCCCCGCGGTGAGTCTAAGGACCTTTACGGATGCGGAGAAGGTGGTTCTGAGTCCTTTTTCTTTTCCTGTAGCACAGTCTGGTGTGCCTAGTGTGTTGGGCGGGGAGTCCTGGGGGCGCGACGATGGAGGGAGTGGCTTGGGACCTGCACTCATTCCCTCTTGTCCCATACTGGAGTTTGGGGAGCCACTTTCCCGTCCCTCCACTGTGGAGCTGCGTTCCTGTGAGGGAGGAGGCCCTCTGTGGTGGCGAGGGTGAGCTGAGCGGACGCCGCCGAGTCGGTCAGTCCCGCGGGGTTGGGGACGGGCGGGTGCCGAGGTGGAGGCGCGTTAGGAGGGAGGCCTGGGAGAGTGGAGCTTTGAGAAGGGGAAGGGAAGAGTACTGCCATTTTGAGCCCCTTTGTGGGAGGTGCTCGCAGGACTTAAGTGAGGTAGGTGCAGTTACCCATTTTACAGATGTGAAGCCTCACTTTTGAGAGGTATTTGGTAATACTGACCCAGGTCCCACAGCATTGAAATGGCAGAACAGAGAGATGAGCAAACTATACTAAATCAGTTATAATTTAGAGCTGGCAAGGTATTTTACTCCCATGGATGCTTTTGTCTTGCAGTTAATTTTAAGCACTCTAAAATGACCGTGAATGTTTTTTCTGCCATCACCATTGTTGGGTAATATTGTCGAGAGCTCATAAGCTACTTGACGTTGTGAAAAGAGGTCCTTTGTGACAGTCTGTTTGGTCAGAGTTAGGATTTTCAAGGAACAAGCGATACCTCTACTGCAGCTCCAGCAACTGTGTTGGTGTTTGTGGCTTTTCTGAAAACACGATGAAGCATCGTGAAGATAAATATCAAAGACAGTGAACTAACAACCATTTTTATGACATGAGACAATAAATTGAAAACATTAAAGATAACATTATTTTAATTTTAGAATAAGAATAAAAGATTCTGGAGGAGTTGGAGAAGAGTGTATTCAGCCCCCAAACCACGAGATCAACAAAGTAGGTAATCTGGGAGATTAAATAAATATGAAAAACAATTAAGTTTTTACAGAGTGTATGATTTAAACTACAAAGTGAAATTTAGAAGTCTTTTGAAAAAACATTGTGTTGGCGGTGTATAAAACTCCAACCATTTTATCGAAGGAGCGGAGCATAAAGTGAAAAATAAACAACTCCCTTCTCTGATCTGTACCTTAAAAGTAGTCACTTAACTCTTTTGTACATCCTTCTAGAAATTTTACAAGAATGTGTACATCTCAAAACACATGCAAAGTTGTTATTTTATACATACAGATCTGCAGAACTACACAAAACTGCAAATTAAGTTACCTGGATACTTTTTCACTATGCATTCATGTATTGGTCTTTTTAAATGAGTAAGTAGCTATTTAATCTGGCAAGGTGAAATTTTGATTTTAGGTGATGTTAGTTTTGACATTGCCTTTCACTAAACACGTTGATGAATATTTCCCACCAGATATATTTTTACTTTGAAAAGTACAGCAAAAGCAATTAAAGCCTTAATTTCTCAAGTCAATTCCGGTTAAATTGAATTAATAGTCTTTTTTTGTTTTGTTTCTAGTTTTTATTTTTATTTTTTAGTTTAGGGAAACAGGTTGATATCAAAATGAAAGAAAATAGTACAGATGGACAAAGAGATTTAAAATCAGCTGACCATAGGATTTTTTTAATTTGAAAAAGTTAAGGTGATCTCTCACTATTTTTGTATATTTATATGTGACAGAATTATTTTTAAAAATCTTGTTTCTCAGACTTTCTGCGATAATGTTAAAAAAATCTTATATATGTTTATAAATGGTGCAGTTGTAGTTATTTCTTAAGTAAGTCTTGACTTGCATGAAATGTATTTCTTCTTTATCAGTTAGGTCCACAAAGATGTGAGCCCCAGTTTGGGTGGTGGCACCACTTGAATTTTCCCATACTTAAAGCTGACTCACTAGAAGTCTTGGGACAAGTCATCGAATTCTATAATGTAATAAATATATTTTCCTTTCAGAGGTTGTGAAATGTAATGAACGTTTTACAACTGTTCATGTTTAGAGTTGAAAGGCAGGAAAGCATTAGTGAATTAAAACTTAAAAACTGGTTTACACAGGAGAATGGGTAATGATATTTTCGGTGCTATTTAATCATCTATTATACTGTCTATTACCTAATATGCCAGTTAGACATCAGGGAGGCTCACTAGTGAATTGGCCCTCTGGAGAAAGACTTAATAAAAAGTTTGGAAATTCAGAAATGTATTTGTTTTGACACTTAAACACACTAGACATTAGTGAAATAATTTGTAAGTAGAGTGATTTAGCCTCAGGTTTCTTTCTGAGAAGATTCATTTTTTTATATTAATATTTCTCGGTTTTAAAAGAGAAGCAGGAAATCTTGAACTTGGTTTTTACATGAGCTTAGTACTCACTAGAGGAAAATACATTTTACATGGATTATTTTACTTTTTTGCTTTTTAAAAACATACAGTAGTATAAATTGATTCAAATTCATTTAGCAAAAGGAAGACTGGATAATAGGCAAGACGCTTGAAAATTTTTTAAAGTTTTTTTTTTATTGTGTAAAATATGCTAAACATAAAATTTACCATTTTAATCTTTTTAAGTATGCAGTTTGGTGGTATTAAATACATTCAAATTGTTTTGTAATTATCACCATCAACTATCTCCGTTAACTTTTTCATCTTCCCAAACTGAAACTGTGTACCCATTAAACCAGCAGTCCTCAACCTTTTTGGCACCAGGGACCGGTCTTGTGGAAGGCAATTTTTCTGTGGACGGGTGGGGGTGGGTGGTGCATGGTTTTGGGATAAAACTGTTCTACCGCACATCATCAGGCATTAGTTAGATTCTCACAGTGAGCCACAACCTAGATCCCTCGCGTGCGCAGTTCACAGTAGGGTTCACGCTGTTATGAGAATCTAATGCTGACACTGGCAGGAGGCGGAGCTCAGGTGGGCTCGAGGCGGAGCTCAGGTGGGCTTGCCCGCCACCATGGTGGGGGCGCAGGGTGGGTAGGAAGGGTTGAGGACCCCTGCATTAAATGATAACTCTACATCTTCCCTGCTCTCAAGCCCTGGCAACTACCATTCTACTTTCTGTCTTTGAGGACTGCTTATTGGTTTTGATATTATATATATTATATGCTTTTTTCACATATAATGTGAATGTAAATTTTTTTTCCATTGAACTAATTGACTGAATTATATTAATAGATTTTTCGTTATTGAATTAACTTTGTATTTCTGGAAAGAACCTTATTT
The DNA here is from genome assembly GCF_000001405.40 of Homo sapiens. NCBI lineage: Eukaryota > Metazoa > Chordata > Mammalia > Primates > Hominidae > Homo > Homo sapiens. The sequence continues at coordinate 160,446,438 of NC_000003.12, read as the reverse complement.
AGTCATGGTACAGTGTTTTTTTTAATGTACTCCTGTGTTTGTTTTTGCTAACATTGTATTTAGAATTTTACATCAGTGTCCATTTTTGAAATTAGTCCATTTTTAGTTTGTATTGTCTCAGGTTTTGGAATCATGTTATACTGTCTTCAAAATATTTAGCAAACTTTTCATATTTGTATTCTGGAACAGTTGAGTAGGGCCTAGTCCACACTCAAGGGAGAGGAGATTTCAAGAGTATCCAGAAAGTGTAGGTCATTGGGGGCCATTTTAGAGGCTACCTATCACAGATAGCTAATGGCTTGTTTATTTACTTAAAGAACCAATTCTTAGACTGGTCATGGTGGCTCACAGCTGTAATCTCAGCACTTTGGGAGGCTGAGGGGGGAAGGATGTCTTGAGGCTAGGGGTTTGAGACCAGCCTGGGCAACGTAGTGAGACCCTATCTCTACAAAGCATAAAAACATTAGGCATGTGTGTTAACATGCACCTATCAGCTACTTGGGAGGCTGAGCTGGGAGGATTGTTTGAGCCTGGGAAGTTGAGGCTGCAGTGAGCCATGGTCACACCACTGCATTCCAGCCCTGGTGACAGAGCAAGACTCAGTCTCAAAAAGAGCCATCTCTTGGGTTTATCAGTTCTAGCAATTTTTTTTTTTTTTTTTTTTTGAGACAGAGTCTTGCTCTGTCACCCAGACTGGAGTGCAGTGGCATGATCTCAGCTCACTGCAATCTCCGCCTCCCAGGTTTAAGCGATTCTCCTGCCTCAGCCTCCCGAGTAGCTGGGATTATAGGCGTCTGTCACCCTGCCCAGCTAATTTTTGTATTTTTAGTAGAGATGGGGTTTTGTCATGTTGGCTAGGCTGGTCTTGAACTCCTGACTTCAGGTGGTCCGCCTGTCTCGGCCTCCCAAGGTGCTGGGATTGCAGGTGTGAGCCACAGTGCCCAGCCAGTTCTAGCAATTTAAGTTTTCTAGTTCATTATCATCTTCCATTTATCTTTATTCTTTTTTTATTTTTTGAGACAAAGTGTGGCTCTGTAGTCTAGGCTGGAATGCAGTGGAACGACCGTGGCTCATGGCTCATTGCAGCCTGGACCTCCCAGGCTCAAGCAATCCTCCCTCCTCAGCCTCCTGAGTAGCTGGGACTAACAGGCGTGCGCCACCATACTTAGCTAAGTTTTTTATTTTTTGTAGAGATGGGGTTTCACTGTGTTGCCAGGGCTGGTCTCGAATTGCTGGGCTCAAGTGATCCTCCCACCTTGGCCTTCCACAGTGCTGGGATTACAGGTATGAGCCATTACACCAGGCCAATTTTTATTCTTTTTTTTCCACTTTTCCTCTTTTTTTTTTTTAGTTGAATTATTTTATATTCCTTTTGGTTTGGTAAGTAAAGTGTATGGTGTCAGCTCTGCCCATGTAATTTTTTTTTAGCTCTGTAGATTTTACTGAAGAGTATTTCTGTTGTTTCACATGAATAAATTATGTCGTGGCTGTGTACAGAATTCTCAGCTCATATCCCTTTCCTTCTAGTCTTTGTGGACATTGCTACATTCTGTTCTAGCATTCCTTGTTGCTGGTGATGTTCTGGTTATTTCCTGCTGTGTAACAAACATCTGAAAGCTTGGCTGGCCAGATATTCAAGATGTCTTTTTCACTCATGTGTCTGGAAACTCCTTGCCCTTCTATTTGGCCTGTCTCTTCAGCAAAGTAGCCTGGACTTCTTACATAGCAGTTTGTGGCTCCGAGGCAGCAACCTGCCAAACTAGTTAAGGGCTATACCTAGAACTCACCACATCACTTATACTGTATCCTATTGGTCAGAACAGTCACATGGCCCACACATATTCTAATGGGGGAGAATAGATTTCATCTCCATGTGCAGGGAGTAGCAGCAAAGTCACATTATAGGACAGCTCATGTGGGAGATAATTATTGTGGCCATTCCAATTTTGGAAATTCCAGTCTCCCAGAGGAGGATTCTGAGACCTTTGGTTTAGTTTTCCTTTTTTCATCCTTCTTTTCTGTGTGGATACTTGTAGAATTGTTCTTATTTCTTTAAAATTGTATTATATTTTTAATTGCTTAATAGTTAAAAGCGAAACCATGATTTATAATGAAAAACAGATTCTTTCCCTCTAGAAGCCATCACTTTTATCTGCTTTAACATTTCTTTTGGTATTTTCTTTTATATTTCTAGATATTTATTTTTTGTGGGTTATTTTTTAAGTATGTATTGACTTTCTTATAAGGAAAAATTAAGATTTAGTTCTTAAACTGTTTCCTTCCCTTATTTTCCCCCTCAATATAATTTTGTTACTCTTTGGTAAAATCAGTATTTGATATTTACAATATTATGACTGTTACAGTGACAGCTGAGCCATATACTATAATATTAATATTTCCTCTCTTTTCATGATTCTATCACGTTTTTTCCCTAAATTTAGTTACCTCTCAATATGTTTCATATACATGAAGCATTTCTGTCAGTTCCATTTATTTACTTAAAGATCTGTCTTCTGCATGCCTGAAATCACAGCACTTTGGGAGGTCGAGGCAGGTGGATCATGAGGTCAGGAGATTGAGACCAACCTGGCTATCATGGTGAAACCCCATCTCTACTAAAAATACAAAAAAATTAGCTGGGCGTGGTGGCGGGCGCCTGTAGTCCTAGCTGCTCGGGAAGCTGAGGCAGGAGAATGGCATGAACCCAGGAGGCGGAGCTTGCAGTGAGAGGAGATAGCGGCCACTGCACTCCAGCCTGGGCGACAGAGCGAGACTCTGTTTCAAAAAAAAAAAGATCTGTCTTTTGGATCTTTCTTCCTCTTCTAGAGTGACTCTTCCCTAGGCTTTCACAGTTGTCCTGGACTTCATTTCGCCATTATGCTGGCGAACATTCTTGCTTTTCTTTTCTCCCTGCAGTAGCTTCTTTAGAAAGAGTTGGAAGAAGGTTGTTCATTTTTGAGATCTTATATTGTCCAACTGTCTTTATATAAAAATGGATTATTTTTTTTCTAGGTATAGAGTTTTAATTTCCATTTCAGAAGCCATTTTTTTTCCCCTGAGAATATCAAAGGCATTACTCCATTGTCTTATTGTTTCCAGTGTTACTGATGTTTTTACTGTTTGGAAACCTACATACAGCATAGCTAAATCCAAGATGTTCATCCTAGAAAATATACATAGGTTAATTTTTTGTTCTTTTTCTTCCTTTCAGAAGCCTAGACTGGTTGTGGAAAATTTCTGCTGCATAAAATTTCATATTGGTTTCTGAAAGAACTAGCCTGTAAGCATGGTAGCCACCTGTATCTTTTTTTTTTCTAAAAAAGGCAGGGTCTTGCTCTGTTGCCTAGGCTGGAGTGCAGTGGCACAGTCGTGGCTCACTGCAGCCTCAACTTCTTGGGCTCAAGTGATCCTCCTGCCTCAGCTCCCCGCGTAGCTGGGATTATAGGCGTGTATCACTGTGCCTGACTAATGTTTAATTTTTTGTAGAGAATGGGGGTCTCTTGGTGTTGCCCAGGTTGGTCTTGAACTCCTGGCTTCAAGTGATCTTCCCACCTTGGCCTCCCAAAGTGCTGGAATTACAGGTGTGAACCACTGCACCTGGCCCACCTATATAGTTTACTTCTCAGGCAGCAACCAGAGTCAGAAAGTTCCTGACCTTACAAAGTTATTTTTCAGTTCTAGTTTCTCTTGAATTTGTTGCCTAAAATTAGTTTTTAATCAATAAATCAGTGAGAAAAGGGTAGTCTGAGAATAGATTTTGACTTCTGTGAACTTCAAGTTATCCACAAATTTTTGTCTAAAAAGTATTATTAAAAATTTTACATATGATAGCAGTAACTTTGAGACCAACCACGATTTTTGCTTCCTATTTTTTTTTTTTCCTTTTTTTGAGACAGAGTCTTGCTCTGTTGCCCTGGCTGGAGTGCAGTTGCGCCATTTCATGCCTCAGCTTCCCGAGTAGCTGGGATTATAGGGATTACAGGTGTGCGCCACCATGCCTGGCTAATTTTTGTATTTTTAGTAGATACAGGGTTTCACCATGTTGGCCAGGCTGGTCTCAAACTCCTTGCCTCAAGTGATCCACCTGCTTTGGCCTGCTTCCATTTTATATAAGCTTAGGATATGCTTTACAATGTCATGAATATTCTCATTCTAAAGAAAGTTGAGCTTTTGGGCCCCTAAGTGCATTCTCAGAGTTGTTCCCTAGTTTTCTGCAAGCATAGAATAGGGGTTTGGATAGAAAAGTTAGATTCTGTTTTAGGACTAGTTTTGCTACTTAAACAATTGAATAGCTCCAGTAATATTAAATCTAGATTAAATGTACGTCGACTGCTCAAATTTTATTTCCTACAAAGTGTTATTCTGTTTATTCCTTCAATGTGAATTCTGACATCACTGAAATACTCTGAAAAACACATTTGTTTTTCTTGGGTGGTTTCTGTATGACTTCATAGCTTTCTGTAGGTGTAGGGTAAAGTTGTAAAGTCTTGCCAGCATGCACTCACTTGAATTTATCTGCAGTGAATGTCATCTTCTTTACTGTTGCTCAATTACTTTAATTTGCTGGAATGCTCTACAGTTCAAGCTTAGTCTCTGTGTGACACACTTTGGCTCATTCGGGATCTGAATATTGTCAGTTTGAATGGAGTGCTTTTTTTCTTTTTTCTTTTTTTTTTTTTTTTTTTGAGATGGAGTCTCACTCTGTTGCCCAGGCTGGTGTGCAGTGGTGTGAACTTGGCTCACTGCAAGCTCTGCCTCCCGGGTTGACGCCATTCTCCTGCCTTAGCCTCCCAAGTGGCTGGGACTACAGGCGCCCACCACCACACCTGGCTAATTTTTTTGTATTTTTAGTAGAGACGGGGTTTCACCCTGTTAGGCAGGATGGTCTCAATCACCTGACCTCATGATTCACCCACCTCGGCCTCCCAAAGTGCGGAGATTACAGGCGTGAGCCCCCGCACCTGGCCTGAATGGAGTATTTTCTGATAGATTTTCGTTTTACACCTTTTCCTAAGCAGAGATTTTGCTATTAAAAAAACAAAAAACAAAAAACCCCAAAACAAAAATCTGTATTAACACAGGTCTCTGAAAAGGCATTTGTTCATTGAAGCAGTAACAAGTGAATGCCTGCAGTGTTAAAATTTGTGCCTAAATTGCAGGAATATAACCATTGTTTAGACACAATTCCTGCCCTTATAGGAGGCCTACATTCTAATGTATACAGAAAAGTTACAAAATTCTTAAATAAAATCTTGTTAAAGTGCTATGAAGTAAAAATGCAGTGTTTAATGAGAATAACAGGGGACCTAATCTGGGGAAAAGGCAGGCTCAAGTTGAGCCTTGAAGGAAGAGTTAAGAGTTTGACAGATCGTAAAGATAAGGAGCCAAGTTTGCATTTTATTAAAAATGCAGTTAGTTACTTTTAGTTGCTGTTTTCACAGATTTTTAATCTTAAAAGTTAGTTTTATAGCATGTGATTTGGTAACCTTTATATTTTACGTGAATGGCACTTGGGTGTTTATTTTTTTTGAGACGGAGTTTCGCTCTTGTTGTCCAGATGAGTGCGGTGGTGTAATCTTGGCTCACTGCAACCGCCACCTACTGAGTTCAAGCAATTCTCCTGTCTCAGCCTCCCAAGTAGCTGGGATTACACGCATTTGACACCACACTGGGCTAATTTTGTATTTTTAGTAGAGATGGAGTTTCTCCATGTTGGTCAGGCTGGTCTCAAACTCCCAACCTCAGGTGATCCGCCCGCCTCGGCCTCCCAAAGTGCTGGGATTATATGCGTGAACCACTGCGCCTGGCCATGGCACTTGGGTTTTTAAGTTTTGCCTAAGGTACTTTCAACAGTGGTATAACTTGATTTTTCTCTATCAAGGGGTAAGCTAGTCTTTAGAATTGTGGCTGATGCATTGAGGGTAGGTATAAAGGAAAGCAGTAGGAGGTGGTAGGGTGCAAAATGGTCAGGCTTCTGTTACTGGAAATATCAGTAGTAGCTTGCCAAGAGGTCAAGTTACTTGTGTCAGAGATGGTCTCTGAACTATCGCTACGTTTCTTTTTCTGTCTCAGAGAAATACGGATCGAGAGACTTTCATGAAGGAAAGATGACTAATGGTCTTCTTTTTGTTCTTTACCATTTAGTGCTCTAGTTTTTCACTTAAAAATTAATTCACAGTTACTATAGTCAACTCTTATCTTTCAAACTGATTTTTATTATAAGAATTAATTCAAAATTTTTCTGTCTTCTAAATCTGCAAGTTAAAATTATTGCTTTAGAGAATTATACTATGCTGATCCTGGGGTTTAAGCGTTCTTGTATTCTAATTTGAGAAGCTAAAAAATTTATGGTAGTAACAGTTACTGTGGAGAAATTTGATAGCTTGCTTTAGAAACCATTATTGAGCCAACTGGGACATGTTTCCTCCTTTTGTGTTAAAGAATATACTTTTGCTAAGCCTAACTTGTTGTAATAGAAATAGTCTTGTCTACTCATTATATGTGCTTGGTTTTGATTTTATCATCTTAAATGTTAAAATGTTGCACAAAATAGTTGTAATCACTAAGTAGACTTTAACAGAACACTTTGAATTTTAGTCTTTATTATGTAGTGTATTAGTCTGTTTTCATGCTGCTGATAAAGACATACCTGAGACTGGGTAATTTATAAGGAAAAAGAGGTTTAATGGACTCACAGTTCCACATGGCTGGGGAGACCTCACAATCATGGCAGAAGGTGAAAGGCACGTCTCACATGGCGGCAGACAAGAAAAGAGAATGAGTGAAGCAAAAGGGGTTTCCTCTTACAAAACCATCAGATCTCGTGATACTACAAGAACAGTATGGGGGAACTGCCCCCATGACTAAAGTTATCTACCGCTGAGTCCCTCCCACAACATGTGGGAATTATGGGAGCTACAATTCAAGATGAGATTTGGGTGGAGACACAGCCAAACCATATCACATAGCAACAAATTTAAATAACTTAAATTTGAAGCATTTTACTACAAATTAATGATAATTGCTTTGTTTGGGATGATTTTGGTCCCTAAGGAATAAACTCTTAATTGTGATCAGTTATTCACTATATATACTAGGAAATGAATTACTCAGAAAACTTCATTTTAAAAATACCTTGTTCTCTTTTAAATGACAAGCAGTATGGTAACAATTTGGAGGTTAATGCCTAGAATGTTAAATAATATGTACAGGTGTCTCTATGTAAACTTAAAATACATTTTTCTCTTGACAGGAAATGCACAATTTTGAGGAAGAGTTAACTTGTCCCATATGTTATAGTATTTTTGAAGATCCTCGTGTACTGCCATGCTCTCATACATTTTGTAGAAATTGTTTGGAAAACATTCTTCAGGCATCTGGTAACTTTTATATATGGAGACCTTTACGAATTCCACTCAAGTGCCCTAATTGCAGAAGTATTACTGAAATTGCTCCAACTGGCATTGAATCTTTACCTGTTAATTTTGCACTAAGGGCTATTATTGAAAAGTACCAGCAAGAAGACCATCCAGATATTGTCACCTGCCCTGAACATTACAGGCAACCATTAAATGTTTACTGTCTATTAGATAAAAAATTAGTTTGTGGTCATTGCCTTACCATAGGTCAACATCATGGTCATCCTATAGATGACCTTCAAAGTGCCTATTTGAAAGAAAAGGACACTCCTCAAAAACTGCTTGAACAGTTGACTGACACACACTGGACAGATCTTACCCATCTTATTGAAAAGCTGAAAGAACAAAAATCTCATTCTGAGAAAATGATCCAAGGCGATAAGGAAGCTGTTCTCCAGTATTTTAAGGAGCTTAATGATACATTAGAACAGAAAAAAAAAAGTTTCCTAACGGCTCTCTGTGATGTTGGCAATCTAATTAATCAAGAATATACTCCACAAATTGAAAGAATGAAGGAAATACGAGAGCAGCAGCTTGAATTAATGGCACTGACAATATCTTTACAAGAAGAGTCTCCACTTAAATTTCTTGAAAAAGTTGATGATGTACGCCAGCATGTACAGATCTTGAAACAAAGACCACTTCCTGAGGTTCAACCCGTTGAAATTTATCCTCGAGTAAGCAAAATATTGAAAGAAGAATGGAGCAGAACAGAAATTGGACAAATTAAGAACGTTCTCATTCCCAAAATGAAAATTTCTCCAAAAAGGATGTCATGTTCCTGGCCTGGTAAGGATGAAAAGGAAGTTGAATTTTTAAAAATTTTAAACATTGTTGTAGTTACATTAATTTCAGTAATACTGATGTCGATACTCTTTTTCAACCAACACATCATAACCTTTTTAAGTGAAATCACTTTAATATGGTTTTCTGAAGCCTCTCTATCTGTTTACCAAAGTTTATCTAACAGTCTGCATAAGGTAAAGAATATACTGTGTCACATTTTCTATTTGTTGAAGGAATTTGTGTGGAAAATAGTTTCCCATTGAAAATGTCAACCTGAATTGTTTAAATGGGCTTATTCTGTACATTGCTAAACAAAAAATGGGGTAGCATGGATAAAGAGCAAACTAAGCTTTATTAGTGCTGCAACTAATATAAACAAATGTTTATATTTGTTGCTTCTTTTGGTTAGCAATGATATGTCAAAGTTATATCTGAAATAGTCAAATCTTTGGGAAACAGAATCTAGTAACAATTTGAAAAGTAATACACTATCCCATTTTTATTGGCTTTATGATGGTTGACATAATGTTGCTGTGACATTTAAACATTCTTGTACCAATATTGTCTTTTACCATTATTATATACTGCAGTTAATTGGCTTTACAGTTCTTTATATATATAGCAAAATCCTGAAAGAACATATACCTTTATTTTGATGTGGCTTGAAGCTTTTGAATGGGTGAATAAGGATGATAGAAAGGTTTCAAAATCAAGCAACAAAGTCTTAAAGTGATAAGGCATGGCTTAAAGATCTTTTGATCAAACATACCTGTGTTTGAGATAGATTTAAGAGCCCTAAATGCTTATCACCATTCACTCCAAATAAAACTATTGCTTTTGGATAACTGTTAGAGTAAAGTGGCTTTTTAAAAGAAATTTTTGAGACTGGGTCTCACCTTGTTGCCCAGGCTGGAGTGTAGTTGTCTGGTCATGACTCACTGCAGTTTCGACCACCCAGGCTCAATCGATCCTCCCGCCTCTGCCTCTGGAGCAGCTGGGACAAGGCACACACCCCCATGCCTGGCTAATTAAAAAAATTGTTTTTTGTAGAAACGAGGTTTTGCCATATTGCCCAGGTTGGTCTCAAACTTCTGGGCTCAAGAGATCTGCCCACCTTGGCCTCCCAAAGTGCTGGGATTACAGACGTTAGCCACACTGTGCCTGGGGGCCAGCATTTTCTAATACTTGTCATATTCTATAGTTTGTGCAAATTTAAGATTGTTTTTTTTTCTGCTCGTCAGTCAAATCAGTTCTTGGATTAAAAACTCATTCTTATTAGAACAGAATCATGTTGGTAACTTGGTCTGCAACAGGTTTTGATGGCATCATGTGGACTTTATTCATCTTAACTCATTTAAATTTTCTACCACATTCCCTTAAGCTAATGCAAAAGTACCAACAACTTAATCTTTTTTTTTTTTTTTTTTTTTTTTTTTTGAGACGGAGTCTTGCTCTGTCGCCCAGGCTGGAGTGCAGTGGCGTGATCTCGGCTCATTGCAAGCCCCGCCTCCCGGGTTCACACCATTCTCCTGCCTCAGCCTCCCGAGTAGCTGGGACTACAGGCATCTGCTACCACGCCCAGCTAATTTTCTGTATTTTTAGTAGAGATGGGGTTTCACTGTGTTAGCCAGGATGGTCTCTATCTCCTGACCTCATGATCCACTCGCCTCAGCCTCCCAAAATGCTGGGATTATAGGCGTGAGCCGCCACGCCCGGCCCAACAACTTAATCTTTTATTAGCTTTGCTTAAGAGGGCCAATTAAATCAAAGCCCTTTAGTTCCCTTTAACAGGGACTGGAGTTATGATGCATGTGTTACGACTTTTGGCCCACTGTCCATGCAACTCTAAGTGCAGGTTGATTTGCTTTCCAGAAATCCCAAAGGGGCTGCTCTTGGATCACCGAAGAGCCTTACCTATATCAAATCAAAAAGACATTCTGGGTCAGATTAGACTATGCTCCTGGCCCTACAGATTGCACATAAACTATCATAAATACAGCTTTTTCAGGGAACTAGTTCTAAAACTCTTACCTGCTGAGAATAAGTCTTAACACTAAGATGACTGTATTATATCAATTTATTATTAGAATCAGACTTATACCTAGCACAATTAACTATTGTGTGGGCAAAGAACATTTAAAGGGCATAGTAGAGGTAAGGAGAGACACATACTCAGCTAGAGATAAAAATACTAAGTTGCACTGATTACTTAAAATACTAGTCACACCATAAAAGTGCCCTGTAGTTTCAAAAACACGTAAGCAATGAAATGTTAGCCATTATGTGTTAAACTACTTAATCTCATTTCTGTGATGTGAATATTTTTAACCCCCTTTTTGTAGATGAGGGAACTGACAAGTGACTTGTCCAAGGCCATATAGCTGTGAGAAAACCCATGCATTCTCTTTTCAGAGTTCATGCTATCACTCAACTTTAAAGTAGGCCAAGATTAATGTTGGTAAGGGTTTGTAATCTGTAAGAATGCTAAAAACGTAAGTATATATATCATTTTAGATTTGACATTTTGTATCTTGCCAGTTTTTAGGAGAACTTTTCATTTTGTTAAGTATGCATGAATATAGTTGAGTATATGAGTAACTGGTTCTTATGCTGCTGTTTTGTATTTTTACCAGCAGGAAGATTGCAAAAGTTGATGTATGTAAATCTTGAAATATTTCTAAGTTTTATGTATAACAAAATATGTATTTTAATAAACTTCTTTTGATATTTTATTTGCACTGTCTTAATGAGACTTCCATACTCAGGAGTGGTAGCTATGGGATTTTCACATGGGTTCTGGGTACTTCTAATTCTTTGAAACTTAGTACTGCAGGCTGGGTGCAGTGGCTCATGCCTATAGTCCAGCACTTTGGGAGGCTGAGGCAGGCAGATCACTTGAGGCCAGGAGTTTGAGACCAGCTTGGCCAACATGGCAAAACCCTGTCTACCAAAAACACAAAAATTAGCTGGGCACTGTGGTGTGCACCTGTAGTCCCAGCTACTCATGTGGCTGAGGCACTTGAATCGCTTGAACCCGTGAGGCAGGGTTGCAGTGAGCCAAGATCTTGCCACAGCACTCCACCCTGGGTGATGCAGTGAGACTTTCAAAAAAAAAAAAAAAATCTGAGCTCTACTGCATTGGTTATTAAAATATAATAAAAGTATTAAATTCTATTTTCGCACCAAATGAAAACACTTGATTATCATTATAGCACTTTAAACTTACTTTTCCCTTATATATTCTTGATTTAGAACAAATTACCGTACTTGAATTTCCGATCTTGCTTTCTTTAAATCTTTATTTAAAAGTCCATGCTAATAATGTGTTTACATTTTTACAGTTACATTATGATAGAAACTGTTGGATTTTTTAAATATCTAAAACAATGGCCCACTGAAGAAAGGAACAATTAACTCTTTAATTAATTCCTTAGGATAAATACCCAGAAATTTAACAGCTAGGGCAGACTTCTAATACAATACCGAAAGTCCTTCCAAAAACCAAGTGGTTGCCAACTTATGTCCCTTAGCATTATAACATTCTTGAGCCAATAGTGTAAAAATACGCTGACAATTTTATAGGCAAACATTACTCAAGGTATCTTACTTTCCACTTATTACTAAAGTAATTAACCCCTAAATAGATGCTCCTCAACAGTGGGACTACATCCTGGTAAACCTATCATAAGTTGAAACTATCAAGTTGAAATGCATTTAGTACCCGGATAAACCTATCATAAAGTTGAAAATTTGTAAATTGAACCAGTGTAAATCAGAGGCCATCTTACTTCATACTCATGAAGCAACTATAGTGGGATATTTTTCAACTTACGAGATAGCCTAGGCTTGTTGAAACACTGTCCTAATTTACTGGCTCTCTGGTAATTAAGTCATAAATGGTCAAACATCAAATTCTAGAAAAGCATATATTTAAATTCTCATCACTATAATTCAGAATGACTGGTTTACAAAAATATGTTCATAGTATTTGGGTAATAACTGTGGTGATTGTCTCAACTGGCAAGCTAAGTGGAATGCCTTAAAGAATCTATCCAAGATTAGTTGGCAGGCATTTCCAGTGTTGGTAAATCAAAGGCCCACGAAGGTATGCTGAGCCTTGATAGCACAACCTTGCTTAGGACTTTGCCTCAACTAACATACTTTTTAGTTTGGCAAGTTACCTGACCCTCCAGGTAACTCATTTTTCTCCATAGTCTGCTACTTACAAGATTGTCATATTTTTGTAATCTAGAAGCAATTATAGAGAATATTTTATTAGACTTTACAAATGACAACTGCATAAAACAGAAACCAGTTTCATGATCTAGTTTAGGGAGTATGTATTTTATACAACTCATAATCCTTTACAAATAGAAAAAAATCAGTAATACACTGAATCAACTTGAAGAATCTTCAGCATAAAGTTCAACAAAGTCCCTTAGATGCAATTTCTTTTGGATTTACAGCAACACTTTTTGTTATGTTGTATGTCTTGTAAATTCCAATAAGTCTATCCGAAATCTCAAACATATTATTTCGAAGAGAAATTATTATGAACTGTGCATTTTTTGTTTGTTCCTAAAGAGAAACAAAGAAAAGTCAAACATTAAGTAATAACAGGTAAATCACACAAACATGTAACCTCAAATATTTTTTGGACAATAAACATTACATTGATAACATGTAAAGGAATGATGGCAGGAATAATTCATAAAACAGTATTTGAGTGTGAAAGGAATTTGGTTATTTTGACTTCTAGTGGAAAAGATCTAGGAAGATGACCTAGGATTCTAGCTGTGATTCTGCTACTAATTTGCATTTTTAATTTATATTTTACTCCTCCAAAATGGAAATATTTGGTTCAAATAAAAAATAATTTGGTCTCCACTGATACCAGAGGAGATGGAGATGGAGTTATTAGACAATAAAGAAAAAGCTCAATTGTAAGAAATAAAGAATTCCATGTGTAATGTTTAGGATACCCCTAAAAGTTTCTGGAATGAAAATCCCAAAATGATTACTTACATATATATAAAATGCAACAATGGACACATTTTTAAAATCAAGGGCTGCATCAATCTCATCCATGAAGTAAAGGGGAGTGGGCTTGTAGTGGTGAAGAGCAAATACTAAAGCCAATGAACTAAGTGTTTTCTCTCCTCCCGAAAGGTTGAAGATCTTTTTCCAACTTTTCTTAGGTGGTCGAACACTGAAATGATTAAGAAAATCATAGTCAAATTACCTGTAAAGCTAAAGTTAAGACTTTGTGATTTGCTTTCCATAATTGAGTTCTACTATCTTTTTTAGGAATCTGTAACTTGCTTTTCACAAATATGAATTCTCTTTTCTGTTATTTTATAAAAACGTTATTGGAGGATGCATACATAGGAGCACATACCAAAGTTTTAAGATTTAAAGAGCAAGCTAAGTATTATACTTCTTGCTATTCTTTCTCCTTATCAAATACAATTTCTCAATCCTCATGTTAAAAATGCCTTGAAAATTTAAGAAAAGATGAACTAGACAAATATTTTGTAAATACTGGCTGTCTGCCCCTGTAAACTGCAAGCATAAATAGCATGCAAGCAAATTAGTATTTACTAGTAAATGAAACAAGTTGTACATCTTGCCTTCACATCCTACCTCCAAGAAATACTGAGTTTGGAGAATATGTAGAAAAAGGTAACAGTGGGATTATAAACTCAGCATAATTACACACCTGAACATGATTCCTTCAGAGAAAGGATCCAAGCTGTCTACAAGCTCGAGTTCGGCGTCCCCTCCCAAAGTAAGCATTTGGTAATTTTCCTTTAATTTATTTGTTATTATATAAAAACCTGCCATAAATTCATTAAGCCTTTGTTTCCGAAGATCTTCATATGCCTGTCTAAAACTGTCTCTTTCATAAGTAATTTTGTCCAATTCTGCTACCCGTTGCAAATACAATTCTTCCTGTGAAAAGATTATGATAGGGAAAATCTATTCAGATAAATTTGATATGATAATTAGCATTGTTAATTATTACTTTGTTTTGAGACGTAGTCTTGCCCTGACGCCCAGGCTGGAGTGCAATGGCGCGATCTCGGCTCACGGCAACCTCCACCTCCCAGGTTCAAGCGATTCTCCTGCCTCAGCCTCCCGAGTACCCGGGATTACAGGCACGTGCCACAACGCCTGGCTAATTTTTTGTATCTTTAATAGAGATGAGGTTTCACTATGTTGGCCCAGCTGGTCTCGAACTCCTGACCTTGTGATCCACCCGCCTTTGGCCTCCCAAAGTGCTGGGATTACAGGCGTGAGCCACCACGCCCGGCCAACAGCATTGTTAATTATACAAAACTAAAGATCAGAATTTAGGCTAAGGACTAAAAAGAACTCCAACTAGTATACATACACAGTTCATTCATACCTTCTTTTTATACTCTGCGATGGCACCGAGGTTTGGTTTCATTTCATGACACCGGGCTTCCAAAAGTGCAATTTGATTTGTTATAGAATCTGGATTCTTGATCGCTTCAAGATCCTCTGGGCTTAGAACCGAAATCTCTTCAATAGGATTATCTTCTATAGGATGCAGTGATATTTTTGAAATCTAAAAGTTCAATTTAGGGGAGAGTTAGAGAAGGCATAATATTACATACAATTCATTGTTTAAAAAAAAATATGACAAATTACACAGCTATGAAAACAACAGGAGTTGTGACTGATTTATCAATTATTTTTCAAAGGACTTCAAGAAAAATAGTTGTAACACTCAAAAGTGTCCATGTAATCTTTTCTTAAATGTCCAGATCAGCCCTAGGGTGAAAGGGTAGTTGTCTAATTCTAATCGTTACTCAGACTTTTCTGTATATAACAATTTATATTGTTATGTCCCCTATAAACCTTAGAAGTGATCACAGAATTAAAAATCACAATGTAGCTCACAAACAAAATTTAAGAACCCCAACCCCCTAAAACAATCCTCCCCAAACCCTCCTTTTTCATAAAGAATATGTTTAAAATTAAACTAAACGGTAACAATCTCACCTCTTTGTGCCAATATTTTATTTTAGAATTATGTTCAGCAATGTGACCATCTATTTGTTCAAGTTTCAACTTAATACTAAGTGCATCTTTTTGAAGAGCATGTTCATTTTCTTGAATAACTTTTAATTCTTGAAGCAGATTGCGATGTTCTTTCTGGATCTCTGGTAAGGATTCCTAAACACCGAAAAGAACTGCTAGATAGAATTTTCCAAATAGAGCCATCATTTTCACATTACAGAGATGAAGGAATTACCAATCTCTCCTCATGCCCCTTCCATTTTAAAATAATTTAAGCATTTAAATTCACAAATTATAGTATTCTTATTGTACAAATAAAAATTGATAGTTATAAAACTTTAAGTCTATGAGTGCTTACTACATTCTAGGCACTGTCATATATCCAGCTCTTTAAATTGGTTCCAGTATCATCCCATCTCCTCTTCAATACAAAGCAACTCATACCTCTGCAGCATTTGTATTCTTTACGACCTCTGCTGCTTTGTCCTCAAGACTTTTCAGCTCTGCTGTTAGGTCATCCACCTCTTTCTCAGTATCTTTTATTTCTTTCTCTGTACGCAAGACAGAGTCTTGTGCCTTTTGAAGGTTTCTAAAGAAGCAAAATGATGCATCAAAAATGTGGTAAGGTGATTTGTTATTGTTTCTGAAAACCTACTAAAGAACTTTTCATGAAATTTAATGTGACATTTTTTCTATTCATATATTTTTAAGTTTATGATTTACTAAACCATCCTTAAATCAGTTTTTGTAGGTTTATACAAACACTTATGGGATGAGTTGTATATTTTTAATTATAAATGCCTTTCTTATATAAGCTGCTTGTATCATTCAACTTTAGACTGATGCAACACTGTCCATTAGATTATCAAATTCTTTTGTCATTTTCTCGTCAGAGATTGTTAAATCTCTACACCCATAAAGTTGTACCTTCAAATACTTCCCAATTCAAGACAAGGCAACAAGTACTTCCAAAAAAGCAAGACACTACTTCTCCCTTATTACCTCCTTATCTCTGAGCAAAACACTCTGGATTAATTTAACCAGATAATCAATATGCAATCAATTTGTTAAAATTTTTTCTAAAAAAAGAAATGGCTATTTAAATTTCAATATTTTATATACATACCTAACTTTATTTCAGACACACTTCAATAAATACTCTAAAAAAATTAAGGCCGGGTGCGGTGGCTCATGCCTGTAATCCCAGCACTTTGGGAGGCTGAGGCAGGGGGACCATGACGTCAGGAGTTCAAGACCAGCCTGACCAACATGGTGAAACCCTGTCTCTACTAAAAATACAAAAATTAGCAGGGCCTGGTAGCGTGTGCCTGTAATCCCAGCTACTTGGGAGGCTGAGACAGGAGAATCACTTGAACCTGGGAGGCGGAGGCTGCAGTGAGCCGAGATCGCGCCACTGTACTCCAGCCTGGATGGCAGAGCGAGACTGTCTCAAAAAGAAAAAAAAAAAAAAAAAAACCTAAGTAGATAAATCTTTTTTTTTAAGGACAATGAAATCTTCTAGGTATTTAAAATTTTAAGGTGGCTGGGTGCAGTGGCTCATGCCTGTAATCTCAGTCTTTTGGGAGGCCAAGGCAAGAGGACTGCTTCAGCCCAGGAGTTCAAGACCTGCCTGGGAAACATGGCAAAACTCTGGTCTCTACAAAAAAAATACAAAAATTAGCCAGGTGTTGTAGTGCATTCCTGTAGTCCCAGCTACTTGGGAGGTTGAGGTGGGAGGACTGCCTGAGCCTGGGAGATTGAGGCTGCAGTGAGCCCTGACTGTGCCACTGCACTCCAACCTGGGCAACACAGCAAGACTCTGTATCAAAAAATAAAAATAAAAACTAAAATGTAAGTTACCAAGAGAATTAATTTTGCTAAGTGATCCCATTTTTACCTCTTTTACTTATTCTTTTAAGGCCTGTATCTATTTAAATTAAGGACCAACTACTCCCTCCCCGAGACCAGAGAAACAAAACTGATTTCTATGCCCTCACAGCAACTGGGGAGTTACAGTCTACCTGTACTTTCCTATGGCATACCTGTTTACCAGCCTTTTTAATTGGCCATAGGATAAATGTTCATTATAGGTTTTCCGTCATGGAAGTCCCATTAGGTAATGTGTCAGACAGGTTCAATAAATTAACAGTAAGAGAAACATTTTATGGAACATTACATAGTAACCCCCTTTCCAATGTGAAGGCAGGGAAAGGGAAAACAAGTTAGGGTAACATGCATACTCTACCTGTCAGCAGTCTTGATTGCTACTTGGGCTTTAGTAATAGCAGAAGCACATTCATCTAATTGCTTATTTATTTTATCAAGTTTGTCTTGTTGGGCCTTGAGTTTATGATTATTGATTTCTACGATGGTATTGTGTAAGCGTTTAACCTCAGCTTCTACTTTACCAGCTTTCTCAGCCACAGCATCATATTCTGAAATTAAAAAATAAAGAACCTAATTTGTGTTTTTATGCTAATGAACATCATTTGTTAGATGTACATTTCTTCAGTTGCTATGACTTGACGTGATGCATTAAAACAAATTTTAGGCATATGGGAAAAAGCACCTTAAAAAAAAAAACGATATCCTGTATCAAAACAAATGGTGTTACAACAATGCACAAAGTTAAACACACTAGCTCGGCTGTAAACACACCATTTCTTAATGGCTTCATGTTCTCAGCTTCTTTTAAAATATCTTTACAACTTTTTCTTAGGGCACTTCCTTGACTACTGAGTTCATAATGATTTTTAGCCTTAGATACACTATGTGCCTAACTCAATATTAACTTGCCCACAATGAAGAAATTGTGGTTATTTTCTTCTGCTAACATAACTTCGCAGTTCTCCACATTAAAACAAAGTGGAGGATATAAGATGAATTAGCGTTCCTTCCTGTGACAACGAAGAGTAAAAGTTAACATTTCCCAGATTCCTCTGTGGCTAGGGTTTAGACATAATTTAGGTCAATTCAATCAAAAGTACTTGCATAATTTGGAAGGCATAAACAAATTGGACATGTTTCTTCTGGCAAGCAGTCACACAGAAGTCTGGATTTTCTGTAACGAAGTTAGAGGTTCTCCAGCTCTATGGCCCAGGATGGAGTGCAGTGGCGCCATCGCAGCTCACTGCAACCTCCATCCACCTCCCAGGTTCAAGCCATTCTCGTGGTTCAGCTTACCATGTAGCTGGGATTATAAGCATGTGCCACCACACCCGGCGTGTGTGTGTGTTTGTGTGTGTGCGTGCGTGTGTATTTTTCAAAGAGATGGGGTTTCACCATGTTGGCCAGGCTGGTCTCAAACTCCTGATCTCAAGTGATCTGCCTGCCTTGGCCTTCCCAAGTGCTGGGATTACAGGTGTGAGCCACCATGCGCAGCCCAATTTATCTTAAATATAAAATGTTTGCACAGATTTCGATATAATGGTTTACTGTAGCCTTTATTTAAAAATATGAATATGTTCAATAGTTGAAAATATTTAATTTTAAAGATATGCTTGCACAAATGGGTCCTCCACATGAGATATTAACAGTCTCCTGATAATATATGGCATTTCTATGAGAGGAGATATATAGAGCTCCTAACAAAGTCAAGGATTCCTTTTCAAATAAGGATGAAACACATATAGACTCTTGCAGTCTCTCCATGAAAATGTTGCCATTAATAGCACAGATATACATTTTGGCTTCTCAATTGACCATCAGGTACCATCAAAGCCATTGTTGTGGGTGCTTGCAGGGAAAGGGGAGTGTGGGTGAAGGCCTCAGAGAATCTGGGTTCTTCCGTCCTTTATTCCAGCCACAATGGTTTGTGTTCCCAGCATACTCCTGCTTCAGCCTTTGTATTTGCTCCTTTATACTCTTCTTGGAATGCTTTTTTCTCAAACATACATGGGTTAGCACTCATACTTTCTTTGGGCCTCCACTCAAATATGTGCCATCTTACATGTGTGCTCCCTGGGAAGAGACTTTATTTTTGTTTACTGCTCTATCAGTAGGACCTAAAACAAAGCCTGGCCAGTAGCAGATACTATTTGAGTGCCTGAATATTAGAAATGCAGATAAACACAGACACAAATTAATATAAATGCACATTTGATATGCATTGTGGAAATGTGTCAACATTTAAAAATCTTTTTCTTTTGGAAGAAAATCCCCACATTTTTGGAGCAGTTGGATAATCGCTCCAACTCCACTCTCATTAGTTCTTTGGGATGGTTAATCAGTATTTGTCTTCCTTGGCTCACAAAGCAAACTGTAACAGGGATCTGTCTTAAGAATAAAATGAACCTTGCTGTGTTTGCTGGAGTCACTAGCTAAGATTCTGTAAACCTGGAAGGGGACTGTGGCATAATCCACTATCCCTTCTCCCATTAAGATGCACATCTATGTTTGATTGAAGCCAACATGGAAAGACAAGCACAGCTGCTCAAGTGCATGATCAGGGGATTTCAATTAAGGCTACAGAGCCAATTCTGCCTGTGAATTCCTTTTCCTGCCTAAAGATTCTATTTTGGTAGAACATTTACATGTCTATAACTGCACAAGAAGAAGTTATGAAAGAAAAAAAATACATATATATATATTTTAAGTTTTCAAGTACACATTGTTTTTCTTTGATTGCATACCACTTATTCCCTGTGTTATCTGAGTGATATAATTTTTCTAAATCTATAACCACTATCTTGAAGGGGTTTTGGAAAGATTAGGGCCAAAGTATACAAAGTATGACATTAAAAGCATGGACTCAAAAATCACCTATTCCTATACCACCACGTGCTGTGTGACCTTAGGCAAATGCCTCAGTTTCCTTATTTGTCAAATGAGACTATTAATAACACTTACTTTATAACAAACACCATAAAATAGTGCAATGACTTGCATATACTTAGCTTCTATTATTATTCTACTGCTTCTTAAATATTGCAAGCTTTAAAAACCTGTTTTTTTTTTCCCCCCAAAAAAGGTCTATCTCTAAACATACCTGTTTTGAAAGCACTAACGTTTTCTTCTAGCAATTTCTGCTTTTTTTTGTCAGGGGCTGTAGCAAGTACATTAGCTTCAAGTTCCTTAACTTGGACATTCAAATATTCTTCTTGCTCTATTAAACGCTACAAAAAAGTTTTAACATTTAAGGTCAATATTTTAACATTTGCTTTAAACATTGTGAATTTTTAAAAAGGGCACTTAAAATCTTCAAGAAAAAGACACACACTAATAGGAAGAGGAAAGATATGTGCCATTGATATAAAAAATGAAAATGGCCAACAAACACAAAATATGTAAGCTCATTATAAAGACACGTTAAAATGCCACATTTCTGTTTACAAGGTAGCAAACTTATGTAGACCACCCTAGTGTTCAAAGACTTGGAAAAATAATTATTTGAATATGCTGTTAGTAGTGCATGAATTATAACTTTTGAAAACAATCTGGCATTATGCAACAAATGCCTTAAACATTGTACACATATGGTGTAATACTTGTAATTTTTGAAATCTAAGGAAATAACTGAATCAAGGTATACCTACAAGGATTTTTTTAAACATAGCCATGTACATAATACAAAAAAAATTTGTCAAATTATGTTATAAACAAAATGCTCTAAAGCAATTAAAAACAAAGTACATTTATACTGCCTTGGAAAGAAAACCATAATTTAAGAAAAGCTAGTATGACATTAAAAAAACCATATGCACACTTTATATATCTACACATATCTACCACATATATAAATACATTACATGCAAACTAGGTATTAGAAAAGTTGAAAGAACATACGTCAAAATGAAGGTGATCATTTGGGTATTTTCTGGAAACTTATTAAAAAAACAGTGGGCGTGCATTGCTTTTTCATAATTAAAAAAAATTCCACTTTGAAAAGAGAATAAAAATAAAGGGTCATATAGTTGTTAAGGAAAGTAATGTTTCTATGGAGTACAAACGGAAAACAGGAATAGCTGTGGTTGGAACAACACTGTGACAGGGCGTTATCTATTAGTACTCAGTGAAACAAAATCATCAAGAGTTATATCTGCCTATAGATCCTCCCTCCCTTATATATTTAATAAATTGTAAGCAAATAGCAAAATGGTTCTGATAAATTCCAGTTGAATCCCAATAGTTTCAGTACACACACACACACACACAC
This sequence comes from Homo sapiens, assembly GCF_000001405.40. Lineage (NCBI taxonomy): Eukaryota > Metazoa > Chordata > Mammalia > Primates > Hominidae > Homo > Homo sapiens. The sequence goes on along the minus strand of NC_000003.12, from coordinate 160,425,033 downwards.
ACACACACACATACCTGGATGCTTGCAGTAAATTTTTCTAGTGTGTTCCTCATTTCTCGTTCACTATGCCGTAACTTAACTACTCTTTCTTCAAGTTGTACTTTCTGTTCTTGGATTTGCATTGCTTTTTTAGAGTCGTTTTGCAACTGTGATTCCATTTTGTTTACCTACAAAGAAAGTTTTCTCTAAGAGCCATTTCAGATTGACAGAAAAGTCAACTTACGAAGAAAACTAAAACTTCTGTCGCCCAGGCTGGAGTGCAATGGCGCGGTCTCAGCTCACTGCAACCTCCGCCTCCCGGGTTCAAGCGATTCTCCTGCCTCAGCCTCCTGAGTAGCTGGGACTGTTACAGGTGCGTGCCACCACGCCCGGCTAATTTTTGTGTTTTTAGTAGAGACGTGGTTTCCCTATGTTGGCCAGGCTGGTCTTGAACTCCTGACCTTGTGATCTGACAGCCTCAGACTCCCAAAGTGCTGGGATTACAGGTGTGAGCCACCGCGCCCAGCCTAAAACTTCTGATCTTAAAGACCAGAACAAAATCAAACCACCTGTTCCAATCCCAATCTTAAAGTTCAGGAGATGGTCAAGTAATTTCTTGATCAGAAAATCAGATGGAAAGGTAACTAAGTGTTGTACAGTCACCTATTATTTCAATGAAGGTACAGCATTCAAATACTTAAGCAGAAGGACATAAACTTGTATTTTCAAAATACGGGAGGGAAAAAAATCAAAGCACAACACTTTGGGAAAAGGTGTTCAAGCTATTTCAGAACATGTTTTTGAGGAGGAAAAAAGTTTAAAATACTCTGAAGTTGAGATTTGCATCAAGTCTTTGCTATACTTTTAAAGAATTATTTTGAAGTAAAAAATTATGTAATACAGCAATAATACAAAAAAAACCCCAATAAATTAAATGTAAAACAGAAATAATTATGTAAGTTATGGAATATCTGTATGATCCAAATGTACTAATTAAAAAGTGTACTTTGAGCATATAGTTTCTGATTAATATTTTGTTTTCTAAAACTTTAAAGGGCTTTACATAAAAAATCCCTAGTCATTTATAGAAAACGCCATCTATTAAAATTTGAGTACACCATACTTAAAATGGCCAAATTTTGTAGTAAGTATATACCTCGGTAAAGCTATTTAAAAAAAAAAAAAAGTCTGGATACAATTTTAGATATGCTGACCTCTTCTTCAGAGATTTCAATAACAAGTGAGGAACCCATTCTTCCTTTCATTACTTTGCTTCCACCACCAGTCATTGTACCTGGAAAACAGGGGAGAGAAGTCAGCTTCAGATGTCTCCCCAACAAGATTAAATAAAGTCAATGCTGTGGGGGGAAAAAAAAACAAACCAAGAAACAAAAACACTATTACCTGACTGTTCTATGATTTGTCCCTGTAAAGTTACCACTCTCCATCTTCTATCTTTTTGATATGCTACTCTTGTGGCTTGATCCAAGTTGTCAGCTACTAAGGTATCTCGTAAAGCAAAATAAAAAGCTTGGCGAATTTTCTCATCTTTTACTTTTACTAAATCAAATAAACGAGGAGTATTTTCAGGAGTTTGAATTTCGGTCATCTTTTTCGCCCATACAGCCATCTAAAAGTAAACAAACAAACAAACAAAAACAACAGTTAACAAAAAAGAAAACTCAAAAAAAAAAACAAAAAAAAACCCATAGGAATAAATTCAACAAAAGAAACAAGAATTATACACAAAAGGTTCTAAAATTAGACCTAAACGGAAGACATCTCATGTTTGTGGTTCTAAAGATTTAATACCGTTAAGATGCCTATACTATCTAAACTGATCTACAAATTCAATACAACCTGTATCAAAATCCCAGTTACTTCCTCGCCTTTTTTTGTGGCAGTAATTGACCATCTGGATCTTAAAAGTCATATATACAAATTATAGGGACCCAGAACAGTCAATATGATAAAGAACAAAATTAGAGGACTCAGACTTCCTGATTTTAAAACTTATTACAATGCTGCAATAATCAAGACAGTGTCCTATACCAGCACAAGTAATAAAACTGAAAGCCCAGAAATAAACCTTTACATTAATGGTTGGGTGGTTTCAACAAGGATGCCAAGAAAATTCAATGGGGTAAAGAATCTTTTCAACAAATGGTGTTGGAATAACTGGATAGCCACATGGAAAGAGTAGTTTGAGCCCTACTTTATATCACGTGATAAAATTAACTCAAAATAGATTAAAACCTAAATATAAAGCCAAAACTATAGAACTTTTAGAAGAAAACAAAGGAGGCAAATCACTGTGACCTTGGATTAGGCAGTGGTTTCTTGGGTATGATACCCAAAACACAAGCAACCAAAGGAAAAAAAAGATAAATTGTGCCTCAAAGGATACCATCAAGAAAGTGAAAATACAATCCAAGGAATGGGGTAAAATATCTGTAAATCATATCTCACAAGAGACTTGTATTCAGAATAGAGAAATCCTACAACTCAACAAAGAGAAACCAATTAAAAAATGGGCAAAGGATTTGAAACAGACATTTCTCCAAGGAAGATAACAAATGGCCAAGGACATGAAAGGACTTTTACTATCATAAATCACCAGGAAAATCCTAATCAAAACCATGAGATACCACTTCATATTCACTAAGATGACTATAATCAAAAAGATGTACCATAACAAGTGTTAACGAGGATGTAAAGAAACTGGAACCCTTACACATGCTTGTGGGAAATGGTACAGCCACTGTGGAAACAATCTTGACAGTTCTTCAAAAAGTTAAACATAGAATTACCACATGACCCAGCAGTTCTACCCTAGGTATATATATACCCAAGAGAACTGAAAATACATGTTCACTCAAAAACTTGTACACAAATGTTCGTAGCACAAGTATTGCCAAAGCACAAAAAGTGAAAACACAAATGTCCATCAACTGACAAATGGTTATACAAAATGATGTAACAGAATACCATTTGGCAATAAAAGGGAATGAAGTACTGATACATGCTACAACATAGATGAACCTGAAAACCTGCTAAGTAAATGTAGCTGTATAAAAAGGCCATATATTGTATGATTCCATTTATATGTAGATAAATCTACAGAAACAAAAAAGTAGTTAGTGTTACGGAGGGGGTGAAGGGGTATAGGGAGCGACTGTTACTGTCTATGGGGTTTCTTTCTGGGAGTGATAAAAATATCTTGGAATTAGATAGTGGTCATGGGTGAACAACACTGTGAATATACTAATACCCACCAAATTACATACTTTAAAATGATTGTTTTGTTTGTTGTTTTTGAGTCTCACTCTGTCACCCAGACTGGAGTGCAGTGGCGCAATCTAGGTTCACTGCAACCTCCACCTCCCAGGTTTAGGCAATTCTCCTGCTTCAGCCTCCCGAGTAGCTGAGATTACAGGCGCCTGCTACCATGCCTAGCTAATTTTTGTATTTTTAGTAGAGATGGGATTTCGCCATGTTGGCCAGGCTGGTCTCAAACTCCTGACCTCGTGATCCGCCCGCCTTGGCCTCCCAAAGTGCTGGGATTACAGGCATGAGCCACCGCACCTGGCCTAAAATGATAAATTTTATTGTAGGTAAATTATCTCAATAAAGGTTTTCCTTTTAACTCTGGAATGTACATTCCTTTAGTGGAGGCACTGCAAATGTCAAACAATTTTTTATAATCATATAACCCCAGAACATAAAATAATCGTCAAAACCCATCAGGTGTTCACTGAGTAACCATTAAGAAAAAGCCTGAATCCAAAAAGAAAAACACACTTAGCACTTAAAAATTCAATTATAGGGCTGGGTGTGGTGGCTCACGCCTGTAATCCCAGCACTCTGGGAGGCCGAGGTGGGCGGATCACAAGGTCAGGAGATCCAGACCATCCTGGCTAACACAGTGAAACCCCTCTCTACTGAAAATACAAAAAAATTAGCTGGGTGTGGTGGCGGGCACCTGTAGTACCAGATACTCGGGAGGCTGAGGCAGGAGAATGGTGTGAACCCGGGAGGCGGAGCTTGCAGTGAGCCAAGATCATGCCACTGCACTCCAGCCTGGGTGACAGAGCGAGACTACGTCTCAAAAAAAAAAAATTCCAATTATAGGTAGGTTATTACGAATACCCACCTTATCTAAACCTATAAAGGTTGCAACTCCAATATTTTGTCTTTTAAGGAAGTTTACACATTCTTGGGCTATATCAATAGAATCAACAACAATGTAGTCCAGTGCATGACAACAGGATGATATAGCCACGTCGTATTTTTCATCAATGGCTCCTAAGTCCCCCTAATAATGAAGAGTGGGGTGAAAAAAGAGTTAGGCAGAAAAGCACAGGACCATTTCATTCATCAAGTTTTAAAAACTTCTTTTAATTGAAAAACTTTATGTAGACATGGTTTTAAAGAGAACAAAAGGGTACACAACAAAATACAAAATATGTATAAGTTTATGAATATGCAGCTTGAATTTCTAATGAGCACAAAATGAAAGAACTGTTTTCATTTTATGAAAACAACATGAAGCTTAAAACCTAAATGAACTATAAGCAAAACTCAGAAAACTTTGAATTATTGAAAAGCATCTAAAATTATGTAAATCCTGATGAAACACATTTATCTGTTTATCTATTACACAACTATCTAGCAGTATTCACTGGTTTGGGCTTTCTTTGAGAGCAAATGAATAGGATCAAACTGTTTATCTTTAAGAAAATAAGGTGGAAGTCCCGATACAAGATGCAGAAGCAATCATGTTGGGTAATTTTTACATCAATTTGTTCCCTTCTCCGAAAGGCTGACTTAAGGACTGCATCAACTGGCTCCTTTGACTCTCCACCTTCAGCCAATTTGAGGTTTCAGCTAAGACTGGAGGGCAGGAAATAGGTGGGGTTAAGGTATCCATTTTCCCCATCTCCTCTGGACCACAACTCCCTTCCCTCGAAGCTAAGAAGCAGTAATGGTCCTCACTATTGCTAGCCTTGGATTTTTAGATTATCCCTTGTTATATCCTTAAATGCTAGCCCAAACCTAAGTAAAATGGTGTGAAACCCCAAATATATAAAAAAATTTTTTTTAATTTTCATTTTTTAAAAAACAGTCTTGCTATATTGCCCAGGATGGACTTGAACTCCTAGGCTCAAGTGATCCTTCTGCCTCTGCCTCTCCAACAGCTGGGACTACAGGCACACACCATTGTGCCTGGCTAAAGTCTCTCTTTTAAAAAAAAGGATAAAATGGTTTTAAGTTTGTGTGACATTACTAGTATTTTTCTTGATATGTATGAAATAATTGTATTTATCTAAAGCTAAGTAAACAAGAAACTGTAAGGGCAAAATGTTTAAAAATAAATGTGCCTTAAAACAAACAAAATGAATCTTATTTTATATACAGTGACACTTGAAATATGGTTGTCAAGGCAAAAAAATAAGTTACACTTTCTTAAAAAAAAAAAGTAAAGCCATGCCCCCCAAAAATCTACTTTACCAATCTTCCATATATTCCTGGAATCCTGCCAGATTTTTTTTCTTGAATTATTGCATCAAGGACTTTCCCCCTACTTCGATTCATTGCTAATGAGCTCTTTGCTTCTTCAACTTTTTGAAAGAGATCATGAACCAAACTTTTAAAGTTTGTTTCTTCTTGTGTAAGTTTTTGAAGTTCTTTTTCTTTCTAAAAGTGAAAATAAAATGAAATCCAGAAGCATTAACTTCTAAATATGACCAGTCATAGCACTGAATTAGTTGTAATGCTTTAATAACAATAAAGAAAGAAAGACCAACAATAAAAATTTGAACCAAAACTGAGCACCTGTATGGCAATTGCTGGTTTGGTTGTGGAAAATATGGATGGGTTTAAAAGGGGCATAAATTACTTGGGTCAATAAAAGAAAACATTAGGTGTAATATTTTTTTCAGGAGCAAACAGTTCATCCTGATAGAGAAGTATAGCTGGGGCTGTGGAAATCCCAGTTTGATACTACATAGTTATACATAAGTGTGCCCTAATTCTTCAGCTCTGCCCTAATGAAAAGCTGACCCAGAAAATGACTGGGCAGGACTACGGTTATGCTGTGCTTTATTTTAGCTGAACGGGGCTGGGGGGTACTGGAGAAAAAGCACACCTCTGAAACGAAAGATGACTGGATAGTCCTATTGCTATACAAAAATGCCAGGCTCCCAACAAGAAAGGAACCACAAACATGCACACATAAACACAACCTCTGTTTCTCAATCTCCAACTTCTCAGCAGCCATCTTTTCTAACTGGTATATTCCTCCATCCACTAGATTTAAATTATGTCTATTACTTACTGTACTGGCATAAAGTTTAAACCAAGTTACTGACATAATTCATCCCAAAAGAAACCGAATCCCAGGAAGACAGAAGCAGTCACTGGATCTAACTTAATTTACATTTAAATTCTACCTGGTCATGAAATTCCCTGATGACCAAATAGCATGCATTAACTAAAATGAAAAAGACTCATATTTATTTTCAGTATAATTACACTTCAAACAGATTTTTTTTTTATTGCCACCTTGCCTACTGAGGTTTTGGAGATCTTTGGAGATTAAAGTTTACGAAATTCCTTAGACATCTAATTCACTCAAGGATGGGGGACAGGCACCGATAAGCTATACATCTTAGTTAGTTTATAACATTTTGGAATGCAAGCAAAGAAACTACATCCATAAATTCAAAACCCAAAACACATTAAGATAGTTGTTTGTATATTCATTATATAAATACATATACACTTGTTTTTTATTTATCTTTAAATTGTCTATACTTAAGATTTAAAGAAACACAAACTTTCTTTTGTTTAAATTATTTCTACAGTGGGGTGGTGGTGGTGATTTACTTACTATATGGTGCTTCTGGGGATAATATAGTTTCTTGATAGTCTCAGTTCACATATGGAATACTGAAATGCTGACCTCATTCTTTTGAGATTATACAAAATGAAGAAAATTTATCACTAGTCACCTCTGACGCGGAGATTAAAAACAAAAATGTATAAAGCTGAAGTGGACGAATGATGTTCTGATGCAACAGAGAAGCAAAGATTTACCTCCTTTAATTCTTGTTCAGTTTGAGGGAGTTTTCCTTCTATATCTCTGATTGCAGCTTTCCTTTCTTTGAGAGTCTCAGAAGCTGCAATTAGAGCTTCCTTAGCCTTAGTTAATTGAGACACTGCAGTATTATGACGACTGAGATAGATATCAAGTTCTGACTGGGCTACATCCATCTTTGAACGTGCTTCATTTACCGATTTGCTGAAACCCATAAGTTCTTTCTCTCGACTCTGTTAAAATATGAGTTCATTAAATCTGGACAGATATTTACTTTCAAACCTACACTGAAATGAAACCATACATTTTATATTCGATTTAAGAAAGGAGATTCTATAAGCACAGTATATAGAAATAAGAAATTCTCACAAGTGGACTAGATTCAGTTTTTGCCTAGTTGTCAATATTCACTGTACATAGTCTTTTCCCAACTGATTTCACAAGAGCTTTGTGAGATCGATCATTACGCTGAGGAATAAAGACATTTGAGGCCTAGCTTTGTCATTAACATGGGGTGCAGGGCACATGAGTACTCAATATATATTAAATAAGCAAACAGTGAAAATCCACTAACTATGAAGTATCCCATCATGAAAGCTACTGCATTATCCATTGACACTTTATCACACAGGTATTCTAACCTGTAAAGTTTTATAATCTGACATTAGAACATGTCCATATTCCAAAGCAGACTCTATTAAGTGACACTTCATCACACAGGTATTCTAACCTGTTAAGTTTTATAGTTTGACATTAGAACATGTTGATATGCCAAAGCAGACTCTACCATGACTTTTTAATGCAGTCAATTACCATTATCCATTAACATAGGTATTTAACATGCTTAGCACTGTCAAAAATGCTGTGGTACATACAAACAAAGATAATTTTATGCTTACTCTTGTTGGGGTAGATAATACATATCAATGTGACAACTTCATGCTCTCGTTTTATTAATATAATGCTAAAATTATAGCTAACATTTATTTTCTTTCTCAGTACGTTATATAGATATATTTATTCTTTATTTTCACAAAGTAGATATATTCTTTCTCATTTTAAGGAAGATGACTTGGAGATATGACAACCGGCACAAGAACAGAGACAGTAAGTGATTGACCTAGGATTTGAACCAAGAACTGAAACAAGAGCCACAGCTTTTAACTATTACACAAGAGCTATAGAAGCAAAAACAAAAGAGACATTAACCTGCGCTTAGTGTGGCTCCAGGTTTTACAGGTGGCAACAAAATATGATGATTCAACACGCTTAGGAGTGGCATATATAATAATCAAGGTACTGTATTTGACATCACACCTTCTGCTACTACTACAAACTCTCATTTAGTAAACTTTTTAAAAAACATGTCAGCAGGAATTAAAAGAATAGTCATCTAAGTCTAGGTTGACTAGTTTTAGGAATGTTGGACATTAAAAGTCCAAACTTACCAGTTCAGGTTTCAGTATTTTTGAAAAAATAATCTTTAAGTTAAAAAAAAAAAAGCCACCAAAATAAACACTGATAAAAAAAAAAAACTTACTTCTTTTTCTTTCTGAAGCCCTTGTGTTTCCTGTTTAAGGCTATCCATAACTTCCTTTAATTTTTTTTCTTCTTTCTCTTTTTCCTTCTCGAGGGCATTGTTTCTGGTTGTTGTTTCATTAATGATATTGTTACTCTTGGCAGGTATACTTTTAAATTCTTCAACCTGAGATTATAAAACAAGTTATAGGAGCATACATCTTTATGTTACCCAATACTATCAATATTTGACATATTTAAAGGCATTTCTCAGGGTCCTCTAGTTCTTCTTTTCTTTATAATCAGAGTTAAATTAGCTAGCTTTAACAAGTATTTTCCCGACTATTCACTGTAATTTCTATATTCTCTCAATCTAATAGTAAAACTACTTCTACAAACACCTGACCTCTTATGAAGGAAAACTGTCTCTGGCAGGGCCTCAGGTCTGTCATCCTTCTCTCCTGATTTCAGGTTGTAATTATTCTTCTTTAGCTATAAATATGCTCTGACTACACGGAATTTTCTAAACTATCCTTCCTGGTATATCATAACTTACCACAAATTATCTTTACCATCTCCCCAACCCTAAAATCTTTCACAACTTTACTCTTCCAGAGTCATCATGTAGGGCTAATATTTTACTCCATTAACATCTTCTGATAATAATCACTTATCCATGCAGTCTATGCCTAAAGGCTAATCACTCTGTAACAGTTACACTTAGCTAAGTCTGTCAAGTCTTTGGGGTTACCCCCAAAGCCTTGTTATTTTGTTTACTCTGATTATCTAGTACCTGTGAAGTTCAACATTTCCCAAAATGCCACTTCCTTAAACACTGACTCAACGTATTTATCAGCTGTGCTAAGCAGAAAGTATTTTGTGAACAAATACATTTAGAAAATGCTTATAGCGTAAAGTAGAGCCTAATCTATAATTATTGTGTAACCATATGGAACAAAGCTTTTTTTTTGCGGGGCTGGGGTTAAGGTATCATATCTGTTTAAATATGACAGAGCTATGAACATGAACACAGCTTAAGAGATTCCAAATTATGAGCTTTCCTATCTCTCTTTAAGACACAGAGTCTCACTTTGTCACCCAGGCTGGATGCAGTGGCTTGATCACTATTCACTGGAATCTTGAACTCAAGGCATCCTGCCGCCTCACTCTCCTGACTAGCTAGGACTTTTAGGCAAGTTCCACTGAGCCTGGCTAATTTTGGATTTTCTGTAGAGATGGGATCTTACTATGTTGCCCAGGCTGGTCTTAAACTCCTGGCATCAAGCAATTCTCCAACTTTGGCCGCCCAAAGCACTGGGAATACAGGTGTAAGCCATTGTGCCTGGCCAACATTGGTAATTCTTGGGAAATCCTGCTCTGATCCTGTTAGCTTAGTTTTTGTAGAAGACAGGCAATATTTTTAAGTCTGTAATACCTAACTTAAATATCTTTAAAAACTACTACTTTAGGAAAAAGAAAATTAAAATTAACACCAAAATGGAACTCCTGATTTGGTAAATGTTTTCCCAATAACATATTATTGTAATATAAACTTTAAAACTCAAAGTCAAGCTAGGAGCAATGGCTCACACCTGTAGTCCACGTTACTTTGGGAGGCTGAGGTAGGTTTCTTAAGCCCAGGAGTTCAAGACTATAATCATACCACTGCACGCTAGCCTGGACAACAGACTGAGACCCCATCTCTGCAAAATTCCAAAACCAAACAAAAAACCTCCTGCAAAATAAAGTCAGTAGAAGCAAGGTTTCCCTTGAGGGGGTAAAATCATGTTCAGAGACAAACCTTAAAACAACATTTAGAATACTAATTCATTCTCTTAGGCAATAAGGGGCAAACACATCCATGAAAACTAGGTATGATATTCAGACGTGAAATTTTAAGAATTTTTTTCTAACACCTACCTTTTCTTTATCTTTTTGAAGTTGTTTCTCCAGTTTTTTGGCTTTACTCGTGGCATGTTTTAACTTTTCTCTAACTTGAACATCTTCCAAATCTAGCTGTGTAAATTTTTCTTTATTCTCCTCAATAAATTTTGTAATTTTATTCAGTTTCCTAGCAAAGCAAGTATATTGTAAGTCATTATTTTGAATGTGCACATATTTTAAAACCACATTTCCTACCTGGAACACTTCCTCTATAAATATGTCCAGGCTCTTAATAAGGCAGGATCCTAAAACTCTCCTTATTCCAAGATGATCCCTCTCCCCATAGTTGAAGAAGCACCTGTATTTTTGATTATGACAGCTATTTTGCCTTTCTAAGTTGGAGGGAAAATAACACATTTTCCAGTGACTACAATGTCTAGGTATATAAAAATTTTACCATAGGAGTAAAATTTTGGTTTTACCTTTTACGAATATACTTACAAGTTACTATACAATAAACTTACTATACAAATTTTTTTATTTAAAAATAATTAGAGATACTAGTGTCATTGAAAAATGGCATCAAGTAGGGACATGATAAAACCCTTAAAAATCTATCTAGAAAAACCCAAATCCTATCCCTCTATCAGATTTGTGGACTACTAAAAGATTAAACTGTGAAGCCAAATGCTTATTGTTTGTTACTGTGCTACGCCACTAGGGGGTAGCATCCCCACGGTTCTAAGACTTCAGAGTAGGGAATTTCATCTGTAACAAGGAACTGGATGCAAGGCAAGTTTTTTTTTTTCACTAAGGGGGCCACCACTTGATATGCTGGCAAATGTCTTACACTCACAATGTGCTAGAAGTAACTTTATATATAAATACACATGTAATACAATTATCTAAATACTTTTAGTACTTCCCAAAATATTATTACTTTTCTGTATCTTTTACATCTTTATTCTTAGCTTTCATTTCATTTGATAGTATATTGCTCTTCTCATTAATTTCTTTGGTATCTTCATGAATTTTTTCCTTTTGAGTTTCCATTTCAGCAATTCGTTTCTGCAACTCATAACTATAGGGAGGAAAAAAAAAAAAAGAAATTGAAGCTCCTAAAATGCCATTTCCAAAACTGTATAACAATTTTAGTAAAACTAACTGTTTCTAAAATATTATTAACTAGTCAATATATGACTGCCTAGGCTATGAGGGGAAAATCCCCCTGGGTCAAGGCTAGAATTTAGGAACAAAAATCGATTTCATTGTACCAATGTGGTGGCCGACGCCTGTAATCCCAGCACTTTAGGAGGCTGAGGCAGGCAGACTGCCTGAACTCAGAAGTTTGAGACCAGCTTGGGCAACATGGCGAAACCCCATCTCTACCAAAAAAAGAAAAAAGAAAAAATAAAAACAAAAAAATCCCAGCAACAATAATAATAATAATAATTAGCCAGGTGTGTTGGTGTGTGCCCTGTAGTCCCAGCTACTCATGAAGTGGAGGTGGGAGGATCAACTGAGTCCGGAAGGTTGAGATTGCAGTGAGCCGTGATCACACACTGCACTCCACCCTGGGTGAAACAGCCCATCTCAAAAAACAGTTCATCATAAGCTGAAAAAAATCAGATCTGCTATTACACGAATTTTAAAAAGTGCACACGTAAAAGGACTGAGTACAGTAATAAATACCTGTGAACCTACCTCCCAACTTAAAGCAGGATACTAAAAAGTCAACTTCAATGAATTAATATGCCTAATTTAATAAATTCAACCCTGGTGATCAACGGGATGACAGGTGTCACAGCCAGATAGTCCTCACATTGGATAAGTTCACCACATAATTCCTTTTTTTGTAGAGATGGGGTCTTGCTATGTTGCCCAGGCTGGTCTTGAACTCCCAGCCTCAAGTGATCCTCCTGCCTTAGCCTCCCAAAGTGCTGGAATTACAGGCATGAGCTAACACATTCAGTCACACAAAACAATATTTAGAGATTTTTTTTCACTTCAGTCTTCATGTTTCTCTAGGAAAAGAGAAGGGCTTTGACTTAATGGTTAAAAACTAATATAAAAATTGGTAATATCAATCAAGGCACTTACATATAATATTGACAAACATGATTCTTTTTTCTAAATATTTCATTTTCCAAGGTAAGAAATTCGATAGCTATGTTTTTCTCTCCTTCTAAGGCATCCTTTTCCTTTTCCACCATCTTTACCCTGTTTAACTACAGAAATTAAAAGTTTAAAGACTGAATACACACTTCATATGTACAATATGAACTTAAAATATGCAAACATTAGATAAAAACAGTTAATAAGGAGAATGTTCATCTTAAATGTTAAGATATAAATTTCAATATAACACTTCTTCATTAAGTATTATAACATGAATATCTGACTTACTAAAATTTGTTAGATCATAAATGAAACATTCTGATTTACAATGAAAGTCTACAGATGATTCACCTTCTCTCCTCTGTGTTCATTTAATATTTCAACTCTCCGACACAAGACTTTAATAGGTTCATTTAGCCGTCCACAACCAATTATATCTTCTAAATATTCAAGCATACCCTCATCGTGTTCAGTCTGGCCTTTTGGTTTCATCATAGCAATTTGTTCAACTTCACCCTTTAAAAAAAAGTTATATTTCATACTCACTGTGTATGTTTAGCTAAATCAATCTTAAGTGAGAATTGGGAGCAGTTAAATAATAAAGCCAAGAGTAATAAACATCTAAATAATGTACAGTTAGTAGTGCAATGATTTAATAAGGTATAAATAAAAATGTTATTTTCACTGGTATTCCTAAGAGTTTTAATTTTACACAGGGAGATATGAAACATGAATTTATATTCCCTTAGATAAATCCTTATAAAAGTGTAATATACACCCACTTACACACACTCATTTCCCCAACTAGAATGTTCAATATAAATAAATAAAACTTGTTTCTTTAAGTAAAATTTAGGAAAGCTTTCACTTAATCTGCAATCTGATTATAGTGGAAACATTATCAATTGTTAATAACACAATTGAAGCTCCTGTTCTAAAACAAAGAATTTTCAAAAACACTTGCATGGTTAAACTGTGTTAGGAACCCTGTCCCAAAGTAGTATTACCAACTTTCTCTACAAACATGGTTTTTAGGAGTTCCTTAACAAGTAATGGGTTTCAAAGGTAGTCAAAAACTTACATGTTCAGTTTTCTAAAAACAAGAGCCTTTGACAGAAAAGGATATTACCTATTTCTCATGGTAATAACAGAAATCAAACAGACCACCTTGACTAGAGAAAACTAATGGCACTGGTACATAAGACATCAGAAAACTTTCAGTTTGTAATCACTAATATAACAACTTTGAACTGTAATTAAAATCTTAGATTAACTTTACATATTTGCATTTATGCAGTTTAATTATGAAGAGTAAAGAGAAAAAAAATCCATAATAAGTAACCATCAAGGCTGACTGCTAGGCAGTCATTTAGTTTGATGGTGGAGAGAAAATTGTGTCTGAGTATGTTCAGGCCAAATGCTGCTACGTTATAGGAGTAGCTTGTTTGTACTCTAGACTATTACAATGGAAGAATAGGTACAGGCAAATGAAAAAAGATATACCTCTTATTTTCAACAAAATAGCAAAGACGAAAAAAGTCAACAAAAAGAATTACACATTAAAAATAGTATATTGTTTTCTTAATTCAAATATCTTAGTGATTCCTATTTCCTAAGTGAATACAGGTGAACCTTAAAAATGTGGGGTAAAACTTACTAATGAGAGCATCATAATTCACCAAAAGCCTCAACATAATTACAAAAAGTAAACAATTCAATAACAGTGGACAAAACAGCTTATTTGAAAATCTACTCATTAAGAAATAATTTTATTTGCATAAATCACTTTTCGATACTTCTGACAGTCTATAAGCACAATGATTATCAAAGTAAAACTGTTACCCCAAAAGTTATTTTCCATAACATTCATTATATTATGTATGAATCGGTATATAAGTGAAAATATGTAGATATTTATATAAAGTATTTTATTCTGCTTTCAACTGTTAGTTCTCTCTAAATGTTTGCAGCAAGAGTTTAAGTTTTAGACAGGATTGAAGCCTGGAAAAATGCCCAAACCTTTGGATTACACAGGATGAACGTTAAGTCACTGAGGAAGCCAAGAGTCTTATTCAAGTTTGTATCTACGTAGGGTTTATCAACAGTGGCACTACTGACATTTTGGGCTGGATATTCTTTGTTGTGGAGAGCTATGCTGGGCATTATAAGATGCTTTAATAGCATTTCTGACCTTCACCCACTAGACACCAGTAGCATCCCCACTTCTACCAGCTATAACAACCGAAACTGTCTTCAGACGTTACTGAATGTCCTATGGGAAAAGGGGCAGAATTACTGTCAGCTGAGAACTACTGATCTAGAGGCTGCAGTTTGTTTGTTCACTCATTTATTATTTTTTTGAGACAGGGTCTTGTTCTGTCACCTAAGCTGGAGTACAGTGGTGTGGTCTCAGCTCACTGCAGCCTTGACCTTTCAGACTCAAGCGATCCGCCCACCTCAGTGTCCCAAGTAGCCGGGACTACAGATGCACACCACCACACCCAGCTAATCTTTAAAAAAAAATTTTTTTTGTACACATGGTGGTCCCTCTATGTTGCCCAGGCTGGTCTCGAACTCCTGGGCTCAAGCGATCCTTTTGCCTCAGCCTCCCAAAATGCTGGGATTAAGGGCATGACCCACCATGCCTAGTCTAGAAGTTGTAGTTTAAATCCTGTGGGTTAGTGTTTATCATCCAAATAAAAAACAATATCTGACAATTAATATTCTACCCAATTCAAGGAGAATATCTGAACACTTATTTTAAGAAAATGAAAAACCATCCCAAAAGAACTTACATTTGAGTCAAATGGCCATAATGTATTATTTAAGTATACATTTTTCAGATAGCTAAAAGTTGGGATTCAGTGTTTAACAGTTTACGCTGACAAAAATATTCCTTAAAAACATTGTATTTCTCCTGGCAAATTACTTACTGAAGAGATAGAGTACAGCTATTAAGAAACAGCTTAGCTTTGGGTAAATAACAATGGTTGCTCATTTTTGGTTGTTTGTTCCTCTCTCTCCAAATAAAATGAAAGATACAGCTATGATTTCCTCTAATAGAGTTGAGCATTTTTTTTTTTAAAGGCAGGATATTTACAAAGCAAAATAGTTACATCTCAACTCCTGTATAACATTCAGTCTTTTTTTTTTTTTTTTTTTTTTTTTTTGAGACGGAGTTTCGCTCTGTCGCCCAGGCTGGAGTGCAGTGGCGCGATCTCGACTCACTGCAAGCTCCGCCTCCCGGGTTCACGCCATTCTCCTGCCTCAGCCTCCTGTGTAGCTGGGACTACAGGCACGCGCCACCATGCCCGGCTAATTTTTGTATTTTTTAGTAGAGACGGGGTTTCACCGTGTTAGCCAGGATGGTCTCGATCTCCTGACCTCGTGATCCGCCCGTCTGGGCCTCCCAAAGTGCTGGGATTACAGCAGTCTTAAGATTATTATACCGTATTGCTTTTTTTTAAACCAGTTACCATATTATCAGATTAGCATTATTGAATCAACAGGCTATTAACAGGCCTTTACTTGTCCTTTGACTATTAAGACTACTGTGGTATTACAATGACAACCTGGGACTTTTCTTGTTGCTCTGTTCTTTGATGTCCTTTGCCTGCCCTACCACTTGCTACCATTTCCTTTCTTCCTTCTTTTTCCATTTGTGCCATCTCCTATGTAATCTGTAGATTGACAGTCTGTGCCTAAAGGATTCCTCCTTATTTCTTCAGAAAACTTACATAACTCATGTAAAATTACAGAATATAGTTTTAATTTAGGGCAATAAGCTCAATATATTTCAGAAATAATTTTAAAACATCAACCTGAATTTAAAGTCATATCAAGGTTCAATCCAAGTCACAAATAGTGACTGGCACAATCACAGACAAAAAATGTTTCAAGTCGCTACAACACTATTATCTGATGCTGACAAAGTTTCATATGTTCCCAGTGTTATCTCTATTTCTTGTATCTTAAAGCATATGAAACAAGGTCTTAAATGATTTTTCCCACCACTGTTATCTTAAGTTATGGAACACTTTCTTGAGTGGCAAACAAGGATATTATGATCCAGTTATACCACTCTTTGAGAATCAATTTACTGAAATACAGCTTAGAAATCTAAGAGGAATGAATAGGTATGATGCCCTTTATCCTTATTCAAATGTAATCCAAATTTTAGCAAGCATCAACTACAGAAAACTCAAACAGTACATAGCTATAACAAAGTTTTGTTGTCCTAGTAAGGCCTCAATTATTCTTCTCTTTATTTTTACTTGTAATTACTATGAAGGAGGGTTTCAGTGATTCTTACAGCAAATATGAGTGTTTGCATAAAAATTAAATGGCCTAAAATTACTGAGGTTTAAGTTTTTATCTTGATCATCTTTTTATTTTCTATATCTTTTATTATACTATACTATAAATTAGTGTTCTTTATCTTCCTCCAATACATTTTACTCTAATTTGATCTTTGTAAGCTACCAGAGGCCAAGGAACTAAACCACCAAGGTTAGTATCTTTCTAAAATAAAACAGAAAGAGTAACTTGTTAGTAGCTGGACTTCTTGATATCTATTTCTGGTTGGTTAGAGGTAGCTTCCTTGCTGCTCTCCACCACCTTCACCCTAGTTGTGGATATTGAATCAGACACCTTTGGAAAACTGAGGCATTACTGAAAAAACTAAAAATTTCTTTTGATATTATAGCATAGGCTCATTTCTACAGACTAAGAGACTAGAACCCAAGTAGTTTATGTGACAAGCTTAAGAGAAGTACATTGGAAAAAAGAACAGATGGCTAGGCAACAACTCAGACCTAGGTTAATTAAATCTCCAAATTACAAAATAATTAAAAAAAAAAAAAAGAACTTGGCTATTATTTATTTATTTAGAGACAAGGTCTGTCACCCAGGCTGGAGTGCAGTGGTACGATGTTGGCTCACTGCAACCTCTGCCTCCTGGGTTTAAGCAGTCCTCCCACCTCAGCCTCCTGAGTAGGTGGGACTATAGGGGTGTGTCACCATGCCCAGCTAATTTTTGTATTTTCTATAGAGACATAGTTTCACCATGTTGCCTAGGCTGGTCTCCAACTCCTGGGCTCAAGTGATCTGCCTGCCTCAGCCTTCCAAAGTGCTGGGATTATAGGCGTGAGCTAATGCACCCAGCCTGGTTCGTGTTTCAAACTTTAGATTTTGTAATATGAAGACAAAAGCATATGAAGTTGAAAACTTTGACAAAATTAAAGTTGTGCTAATAGTTGTAGCTTTTGAGGAGTTTACAAAAATATTCCTGAGGCAGCAATCATTAATACAACTTTTTAGTAAAAACATTAACCATTCTTCTACCCCTGAATGGAGCAAAAGCACCCCTAATTTATAAGTCATAGTTACCCAAGAAATGTTATACAGAGCTAATAAAACTCTACTTGTACAGACTTACAACGGGACCGAGGCTCCCAAAGTAGGTATATATAAAAGAAAATGTACGATTATAAAAAACACAATGGTCAATCACAACAAACTTTTTGAAGGCATGTATGTGTCTTTAAGGACAAGAAATAAGGTTTAGCCATCTTAATATTACTTACAGCATTTTAGCATAGTGCCTTAATAGGAATTCAATTGAATGGCCAATTAATGAAATTTTTAATGGATTTAAGTAATAAAAATGCCTACTTGAAAAATTTGCTAAGCGAATATATTAACACTGAAAAATTTTACTCTTAGGAACTTCTAAAAAATTTGGTTCTTTTTAATCTCAAAAATAAATGTTTATTTTTACTAAATTTAGATTACTTTTGCTGTTAATCACTATTACTGGCCAAATAGTCTACATGTTTTATTCCAAGTAATGATTTAGGTCTTGGATGTTGATACTACGATGCTGTTTCCAATTTCTCAGCCTCCCAAATCAGTTTTTAAGATAGATGTTATTCAGTAGGAGAGAAGGTAATAAAAATCACATTTTTACTTACCATCAAATGCTTTAAATTGCCAGTTAGGAGTCTGAGATTTTCATAAGCGACTTAAAAAAAACAATCCATAGAAACCATTGTCACTTTCCCTCAAAGTTTTAATTGGGCACTATTAGTTCTACCGTAGTCCAATCCCTGTTTCTTATTCCTAACAAGTGAGTTCCTAAGGTCCTTATCTATAAATTTAATTGAGTCAAACTGAATCTGTTAACTTGGAACATTCACCTTTGTATTATTTGGGAAGAAATGTTTTTTAAACAATTGTAAAGATCACATAAAAAGGTTCAGATTATCATGTGAACAAATTGGCTTTAGCATCCCATATACTTCAGAAGCACAAATGTAATATAAATTTGACAATTTATAAATTATTTACTTCGTTGGGACAATATTACATTAGCTTCCTTTATTACTGAATTACGTACAGAGATGCTGTACAGAGAAAAAAATTATCCTTAGAAGGGTTAAAATGCAGTGTATTTTGATGAATCTTTGGATAAATGTAAAACTTTGATTATCCCAGGATGACGGTAAAAGATTAAGCAAAAGATAAACATAAGTACAATTTCCTGCAAATTGGTATCATCATCAAATTTAGTATTATATAGGGACATAACTTTTTATCCATTATTAACCAAACCAAGTCCCAGAATATGTAAGTCAATAAAACAGTTCAATTTGATTTTAAAAACACACAAAATCCTTTAATGCCACATTCTATAAATTCCAATCTTGTTTAGAAATATATCTGCAATTAATTTCCTCAACATTAATTTTTAAATAAGTTTAGGTTGAAGTATTGCAAATATACTGTGCCTGGTAACAAAAGATATTAAAAAAGGTTATCCTAGAATGATACTGATTTACCTTGTATACTATGAATGTCTAAAAGTAATAATTTTTAGAAACAATTGAAGAATAAAGACTAAAATGGAAACAGAGGCTAACATTTTATAAGTTTGTTATTAGGAACATCCAGTCACCCTAACAAAATTCCCTACTTATTTCAGTCATTTCTGCATCACAAAATAGTTTTGCTTTTATTATGCTTCGGTGATTCTGGATAGAACACAGGAAAAGAAGATACCCTCGAATCAAACAGGAACTTGACAAAGCCATGGTTTTACCCTAATTTTTTTTTTTTCCGAAAAATTCTGAATTTTGAGGACAGGGAAAAAAAGATAGGGGATTTTTCTTACCAAGCCATGCTGGTAGAATATACTTTTACTTAAAGAAAACAGGGTTTCTAATAAAAATCAGTTTGGCACAGGTACTTAATTTTTACATCTCTTTAAAAGGACTTGCTCTGTAACAGCTCTGATACTTAACAATGTAATATCAAAGTTTCGTTCTTTCAGTAGTAGTGGTTCCACCAAGTAAGTCATTTTCAACAAAACAAAAACCAACTTGAGTAAAGGTTAAGTTAACCATCCAAAGTGTTACAAAGATTAAATTAACTAGGTGCTTAGGTAAATCAAACACCAAGTGTACAGATTTTTTCATTTTTTGGTTATATATCAGAAGAGATAATAAGAACAAAAACAAAGGAAAAGGATAGATTAAAATATAATACATTTCATTTAAAATGTTACCTTAAAGGGAAATACAAACAATTGATAAAATAGTTGCTGTATCCCTGTCACACTAAAGCAGCACAGTAATATTGGTGTTTAATATATATTTCACTACGCCAATATTTACGTGCTGCTAGAGTGGAACAAGTATGTCAGTTCATCCAAACATAAAACGAACATCTGATGATGAAAACATAGTTTTGAATGAATTTCCTTAAATTTCTAGAGCAGCAAATAATGATTCGCATCTTGACTGTAGCATGTAAACCATGATGTGCTGCTACAGTACTTTAAGGCCTCAAAAATGTAGGATTCATCCAACCTAGCTTTATAGAAAAAAAAGTAACAAGAATAAGAGAATCTTTGAAGTCTTTAATAAACTTACCTGTAAAATTAAAAATCTATTATGGTCCAAGTCAATTCCATGGCTTCGAAGAAGATTTCCAACATCCTTAAATGTCTTTTTCTTTCCACTTATGTGATAGACAGAAGTATTATCTCTGCAGGCCGTTCTGGATACATAGAAATTACTGTTAGGAATGACTTCATAATCATCCCCTTCCTGTTTTGAGGAAAAACAAAACCAGAAAACAATTGTTGGTATTAAGTCATAGGCCTACTTCAAAATTCACTCATTTCATACTGAAACTAATTCTATGGATTAAAAACTTCAATTGAACATGCACACAAACTGCCAGTAGTTCTCATTAATAACCCAACTTAGCAAAGAATTGATACTTTTCCATGCTGTTTTGGTCCCTTTCTCAAAGATCACAAAAATCAAGAAGCCAAACCAACCAGCCAACGAAAAAACCCACCTCCAAACAAGCCTAAAAACGTTTATGATTGAGAAGACGTAGACAAGATTCCCACCATATCCAAAACCCACACAAATTATTAACATGTTGACAGATTAAAAAGCTGCAGCTTTTTAAAATGATGATTCAAAGAAAAAGGAAGGAAGGTAGTAACCGGGTGATACACTTTAGTTTTTTTGTGTGGGAGGGTAAAGAGTGTGCCGTTAATTTAAAGTAAAAAGAATCACAAAGAAATAACAACTAAATTCCCTTGATTTTCTTTTAAACAGATTTTTAAAAAAATCAATTGCAAATCTACTTTAACACTTTCCCTTAACCTTAAAAGTTCTGTCATACTGAAGCAAAGGCTTCTAAAATTTAGATAAATCAAATGTAATTAATATGCAATGGAATAAAATCTGATTTCCTGGCAATCTATTTTCCAACCCAACTTGTACAATAGAAAGCACAAAAGAAACCAAATTAAAATAGATGATTCTGTGTAATTAAAGCACTTTGTATTAAAAAAAGGAAAACGAATTCAAAAGACAAATCACCTCCCAATTTCATTATGTAATTAGTTTTCTATATTTTTAGGTTCCATCGAGTCATTTTTGAACAATCAATTTCCTACATTATTAAACAGAAGAGAAAAAGTCTCAACAGGTAAATAATCTAGACATTTTACCTCTAGTTGTCTCCATTTCTAGAAAACAAACATTAGCTTGTCCTTCCCCCATTTCTAAAGGACTTAATTACAGCAGTAGTCAAACTGAAGCAAAGCTCTTTCATATCACAGATACTCAGGGGCCACTAACATTAGAGTTAAAATGCACTGAAATAATGAAGATGGTAAAACCGGCTAACTGCTACATTTTCAAGTTTAGCTAATTTATTCTAAAGCAATCAAAATATAACTTTAAAAATGAACTGAATATTTATAGTAAAATAATGCCTATTTAGTACTCAGGACCCTAAAACTGCTCAATGCTTTTATTCCAAAAAGGATTACTATGAACTATTTATACTTCATTTCTTTAGCTAAAAAATAAGTATTTTAACAGGCACCACCACTCCCCCAAAATAAAATACGGTCAGAGATAATGAAACCAATGCTTTCCGCTGTAATTACATACAAATTTCTTAAAGCCAAAAATAAAATATGTAATGCATTTAAGTCCATTTTCCTTACTTGAACTTGCCAATAACAGTAAAAATCCCTTACCTTATCAATTATCTTTTGAAAATGAACTTCTACTGTACAACTCTGAATGTCCTTGTGTTCATCAGAATTATGTATTAATACTGAGAGTTTTTTAGATCTTATTTTTTGTGCTCGATAGCCAAACACAAAAAGCATAGAATCAATAACATTGGATTTGCCACTGCCATTTGGCCCGATAATACAGGAAAAGCGCTGCATTAAAAAAACAAAAACAAAACACGGAAAAGTTCATAAGGTCATGCTAATACTACTGATTTTAACTGAAACTGTTAGATTTTTTTACTTGCAGTTAAAAACTGCAAGTATTTAAAAGTTCTCATTGCTAATCACAGGCATACGACTTGAGTTTTCTTACATCAAGTTCTCTCTTAAAAGCTTCAACATTCAATAAGAATGCTCCAATTCTAACGCAGACGTTTTAGAAAACTCATTTTATAGTTAAATTATCTAAGGGTTCCATAGAAGGCTTTAAGAAAAAAAAATTATCCAAGGGAAAATACTCTTTCAAACAGAAACACACACCGACTCCATTCAATGGAAAACTTTGTAACTAGAGGTACCAAAGATAACCAGATAAACAAAAGATAATTTCAGTGTTAAAATCATATGAAACGTGTGTGTGTGTGTGTGAGAGAGAGAGACAGAAAGACTATCAGGATAAATAGGGAGTGAATGAATTTTAGGATAGTTACAAAACTGAAACATCTTGTAAAAACGTATTACCTTACAATAGTTATTTAAAAAGTTATAAAATAGTTATTTCCATACAAATACCTTATGGAAAGGTCCCAGAATTTTCTCCCCAGCATAGGATTTGAAGTTCTGGTTTACAATATGAGTTATCATAAGCCGAGGAGCTCCAGCTTCATTGGTCATTGCTGGAGGCGGGGGAGGAGGAATGCTGTTCAAAATCTCTTCTAAACTTCTATTATCAAGTTCCTCACTTGCAGTCTCTAAGTCAGTGAAAGGAAAGGAAAACGAAGGCAAACGGCGGGGGAAAAGCCTACATTAGTGCAATTAGTTCGGAGAACTAATGACTGCCCATCTTTAAAGTAGGGGATGGAGGGATGTTATTTATGAAACTTAGGAGTCTATATTTTCCACTTAAATATGTTATTATCTTAAACTCACGGGGGTGACTAAACCTTCAGCTTGGTTTTACTAAAAAAGAAATTCTTGAAAGAAATGCCACCGGTCACAAAATTCTATACACCTATACCTCTTAAGAGTCAAAACACTACATCATAGAGCAAATCTGGGAAAACCGTAACAAGCTATTTCCTGCTGCCTATCCTAAACAGGAGGTTAAATCCTAAGGCTCTAGATGCAATTCTCCGTACCGCTGAGCACCTGGAACCTTCATTTTGGAAACTCATGAACTTCAGCGACACTGCCACGAGGGTTTAATAATGTCACCCAACTCCTGGACTCACAAAAGCTACAGTGGCTTCAAATAAATTATCGTCTTCTCTTTAACGGCAATCTAACACCACGGAGGTGAGGTTAGGGTCAAAAAACTTTTCATCATGCTCACATAGTCATATTGATTGTCTCTGGGAAAAAAGTCCACTTGCTCTCTTGATTGACCGTCTCGATTTTAGCGGGAATACAATAAAGATATTGAATTTTTGTTTGTGACCTGTACCATTCCACAGGTCACAAACAAAAATTCACAACTGAACCCGTTTGCTCGCCCCCATCCCTTCCAGCGCCGTTACACCAAAATTGCACGGGAATCCTATCTCAAAGTTGCCAAATGGCTTTCCTGAGCCTCTACCGGACCGACACCGGACCTTCAGATGTCAACTCCGCGCTCAACAACCCCAGCCAGCCTCGGGCTGGGCGCGTTTGCCTGCCAGTCCCACAGCGCGCGTTCCCGCCGAGTCGCGGCGGGTCACTCACCTGCGGCGGTGGCTGGGCTCTCCGTGCGGCCGGACGGCGGCTCAGGCTCCGCGTCGCTGCTGGCGCCGTCAGGGGACGGCGGCGGCGGCCCTTCCTCTCTGCGCCGGGCAGTGGAGGGCTGGGTGCCTTTACGGGGCATGGTCGCTGGGGCCGGGGGACAGCCGGGAGCAAGTCAGCCCGCGGGCCGCTACACCGCGCCCGCCCCACCCGGGGAAATCTCGGTCCACCGGCTTCCGAGAGCCCCGCTTAACACTCCGCTTAGAGGCAGCGGGACTTCGGGAAGGGAGCCATCGAAAGACACGAGTGGCAAGAAGGCAGGACTGGTTTCTTAACAAGACCTATGTAAGTGGGAAAATCTAGACGTGCCTGAGGATCAATCAACGATTGAGCAACTGCTTAGTTTGTTGTTGTTGTTTTTAAGGCTCTCCACCCGTCCGCCCATAGTATAAGCGTATAATATTCGCTAACGCATTTCTAATTAAGGAACTCCCATACGCCAGCATTTCCGGACATTCCCACGCTTTCGGGGCCAGGGATGCAAGCGCGCACCGACGTGGAGAAACGAGTTCGTGTCCGGGTCAGGATCCCGTGGCTAGCAACTCTCTCCAGAGCGGTGAAGACTAACTGGCGACTCGCCGCCCGCTTTCGTCTGCCCGCCCTTTAGCTCCTGGCGCCGTTGACGGCCCGGGGCATAACGAAGTCTCCCTCCTCTCAGCGGTCGGACCGCGAAGGGCGAAGGCTGGGACTAACCACTAGCAACTTCAAGTCGGACGCTGGCAGCGCTTGCTAATTTTGGAGTGGCAAGAGTTTGTCTCTCCAGCTCCCCAGGCGGAGTCCCGTTGGACAGTAAACCATGAAAGGTCACCAGCGAAGGCTGAGACCCGGTGACTAGTCCGTTGGCAGAAGGAAGAGGGGTAGGGGGAGACGCCCTTTTCCAGATAGAGACTAGGATTTTTTAAAGAAAAGATCTGCGAGGCTCAGGGCCTCCCCGAGACATTTGAGTAGCTTGGAAAAGTGGCGCCCGGGAGCTGCGCGCGGGAGCCCGGGCCGCCGGGGAGCGGCCGAGGGGGGAGGGGTGACAGCAAGAGAAATCTCCCAGCGGCAGCTTCAAGCCCGGACTTCGCCGCTCGGGCTCAAGGCCTCTATTTTCCAGGCGCTCGCGGACAAGGCAGGAAGTAAGAGCGTGACAACCTGACCAGGAAGAGAAGTACTTTACCTGCAGGACAGTCCACTCAGACCAAGGCTGGAGACGGTTGTGTAGTACCCACCTCCCCGCTCCTACCGGTGTTTCGGCTCCGGGTCCTTCACTCGAAAATGGCGCCTAAAATACAAACTCGAACGGAAATTCGTTACAAATGCGCGCAATGATTTCTGGGATCCACTAATTTGAAAAAAAGTGCGGCGATTATCACCGCCATCTTATTGTCGCTCCTGCGCATGCGCGAACTCCTGGCGGGACCTACGCGGTAGAAGTTTCTACTAAGTGAAAAGGAAGAGCGAGGGATTCTTTTCTCTGTGGTCTACAGCAGCAGCACTATTATTAAAAATATTTGGAAAGACAACCTGGCAAGTTTTGAAAAAGATTTTTTTAAAAACGGTAGGGTTCCGCTCACAGTGGGAGGCGGGGCTCAGTGGTCCAGAAACGCCTCTTCAGAAGAGGGCGGGCTCGCCGAGAGGCGGGGTCTCGGGCCCACTCGGATGACGTGCCGCGTAGAAGTATCGCGGGAAGAGGAAGGGAGCGTAACTCTTAGAAGTCACTATGGTGACGGGGAGGTACCAGGTATTTGAGAGCAATCGCCACCGCTTTCCTGGAACTTGAGGTAAATCCCTTCACCTCTGGACCTGGTGAGAAAAGGGTTTGGAAGTTGTAGCCATCACTGGATCCCATCTTTCCTGTTTTGAAGCTGTGTGCTTCGTGGAGCATCATTTTCTGTCTCCCTGGCGGCAGCGGGGCTCCGGGTGTAGCTTTTGGGATGCGAAGGAGGAAGCCCTAAATTTTAAGGGAGTAGAGAGACAACTGGAAGACCTGGATTCGTGATAGCTTAGTCGACATGTGAATAGCGCAATAATGATTTTCGAGATCATTGGTGTTACTAGTGAAAGGTTTAGGACTTTTAAAATAATTTGACTAAAAGGCTCTTTAGTGGAAAAAACGACTCGCCAGTGTTATGGTTATTTTTATGAGGAAATTATCGATCAGCAAATATTCCCTAAGTAGTGTTTGTATACATTGCCCTGGGTAAGGCATAATTAGAATTAGTAAGCAAGTTTGGCGATTCCTGTTCCCCGAGAACTTAGTTTTAGTGGGTTTTTAACCTGAGGTCTGTGGATCTGGTGGTAGGTGATTGGGCTTCAGAGTTCATAACTCGCCTGACATTGTATACATAATTCTATGTGCATTTTTCTGGGAAGTTAGTTTTCCTACAACTTTATAATCAGAATCTCATACTTGCTCCTAATTCCCTATATTGTTAAAGAGCCACTGGCTCATTTGACTATCTCCAGTATTCATGCAACAACTCTTAAGTACTTGACATTGAGAACTACTAGCCTCCTTTTTTTTTCTTTAACTTTTGCTTACTTAGGGTCTGGCATGTTAAATCACCATTAAATCTCCCTTTTGAATGAATTTACATGATCACTCTAAATACATTATGGTTCTTCCCTGGAAGAGCATGAAGTCAGGTTCAGTGATTCTCAAAAAGGTGTGGAGAGCCACCCCCCTCCCAACCAATTGTAAGAATTTGGTGAGGTTGGGAGACTGGTGTGTATTGCATAAGCGTAGACTCAATATCGTGATATATCTTTATGTTTGAAGTTAAAAACGAATTGTTGTTTTCATAAAACAAGCTACAGAAAATAAACCTTAATGAAAAAAAGTTTTTTGGCTGGTAAGCATACCAAGAAGATATAAGGATTATCTTTGAGGGCTTCTGGAATTTTTGCATTTCCAAAGGTTGTAAAACACTACAAAACCTGAGTTGGGGAGGTATCAACTATGCGGATCACCTGAGGTTGGGAGTTCGAGACCAGCCTGACCAACATGGACAAACCCCGTCTCTACTAAAAATAAAAAATTAGCAGGGCATGGTGGCGCATGCCTGTAATCCCAGCTACTAGGGAGGCTGAGACAGGAGAATCTCTTGAACCCGGGAGGCGGAGGTTGCGGTGAGCCGAGATAGTGCCGTTGCACTACAGCCTGGGCAACAAGAGCGAAACTGCGTCTCAAAAAAAAAAAAAAAAAAAAAAGTATAGACCAAATTGAGTGGTGTATTTGGGGCAACAGAGCACAATGTAGTGGAAAGATGTAATATAGAAAACAGAATCCCAAGTTCCATCATTTTTTAGGTATATGCTTGACAGTTTCCTCAGTTTGTCAATCTTGAGAGTATTTATTTATGAAACTAGCATATAATACCTGTCTCATCATACTGTTTATGATTGTTCATCTAGCACATGCTCCATAAGGATTTGATTTTGCTGTGTTTATGACATTGAACTTATCAAAGTATGCTAAGGATGAATAATGGGATATCAAGTTAGAGGAAGGGTAGCTCCTGAAGGATCTTGAAAACCAAGTCAAGGATGTTAGATATGATATGGAGGAAACAGCTTTTAGAACAATTCTGAGCCAAGGAATGACTTGGTAAATATAGGAAGAATAATTAACAGTAGTTATGTGGGGTATGTTAAAGGGGAAAGAAACTGAGATCAGTCTAGGCTTTAGTTAAGATTGTTACTATATAACAGTAAGTGAGAAGTGCCTAAGTAGGATGGAAAAAAATCTGGAGTCATTTTGGGGTAAAAATCTATAGCTTTTGTAGATTGTGATGGTTCAGAGTATAAACCCTTGAAGTCAGTCATATACTATTCTTTGTGTATCCTTGAATTAGTGATAAGGTATAGGAAGAACGATAAGTCACAGAAAATATAGTTTTGATAAATCAACTGACTGATGGCCTTAAATTTAATTGAACCTAACCATTGCCCACTCAGAAAACTATTTTGAAAAGGGGCATAAACCAGGTTGTATAATGAGAAAACATAACAAACAGCTACAGAGTAGACTTAAATCTGGAGATTTATATATACCACAAAAATAAGACATTCAGAATAAGTATAAATTTTGAGAAGATATTAGAGTCACAAGAAATAAAGACTTTTGGTTGATTGTTGCCAATATTTTGGACATGTCTCATGAAATTAACAGAGTTTAATTACAAAGAGAAGCTGGCCTACCTGGAAAAGACTGGGTTACAGTCATTTTGGAAAGTATTGCTATAACTGGGTCTTATCTTCCTAGTCTAAAATGATCTGTCAGTAATCTCTATCTGCAATTTCAGGCAGTCTTAGAAGGAAAACCTCACTTTTTACATTAGAAAAAAATTATACCCCACAGGAAGAAATAAGTTCAAAGAGAAAAATTGGAATTAGAATTAAAATCTTCATTTTCAGTTCTTTAAGTGCAAGGTTTTTTCATCATTTTAACAATATGTGTTTTGTTTGCCTTCTAATGTCATAACATTTCAGAAAGGCTGAAATTAGATTTCTGAGTAAATATTTTAAAAGATTAAATTTGTAATTGTAAATATTTAGATAAATTAGATATTAACTAATATGAATTTATGTAAGTATTGTATAAATATTTAGAGAATATTGTTCAAGATTAATAAATTAGATATAGACACAGTGCAGATAGAAGTGAATATTCCTCTTGATAATATAAGCACCTTGGTATATTAATGTTACCGAAACACACATAACTTATCACCGAAAACCCAGGAAGCTAGAAGGCAGAACAGCTCTTTTTTGGAAATATCATTTTGAAAGATAAGTATGTTTTTATTCCGTAGGTTGGAATTCTGGAAAGATATATTCAACAAGCAGTAGAGGTAGAGAGTATGGCTTAAGAGAGAAAATAAAATGGGTAGTGCTGTAAGAATAACTGGATCACTAAAAATAGGTTAGGTTTTTAAGATTGTAAGTGGAGAGAAGCTAGCACCAGACCAAGGATATTAAGGAAATGTTCATTTTTAGAATGTAAGAAGAAGAAATAATTACAGTAATATCTAGGATAGGAGCCTGTTGATTACAAGTGACAGAAAACCCAATCCAAATTGTCTTGAGAAAAAACAAATATTGTCTCCTGGAACTAAAAAGTCAGGTGACTATAACTGGATTAAGGGTTCAGACAAAGACACAAGGATTTGGTTTCTTTCCTTGCTTTGAACTCCATTGTGTTGGCAGTATTTTCAGGTTCCGTATGATGGCCTCTAGCACCTTTTGGCTCTCCCCTTGCTGTGGTAAGATAGCTACAGCAACTCCAGCCTCATATCTTCTAAAATTAAAATCCAAGGGGGAATGAGAGTTTCTCTTCCCCAGCATTGATTTGAATAAAAGTCCTGGGCCACCTGTGAAACAGTCTGTGCAAAGGGAATGGAATGCTCTAATTGGCTTAAGTCTGGGCCTCATGCCACATGGGCTAACAGTGAGGAAGTGGTTGTTGCAAAGAGAAATTCTTTTTAGGTGGGAAAAGAGTGACTATATATATGCAGGGTGAAAAAACAACTTTCACTGGAAATACTAACATTTATTAAGTGCTTACTGTGTATTGGGTACTCTACTGGACACTTTACATACTTTATCTCATTTAATCATCATAACTAATTTGTCAGGTAGGTATTATTAGCCTCATTTTACATAAGAAAGTAAACAAAGTATAGTATCTTCATGAAGATAAGCCAGGTGAGAGTTTTAATAAGAAGGGGATTCAAGTGTGGAGAATGGTGATCTTATAAAAATATTATTTATTAGGGTTTTATAGAAATGCAGAAATGCATAAAAATTAGGTCATAATCCTTTCACTCAGATAATTCTATATTAAATATATAAGTGGATAGATTAAATAATACTGTGAGCATTGTTGAAAACTTCAAACAGAACAGAAACATATAAAATTAGAATTTAAAGCTTTCCTTCTCATCCCAGTGCCCCCACCCTTTTAGGGGTCTCCATTATTAAGTGTCTTGCATATCTTCCCAGAAAATGTTTTGGTATCCACCAGCTTAAATATATCTCACTTTTTCTTTTCACAAAAGGAATTGAATCATATAATACAGCTGTATACCTTGGTTTTCTCATTTAACATAGACATCTTTCTATATCAACATGTACAAATTCATCTCATTTTTAAAATAGTTTTTTTTTTTCTTTTTTGAGATGGAGTATCACTCTGTCGCCCAGGCTGGAGCGTAGTGGCACAATCTTGGCTCACTGCAACCTCCACCTCCTGGGTTCAAGTGATCTCTCCTGCCTCAGCCTCCCGAGTAGCTGGGATTATAGGCGCCCGCCACCACGCCCAGCTAATTTTCATTATAAGTATAGCCAATACGAATAATATTGAAGTATGGCTATTAATCATAGCTAGAATTTCAAGGAAATGTAAATACCACAGCGTACACATACACTTTCGCAAATGCATACAGGAATTGAGATGGGGTGGGAGTTGGAGGTCTTTACTAATTAAACCATGGTTGTCCAACCCACGATCCATGGGCCACATGCGGCCCAGGACAGCCTTGAATGCAGCCCAACACAAATTTGTAAATGTCCTTAAGACATTATGAGATTTTTTTGTGATTTTTTTTTTCTTTAGCTCATCAGCCATCATTAATGTTAGTGTATTTTATGTGTGGCCCAAGACAATTCTTCCTCCAATGTGGCCTAGGGAAGCCGAAAGATTGGACACCCCTGATAAAGTAAACGGCCATACTGTTTGCTGTGGCTAAGCCTTTGAGTCCGTGCCTGGAAATGGTGAGCCTGCTTCTCTCTCTTTTCTACTGTACAAGAGATCTCAGCTCAAGTGTGCAAGTTCTGTGATGGCACCAATCTGAATAAAAGGCTTGCCTTTCTCCTTTCTTCTTTCTCTATTGGAGAAGAGACACAGGAGTCTGGTCAGAGCTATCAATTTAGGGGACCGTTGATAAAAACTGTACTTCTTTTAATAGGACCTTGGTTAGTAATAAGCCAGCCTGCTTTCTCTATTAACTAGTATGCAAGTGACCCAAAGAAAACTCGGTATAAATATGCTTGTGATCTAGCTCTTGAATTTCTTATCTATTCTTCACATTCTTGTTCACTACTAGAGATTTTTCTGCCACTTCTTATCTATAGGTACATTCTTGTTGACAAGTCATGGTCTCCCTGTTTATCATCTAAAATTTTTCTTATTGTTAGTGCTTTTACCTCTTAGTTTTATTTCCTAAATCTAATTCTTTTATTTTCTTTTTTAAAAACCATCTTTTTTTTAAAGTGTACAGTTCAGTGACATTAAGTATATCCACAGTTGTGCCACTGTCACATCCATTCATTCTTCCATCCATCCACAGAACTCATCTTGCAGAACTGAAACTGTACCCATTGAACAATAACTCCCTATTCTTCCTTCCCCTAGCCCCTGGCAGCCATCATTCTACTTTTTGTTTCTATGAATTTGACTACTCTAGGTACCTTATATAAGTGGAATTCATACAGTATTTGTCCTTTTGTACTAGCTTTTTTCAATTAGCATAATGCTTACTTAGGTCTAACTCTTAATTATATTTTCTTGATTTTAACCCTTCCATATTATAAACACATATATCCACACAGGGATGTAAAATCTATGAACATTTAAATTTCTAATTTTTGATAGTATTTCAGAGTTCTGTAATGAACAGATTTGAATATACAGACAGTCTCAGACTATGATGGTTTGACATGATTTATATTGACTTTATGATGGTGTGAAAGGAAAGCACTTTTCAGTAGAAACTGTCTTTAAATCTCTGGGTGAGATAGGAAGCCACTGAAGAGTGTTCAGCAGTGGTTTATTTAATCTAATTTATATTTTTTAGAGACAGGGTCTCACTCTGTTGGCCAGGCTGGGGTTCAGTGGCATGAACATAGCTCACTGTAACTTTAAGCTCCTGTGCTCAAGCAGTCCTCCTGCTTCAGCCTTCCCAAGTAGCTAGGACTACTGGCATTCACCACCATGCCTGGCTAATTATTTATTTTTTTGTAAAGAAGGGGGTCTCACTATGTTGCCCAGGCTGGTCTTGAACTCCTGGCCTCAAGCAGTCTTCCTGCCTTGGTCTCCTAAAGTGCTGTGATCACAGGTGTGAGGCATTGTACCTGGCTGTGGTTTATTTTAAATCAGCCACATGGGCTGTTGTGGTGAGCATACATTGTAGAGTGGCTCAGAGGCTAATTAGGAAGCTGCTGTAGTAATTCTGGTTAAGAGAAGATGGCATCTTGGATTGCGGTCATAGTGGAGGCGGTGAAATATTTTACATTTTGAAGATAAAGCCAACAAATGTTTTTATTTACAAGTTGGATTTGGTATGTGAGAGAAGAGTAAATGATGACTTAAGTTTTTGGTGTTTGTAACTGGAAGAATGGAATTGCCATTTACCAAGATGGGTAAGAATGTGGTAGGAGCAAAGTTGAAGGGAAAATCACGGTTTTGATTTGGATCTTGTTAAATTTGAAATGTCTGTTAGACATTCAAATAGAGTTGTCAAATAGATATAAAAGTGTGGGGTTCAGTGGAGAGGTATGAACCAGAAATATGAAATTAGTAGTTGTCACTATATGGTGAATATATTTACATTCATATTAAGCTATAAAACTGGATGAGTTCACCATGGCAGTGAGTGCAGATACAGAAGAGGCACAAGGACTGAGCCTACCATTTAAGGCTGGGGATATTAGGAGAAAGTAACATTTGGTTATTCCCTCTAATTCTCTGTAGTTCCTTTCCCTCCTTAAACTGCTAGTGAAGTAAATGCCAACACCCTTATCAAGATTGAAAAGAAATCCCACATAGTTCCATATGCTGCTAGAGGACTGCCCCTTTTTCCCTTATGAAAGTCTGTATCAATGCTGCCTAAGAGAGCAGTTCCAAGAAGGCTATGGTTTAAATTGATTAGCCACCTTTTCTCAAGAGACATTTGGGACTACTGTGTCATACCTTACATCCCTGTTTACCTCAGTCTCCACATTCAAGATAATTCCCTGCATTAGTTTGTTATTAGGATTAGCTGTTGATGACAGTAATTTAAATACGATGCAACTATTCTCTATCACTTAAAACTTTGATGGTACAGGATTGATGTGACTTTCCACAAGGTCAGAAATCTTGGCTCTTTTTTATCTTGCTGTGTTATACATGGCCTTGATGGCATGGCATGGGGAGTGTCACTCTTCCGAGTTTTTATTTGCCAATTATGCTGTGATTTTATATAACTTTTTTTTTGAGACAGAGTCTCTCTTTGTTGCCCAGGCTGGAGTGCAGTGGTGTGATCTCGGTTTACTGCAACCTCCACCTCCTGAGTTCCAGCGATTCTCCTGCCTCAGCCTCCTGAGTAGCTGGGATTACAGGTGTGTGCCACCACCCCGGCTAATTTTTTGTATTTTTAGTAGAGACGGGGTTTCATTGTGTTAGCTAGGATGGTCTCGATCTCCTGACCTTGTGATCCACCTGCCTCGGCCCCCCAAAGTGCTGGGATTACAGGCGTGAGCCACTGTGCCGGGCAATTTTATGTAACGTTTATAAGAAGTAATGAAATGGGTTCCTTAGATAACTCACTGTGAAATTAGGCAATGTGAACTTAGGTACGTACTATTACTGTTGGGCAGTATATCTGATGCAGGGCAGGCAAGCTCCAAAACTGGGGGTTAGCCCAGGAGTGTTCTTGGGATGGCCCAAGAAAGAATTCAAGGGCAAGCTGGTGGTGTTATACAGCAACTTTTATTGAAGCAGCAGTGTATAGCAGCAGCAGAGGTACTGTTCCTTGCGGAGCAGGGCTACCCCATAGGTAGTGTGCCCAGAGGAGCAGCTCATAGGCACTTCTGCAGTCATATTTGTGCCCACTTTTAGCTATATGCAAATTAAGAAGTGGGCTATGCAGAAATTTCTAGAAAAACAGGTAACTTCCTGGTGTTACCATGGCAATAGTAAACTGATATGGCATACTGATAGGCATTTCTTACAGAGAGGTGCTTTCACCTCTTCTGTGTTTTAGCCAGTCCCCAATCTGGTCCCGTGTCTGAGCTCTGCCTCCGGAGTTGAGTCCTGCCTCTTACCTCATTTCTACCCCTCACAGAATATAAAATCCAGATTGGGCCAGTAGGTTGATGATATTATAATAGCCACTGTTGGTTTCAGTATTATTAATGCCTTGTGTGGCCACACCTAGTTTCAAGGGCAGCTAGGAAACATAGTCTTTGTTCTAGGTGGCCAGATGTATAGCAAAACTTCAAATTCATACCACAGAAGCAGGGATGAATGGATATTGCAGGATAGCCAGCTGTTTCTACCATCTCCAACCATCTATCTTAAACCATTAGTTCTTCACCATCTAAGTTTTTTTGGAACTCACTGTGTGTCATTAGCCAAATCAGTCCTCCACTTTTATTCTGAATGATCCCTTTACTCTCAAAGTCTAACTTAAATCTGGTTGTTTCCTAAGGAAACTGCTTTTCTTTTCTTTTTCTTTTTTTTTTTTTGAGACGGAATTTCACTCTTGTTGCCCAGGCTGGAGTGCAATGGTGCGATCTCGGCTTACTGCAACCTCTGCCTCCCGGGTTCAAGCGATTCTCCTGCCTCAGCTTCCTGAGTAGCAGGGATTATAGGCATGCACCACCATGCCCAGCTAATTTTTTATTTTTAGTAGAGACAGGGTTTCTGCATGTTTGTCAGACTGGTCTCAAACTCCCGACCTCAGCTGATCCGCCCGCCTCGGCCTCCCAAAGTGCTGGGATTACAGGCATGAGCCACCATGCCTGTCCCTGGAAACTGCTTTTCTTATAGATCTCTCAAGTAGAAGCTATTTTGCCTCCCAAACTCCCATATGTCAGAGTTTTATCTCTCGTTACTGTATCTGGACAGTTGATTCTGTTTCTCCTTCCTGTCTAAAATCTCCTGGTCCCTTTGAAACAAGTCCAGGATGTGGAGAAATAGGAACACTTTTACACTGTTGGTGGGACTGTAAACTAGTTCAACCCTTGTGGAAGTCAGTGTGGCGATTCCTCAGGGATCTAGAACTAGAAATACCATTTGACCCAGCCATCCCATTAGTGGGTATATACCCAAAGGACTATAAATCATGCTGCTATAAAGACACATGCACACGTATGTTTATTGTAGCACTATTCACTATAGCAAAGACTTGGAACCAACCCAAATGTCCAACAATGATAGACTGGATTAAGAAAATGTGGCACATATACACCGTGGAATACTATGCAGCCATAAAAAATGATGAGTTCATGTCCTTTGTAGGGACATGGATGAAATTGGAAATCATCATTCTCAGTAAACTATCGGAAGAACAAAAAACCAAACACCGCATATTCTCACTCATAGGTGGGAATTGAACAATGAGAACACATGGACACAGGAAGGGGAACATCACACTCTGGGGACTGTTGTGGGGTGGGGGGAGGGGGGAGGGATATCTTTAGGAGATATACCTAATGCTAAATGACGAGTTAATGGGTGCAGCACACCAGCATGGCACATGTATACATATGTAACTAACCTGCACATTGTGCACATGTACCCTAAAACTTAAAGTATAATAATAATAAAAAATTGAAAATCATTTTTTAAGGATGATTTCAATCACCATTTTTCTATATAAATCTAAGTAGATGACTGAAAATCATTATGAGATCTATTTAGAAAAAGGGTAATTATCCCCATCACTTCTCCATTTAACAGTTCAATTTGGCCTGTTCTTAAGCCTGGAAAGGTTGAATGGAACCTCATAATGGCTTATCTCAGCTTTAATTCTTGGTCCCACCCATTAAGGCCCATGTATTAATTTCATATTATTGCTGTAACAAATTACCATAAATTAAAGGGCTTTAAATACCCAACTCTATTATATTACAACTCTGTAGATGAGAAATCTGACTTGGGTTATGTTGATATCAAGGTGTTGACAGAACTGTGTTTCTTTCTAGAATCTCTAGGGGAGAATTTGTTTTCTGGCCCTTTCCAGCCTCTAGAAGCTGTCCTCATTACTAGGCTTGTAACCCCTTTACATCTTAAAAGCTA
Organism: Homo sapiens; assembly: GCF_000001405.40. NCBI lineage: Eukaryota > Metazoa > Chordata > Mammalia > Primates > Hominidae > Homo > Homo sapiens. The sequence continues at coordinate 160,388,862 of NC_000003.12, read as the reverse complement.
GCAATGGCCAGTTGAGTCTTTCTCATGTCACATTGCTGTGATGCTGACTTTTCTTCTGCTTCCCTCTTCTACATTTAAGGGCCTTGTATATTTATTTGGGTTCACTGGATGATCCAGAATAATTGTCCTATTTTAAGATCACTGGAATATGAAATTTACTTTCCATATGAAACATTAGTTCTTTTTAGCTACCTAACGTTTTCTCTCTATATATATTTATATAGAATGTATTTATATATTATTAATTACATAAATATATTTTATGTAATATACTTATATGTTACATATATAATAATATAATATGTATATTTATAGGTTCTGGGGGTTAGGACATGACATCTTTCTGAGACCATTATTTTGCCTACCACGGTCATGATGTATTTTCCTTAGTATATATTGCTAGATTCTGCTTGTTAAAAGTTCCTTAAGGCTTTCCACATTTTTGCTCCTGAGGGATATTTTTCTGTACTTTTCTTGACTTGTGATGCCCCTGTCCAGTTTTGATATCAGAGTAATGGTGGTGTATTGATGCAATGTTCTGGACAATGTTTCTTAGGCTTATCTTTTCTGGAAGAGTTTGTTTGTAATTGATGTGATTTTTTCATTAAATGCTTGGAAGAATTTGCCACTGAAAAAAAAAAAAAAAGAAACAAGTCCTACCAGATTAAACCATTCTCTGCTGTGCTTTTATGCGGTCATCTGCATATGTCTTTGCTCTTCCCTCATTCAATGAATATTTTAGCATGCGGCTAATTGTCCTTATCTCTACTACTATTCTTGTCATTATCTTGACATCATTAAAATGTCCACAAATAAATCCCTGGCCTGTCAGTTCCTTGACCTCAGCCACCCACTTTCACAGTCATAACCTATCTTATCATTACCAATATCTATACTGGCTCTAAAATCTGTTTTAAGTATCCCATTGTCTATCTCCACTTCTTTTTGCTAGTTAACTTCTTCTGGAATCTTAATGCCAACAATTCTAAAGACTTCAGTAGGATTTCCAGGCCATTGAATCTACCACTTTTTCATAGTCTCTTTGGTAATTTCATCTTATTCCATGGCTTTGAATATGATCTTTTTGCTGACAACCCTCAAATTGATATCTAATTGATATCTGCAACTCCAACTTCCCACTTGACTCCAGACTTACTGTATTATATCTCATTTCTCTTTGACTTCTCCATTGGGTTGTCTAATAGAAACCTTGCACTTAACATATCCAAAACAGAATGTTTGATATCACCCCATTCCAACCTGTTTCTCAATCTTCCTCATTTCAATAAATGGCAACTCCATTCCACCTATTGAAACTTTACAGTCATTTTTTACTACTGTTTTTCTTTTTTGTTTTTTGAGACTGAGTCTCACTCTGACGCCCAGGCTGGAGTGCAGTAGCGTGATCTCGGCTCACTGCAACCTCCACTTCCCGGGTTCAAGCTATTCTCCTGCCTCAGCCTCCTGAGTAGCTGGGATTACAGGCATGCGCCACCACACCCGGCTAATTTTTGTATTTTTAATAGAGATGGGGTTTCACCACGTTGGTCAGGCTGGTCTCGAACTCCTCACCTCGTGATCCGCCTGCCTCGGCCTCCCAAAGTGCTGGGATTACAGGCGTGAGCCACCGCACCCGGCCACAACTGTTTTTCTTAAACTGAATTCACCAGCAAATCTTCTGGAATCTTTCCTCAAAATATATTTAGCATATGACTACTTCATGCTACTTGTACTGTTGCCTTCCTTGTCCTTTATCTAAGTCACTTTCATTTCTCTTTTGGGGTATTGAAATCCTAACTGGTCTTACTGCGTCCAGTCTTATTCATTTTCCCTCCTGATAGGCTCTTTTTTGTATACCATCCATTGCATCCATTTAAAATGTAAGTCAGTTCATATTGCTTATTTGCTCATAACTTCTCCACTGGCTTCTTGGTTCATTCAGAAGAAAAACTAAAGCTTTTATTATGACTTTCCAAGACCCTGCATGTTGTGTCCCACCCTCTCCTTCCCTAATTTCCTGCCAGTCCCTCACTCATTTTATTTTAGGCATACTGGCCTTCATATTCTGACTTAGCTTTAAAAGAATTACTGGCTGGTGTATTTAGAATAGTTTGTAGGGGTAAATGTAGGAATAGGAAGATCAATTTTGAGGCCACTGCAATAATTGAGGCAGGGGATGGTGGTGGCTTTGGATTATGATGGAGGTGCTGAGAAGTGACCAGATTTGCTGTGTATTTTAGTGGTTGGACTCTCAGATTTCGTTGGGCCCATTTTTTCCTCTCAAGCCTCATAAATGTTGACCCACACTGGACCAAAAACAACTTATAAATGATTTTTAGTAGCAAAGACATGGTTGCTGCTACTTGCTCCCTATGTAAAGTTGCAAAGTTACCTATACCCTCAAAATTGTCTTTCTATTATCTAAACCCAACCCCTGCCCCAATACCACTGGTTAGTCAGATCCTCATGATCAATCCCTTTAGGCAGATAAAAACACCTCAATGCAGCGTTCAGGCAGCTCTGCACTTCCCCAAATTGGCTATGTTTTAACATTACTTTTCTTTTATTCCCTCATTCAATCCCACATGAAAGTACACATGTCATTCATACAGATGGTCTCAGATAAATGGAATTGTGTGAGGAAAATCTTTCTGAGTAAGGGAGAATCTTCCCAGTGTTAGAATGCCATTGTCTTACTTTCTCTGATTCCTTGGCATGATGTTTCTGAATTGTTAGTGATTCCTTTCTTGTAAAAACCATACTGCTTCTACTATTTATAGAGGATTATGATTTATTCTCATCAGGAATTATCCTAATTATTATGGATTTTGGCAGTTTGAGGTTTTCTGATGTAGAATAACATCATGTCTTTTAAGTTTCTGATTGTAATAGTATATTCAGTTTTTATGTGTATTGTTGTTATCTATTGTATTCTCATTTCCAGAAGCAAATATTTATCTGCCTTTCTTCTTTTAAAATCCTTATAAGCTGAGTAAATTTCAATTATTGTGAAAAAGCAGCATTTCGTAAAATGTTATTAGTCTTTTTTCCCCTGTCTAATTGGTGGGGGCCTGATGGAAGAGGGAGTTTGGAGGAAGGTGGAGAACTCCTAAAGACCAAAAAAGTGAACTTAAGAAGTGTGCCTGGGAGACGTTGTATTCTAGCTCTGGCTGTGCTCCACATAGTTTCATACTTTTGAAGTTCAACAGAAATCACCTTAAGAGAACTGGAAGAGAAAGAAGTGAAAAGAGTGCTTTGAAATACAGCTTTATTTAGTAGCTTGCTGATCTAAAGGTTCTTGGATTCATGAGAATGAGAAATTATCTAAGAGAGGCCTACTGAATTCTTATCTATAGTCAGTACCTCCTTTGATGTAGTTAGCAGTAATTTTCAACTTAGTAAAGAGGATTTTTTCCCTTTAATTACACTTTCATTTGATTTACATTTGCCTAGTTAGGTTAGTGATGTTACTCAGAATTCTGTAAATGTAAATCGGACTCAGACAATTTAGCATTTTCTTGATTTCTCTTTTTTTTATACAACAACTATATTCATAGCAATGATTTGTGTCTTTTGATGATATGGCTGTTTGGGGAATGTTATTCTTCTTTTCCTAAGTTTTTATGTGGCAATTACACTGTGATTTTTACATAACTTTTATAAGCAATTTATTACCTCTTCCTTAAATAAGTCACCTATTTTTCACATTGTCACTGTGGTAACCGTAACTGTTGGGCAGTGTATCTGCCCCACTGCAGAATGTCAACCCCAGATTGGGCCACTAGTTTTATGATGTTGTATTTTTCCACATGGATTCTAGAATTGTAGCTTAGCCCTCAATCACACCTTGGATATTTGTATCCAATAGACAGGACCAAAATTGATTTGCAATTGAAGAGTTCCCAGTTTGTGGAATCTTTTTATTTGGCCTCAGGACATGGAAATTCTTTACCTGACCAGATTTACCTAGTGGTGTTCTGCGTAGATCTGTCTCAGGCAGGTTTAGAGGACTCCTGGGGTTCAGCCCAAAGCTCTCCGTCATCCCTTGTTAGGATTGGCACACCCACTAGTTTTTTTTCTCTTTCCATGTACTTGATGTCAGAAGGACTGAAGGTGCTCGTTGGGGTGCAATGATGTTTTGTTTGCCTTTTGTGTTTGTATACGTACATTTGTTTTTAATGCTGACTTTATATTTTCTCTCCTTTTATTTTTACAGTAAATACAATCAAGTGGCATCTTAAATTTTTGCTGGAAGTGGAGTCATGAGACTAAAGATATCTCTTTTAAAAGAACCAAAGCATATCCTTTTAATGCTTATAAATCTTATTGGATTTTCTTAATTATAGTATTGTTAAAAGTTTCTCTATTTTATATCCTAGTTGAAGAATAGATTTTTTTTTTCATTCCTTTAGTGGCTGTTTACCTAAATTGTTTTAAAGTATTTAAGATCATGTGTTGTAAGTAATTCTCCAAAGTGAACCGTTTGCTATAAATCTTATTTTAAAATTCTTACTGACGTTTTTCTTACTCTACTTAAGTACTATACTTAAATACTTAAAAAGCAGTTTTTGTTTACTTTAGTAGGATCTTAAAAAGAAGCTTTTTTTTTTTTTTTTTGAGACAGAGTCTCACTCTGTCACCCAGGCTGGAGTACAGTGGTGTGATCTCAACTCACTGCAACCCTCTACCTCCTGGGTTCAAGTGATTCTCCTGCCTCAGCCTCCTGAGCAGCTCAGATTATAGGCACCCGCCAACATGCCCGGCTAATTTTTGTATTTTTAGTAGAGACGGGGTTTCACCATGTTGGCCAGGCTGGTCTCGAACTCTCGACCTCAGGTGATCCACCCGCCCCAGCCTCCCAAAGTGCTGGGATTACAGGCATGAGCCACCGCGCCTGGCCAAAATGAAGCATTTTTTAAACCAAACTGTTTCTTTGCTAGTGTGATCTAGCATGTATTCATTCCACTGTGCTCTATTTCTTTACATTCATGATAAAGTGAAGGACAAGTTGGGGAAATCTGAGCAGTCAGATCCTCATTATTTCACATGGGAAGGTGGCAATTAATAATATTTTCTCAAACACATGACCCTATATTTTGTCAGCAAGAGTCCCCAGTTATGTGTCAAGGAGATATGACAGGCCCCACTATCATCATTCTTAGACATTTAGACTAATTCTGCTCAAAGTATCCTTTGTAGACTTTATTGCAGGTCTGTGAAAGAATAGGTAAATAAATTGAAAGTAAGGGCTGAGAAATTTTTGTAGCAATTTGACATTGTTATAATGTCCAATTTTTCTAATATTTTATTTTTATTGTATCTTACGAAATATCCATATGCAATGGATTCGAAATAAAGAAAAATCTGGTCCTTCATCAGAACTAGGAAAGCACTGATTTAAACATTTGGTCAGACATTTTAAATTGGTAGGTGTTTTCATTTATATTATCTTGTTTGCTTATTTAACTATTAAGTGAAGATGTAATTATTTTTATTCCCCCTTAAATAGTTTTTACTGTCTTTTCAAAAAAAATGTGCTTTCAAGAGTTCACACCATACACAATTTTATAGATTTTGACCATGTCTACTGTCTGCCTTTACCTTTCAAGCCAAAGAATAACAATGTTTTTAGACTTTCTTGATCTGGCAGTCTTCTCATTTCTACGATAATTTTAGTTGACCTGTGAGTTTGAAGATAATGTCATGGACGTCTGGCATGTACTTATAGCAATTTATATAAGGATAAGCTAATGATTTTTGGTTTGAGATGTGTACATATTTGTTTGTGTGAGTTTTCTTCCTTTCTAGGTTTTACCTAAGCTTCTCCCATTTTAGGTTTTACCTAACATTGTTTAGGCGACAGCAATAATAATACAACAGTTTTTTCAGGAATGGTCTGTTGTCCTTTTGTTTAGATTGTGTTTTGAGTTTTGAGTATTCTGGTGTCTCTTTATTACCTTTTTGTGCAGACTCTTAAGATCTTTCTATAATCTCTCTTTATCTTTTTGGTTTCTGCTTAATCTATTGTATTTTGAAGTATTAAAAAATCTTGGAACATCCTAGAATAATTAGGCGCATTGTCTGCATTTCCTTAGAAAAAGCAATTGTATTATTGCTCAGATAAGACAGTAAAAGTATTGGTGAGAAAAGAAGGAAATAAAAGGATTATATCATAACAATAAGAACAAACAACTCAACCAGGAATAATCTGGCAATATAGAAATCCAGACGTAGCAAGAGAAAACATCCTTTGTAAATAACAAACTGAAATGCCTTTTAGGTACACAATTCTGCTAGGGTAATCACCCTGTCCTGATGGAGGAAGTGAGGGCTACTTGAGCATCTCAGCTTACATAGAAATTCTTCTGATAAATTAGAGCTGAAAAAATGGGTTAAATAAAGTAAAAATTTGAGGGATCATATCTCATCCAGCACTATGCATCTTATAAGTGAAGTAAATTATAATTGAATTATTTCCTAATTTTAATGTAGGAAAGTTTGGTATTGTCAATTAAAAATAAGTGAAGAAATAAAATGAAAAATTTAAAAAAAGTTTGGTAAGATTTTAGTTTCAGCTGTTAAACCATAAGTTCTTTCCTAGGTGAATTGTTATGATAATATGTGATTGAAAAGGATAGCCTACTGTTAGATTTCAGTCTTGTTTTGACACTTGATTATTTTTTCCTTAGCAAAAGAATACATGCTTATTTTAATAACTTACATGATACAGACATATATAAAGAAAAAAGTATAGTTCCCTTTGCTCCCTACCTATCCCCCAACAGTTCAGTGTAGATTCTTTGATACCTTTTGATCTACTAAGTCTCTTTTGTATACCTTTTGGCTTTGTGTATAGAATATTGTATAACACAAGTTTTAAATTTTCATGTGGTCAGATCTTTTCTCCCCCACCTTTTGGCATCTGGATTTCTTTCTTGCTTTCCATTTTTACAATTCTTTTAATAGATGCTTATTTTCTTTTATATAGAAAAAAATACCAGTCATAAAATGGAAAATACATTTAGAATCTTGAAACCATTTGACCCTATTTTACTTATACCTTATAATCTGCATCTGTGAATTATTCATTAAGATTAAAGACTTTTGTATGTTTTATGTCTCTTTAACATGGTGACACATCAAGAATTAGTAAGCTGTGTGGGCTGGACTACTGCTGAAGAGCTGTATTCATGTAGTGATGATCACCAGATAGTGAAGTGGAACTTGTTAACCAGTGAAACAACTCAAATAGTAAAGCTTCCTGATGATATTTACCCTATTGATTTTCACTGGTTTCCAAAAAGTTTGGGTGTAAAGAAACAAACCCAGGCAGAAAGCTTTGTCCTCACAAGTTCTGATGGTAAGTTTTAAATAAACATTATATGCTCGCCATTGTATTTAAAAGACTTAATAGTATGATTTATGCTTTGAGTTGTTTTACAAAACTGGTATTTGTGGATCTGCATATTTTTATCCACATATTGTATTTCTTTTCTGAATAGTCACTTGGTTTGTGTATGGGCTATGAAATTATTGTCATGGAAGAAAGTTAGTTTAACTGGCATATACTAGGATTGAATATGGGTCTTTGGCTTTAATATATATATATATATATATATATATTTAGAGATGGGGTCTCACTCTGTTGCCCAGGCCAGAGTGCAGTGGTGTGATCATAGCTCACTGTAGCTTCAAACTCCTGGGCTCACACAATCTTCCTGCCTCAGCCTCTTGAGTAGCTGGGACTACAGGCACACACTATTACATCTGGTTAATTAAAACATTTTTTTTGTAGAGACAGGGTCTCATCTTGTTGCCCAGGCTAGTCTTGTACTCCTGGCCTCAAGCAATCTTCCTTCCTTGGCCTCCCAAAGTGCTGGGATTACAGGTATGAGCCACCATGCCCAGCTGGCTTTACTTTTTTAGTACTCTTATGAGTTGAGTTAAGCTGTTATCATAGTTTTAGTTCCTAAATTCTTCAAATTTAACTTAATATAACCACACTGAAAAGATATACCTATTCATTTAGTAAGGTATCTGTTAAAATACATACTTTATTTTCCAGTACATGTTAATTTTCAGTTACAGAGTTGAAGAGTTTTATAATTTGACCGCAGCTTTCTTATTGGTGAATAACAAGTATGATTTTTTTTTTCACTTTTTAAGGGTATGTTTTTATATTTGTTTTCTTAGAAATACGTGAACTGTTTTCATCTGTGTTATACTTTACCTGCTGTTTCAATTAGGAGTACATTGATTGAAAGTAACAGAAACTTATTTGGCTAACTTAAGCACAAATGGAGTTTTTTGGTTCACCTAGCTGTAGGGGTAGATCAAGCACTAGTTGCATCGGGTCCCTGTTCTCACCATCTCTTGGGTAGACTCTCTGCACATGGTGAACATGATGGTGAGTATGACGGTGGCCAGTAGCCCAAGGCTCATCATACTTTGTAAGACTGCTTCTTCCTCAGTATCTCGTGCAGGCAGCTTGCAGAGGGACCCTTAATGAGCTTGGGTCATATGCCCATCACTGAGTCAATCAGTTTAGTCAAGAGAAATGGACTTTGGGAGGCTGAGGTGGGCGCATCATTTGAGGTCAGGAGTTCGAGACCAGCCTGAGCAACATGATGAAACCCCCGTCTGTACTGAAATACAAAAAAATTTTAGCTAGGCATGGTGGCACATGCCTATAGTCCCAGCTACTTGGGAGGCTGAGATAGGAGAATTGCTTGAACCTGGAATGCAGAGGTTTCAGTGAGCTGAGATTGCGCCATTGCACTCTATCCTGGGCACAGAGCAAGACTCCGTCTCAAAAAAAAAAAAAAAGAAAAAAAGACAATGGGACACTGATTGAGCGTATCCAGCCTCAGGCCATCCACATGCAAAGGAAAAGAGAAAGAGAAGAGGGCTTTTGTAACCTGAAGATGGAAAGGATGTTAGGACAAACAGTAGTATCAGATTACACCTTATTTACCGAGAGACTTGTGGTAGTTTTTTAAAACTTTGTTTTTCAGAAACTTGATTAAATGAGATACATGTGTAAAATCACTTGGTAGAGTGCCTGGCACTTAGAAGATTGGCCCTGAACCACAGCTAGAATTTAGTTTACCTCAGGTGATAAAGGGAGTGTTTGACTTAAACAATTATTTTGATATAATTTTGCATTTACAGAAAAGTTTTAAGAATTGTACAAACAATTCCTGCATGTCCTTTATCCAGATTCACTAGTTTAACATTTTGTCCCATATATGTTGGGACAAAGTATTGGCTCTGTTTCTTTTTACACAAACCCTCCTCGCCCCCAGCACACACCCTTTTTCTGAAAGATGTGAGAGCAGTTTGCAGACATGTACTTTTAACCATGAATACTTCAATGCATTTCCTAAGAATAAGAATTTTCTGTTACATTGCCACAATTTGTTGATAAAAATCAGGACATTTAACACTGATGCAATGCTATTATCTAATCTATAGTTTATATTTAAATTTTAACAATCATTCTAATTTTCCATAGAAGTTTATTTTTGCTGGTATAGGATAACATATTGTTTTTGTTGTGTCTCTTTAGCTTCCTTTAATCTGGAACAACTCTTCAGTCTTTTGTGATCTTGACAGTGTTGAAGAATATATGCCTGTTATTTTATAGTTCTTCAATTTGTTTTTGTCTGATGTTTCCTCATGATTAGATTCAATTTATATGTCCTTAGCAGGAATACTCGGGGCATCAGACTAGGAGATTTATGATGTTGGTTTGACCCATTATTGGTGATGTTAACCTTAATTATAAGTTAATAAGTTCATGTTCATTAAGTTAATCTCTGTAAAGTTACTATTTATTCCTTTTAATAATTTATGAAAAGATACTTTGAGACTATGTAAAAATATTATCTTCTTCATCAAACTGCCTCCCACTCTCTTAGCATCTATTGATGACTCTTGGCTGAGTCATTTATTACTAAGATAGTTTGCCAAATGGTGATTTTTCCAACTCCGTAATTTCTTCCATATTGATTAGTTGGTATTCTACTCCAAGGAAGAGCTTCCTGTCCCATGCCCATATATTTATTTGTTTTTTTGGGGTCAGATTAGACTTGTAGATTCTCATTTTATTTCATAAATATATTATTATTATCATTTTTAAATTTTGATGTTAAAAGTGCCCTAGATTTGGCCAGTGGGAGCCCCATCAAGCCAGCTACAGTGATTTTTTTTTTTTAAATTTTATATGTGTTCTCATAATTTTTTGAGCACTTCCTTGCTGGCACAAGATGTTCCAGGCTTATCTTGTACTTTCTTAGTCCCAGCCCCCAAATCAGCCATTTTCCACAGAGACCTGTTCTTTTTCTGGTGGTTGATGGTATTTAAAAAAACAAGATAACAGTGCTAGCTGTGCTCATTCCAATGGGGTGTATTTGCTTCAAGGCCCTTTCAATGGACAGAGCTAAGAACTGTGAATATAAAACCTTGAAACAAATAACATAATAGACATATGTATATAGTGCTATGATAAATCAGAGGGGCATAAAATTCTGTTGTGATGTGGCCAAGGGAGGGTCAAGAGAAATGTCAAGAAAGTCTTCCATTTAAGCACAATTTTGCAGTCTTTACTTTTTTTTTTTTTTATAGGCTATAAAAAAGCTGGAAAAGGTATAAAGGAGAAGAACCAAAATAATAAAATGGATAATCCCAAGTTTAAAATACTTGCCTTATATAATTTTATACTGTGTCAGGCAACAGGTAGACAAAAGCAAGCCACTTAGTTGCAGAAGTATGTACATATATTGGCAAAAAGTAAAAACACTGTAAAACTTTAAAGGACATAAGCTAATTATATAAGAGATGTCAGAGAGACAAGTCAACAGTGCAAAGAATAAGTGATACAAGAAGCCAAGAAAGGATCATTGTGGTTTACGAATGATTATTAAGTCTAGTAATATACAGCTGGTAATTTAAAACACTTTCTCATCCATAGGTGTGGTATATTTATTGGCACATCGTTTCTGAAGCATAGACATATACCCAGACCATAGGTATTTAAATTGTATTAACTAAATCAAAAGGTTTATGAATTTGGGTTTTTCCCTGTTATGAACATGTATAATTATTTTGAACCACGTAAGCATATGCATTTTCAATTTATTTTAAAATATTTAAATAATTTTGTTTTTGTGCCTATTTTCCAATAGATTTATATGTGATATTAAGAATAATTATAATGTTAATATTTGCCTTTATGCCTTTAGTGCCTATTACTTAGTCTAGTAGTAGGTGCTTTGTTGATTGAATAAATAAAATAGATTTTTCAAATGTAATTTCTTTCAGGTAAATTTCATCTGATTTCCAAGTTAGGAAGAGTGGAAAAAAGTGTAGAAGCTCACTGTGGAGCAGTACTTGCAGGAAGATGGAATTATGAAGGAACAGCATTAGTTACAGGTAAGTTGTCTGTAAAAATGACATTTGAAATGAATATTTTAAAGAAAAATTTCCAAAGAAACAGAATATTTTCATTTAGCAATAGTGTCTTTCATTGTGTAATAGCAAATAATTGGCATAGTATTGTTCTACACTGCTATATAAATGTTACAATTCAGAATGTTATATTAATCATTTTCTTATGTGACCTTTGGAGACTGTTCTGTCAAAGAAGGCTTTTGGAATGGTCACGTATGGAATAAATAAAAGTTGTAATTCTTTAAAATTTGAAAATTCCAAATATTCTCATTTAACTGACCATTATCCCCATTCTGTCTGTTTCCAATCCCCTGCCCTACTCTAATGATTCAACCTATTACATTAGTTTTCTATTGCTCATAACAAATGACTCTTAATAGTTAGTGACTTAAAATCATAAGCATATAGTACCTGATAGTTTCTGTGGGTCAGGGATCAGTTTAGGTGGGTGGTTCTGTCTGACTCAGAGCCTCTCATGAGGTTCTGGTCAAATTGTTGGATGCGGCGGCAGTCATATGAAGGCTTGTCTGGGGCTGGAGGATCCACTTCCAAGATGTCTTACTCACATGGTTGTTGGCAGGAGGCATTAGTTCTCTGGCTTTGACAGGAGACCTTAATTAATTCCTTGCCACATGGGCATCTCCATAGGGTTGCTTAAGTGTTTTTAAATAGGACAGCTGGTGTCTCCCAGTGATCCAAAAGAGAGCCAGGTAGAAGCTACTGTATCTTTTGTAGTGTACCCTCAGATATTATACTCTGTTTCAGTTATATTCTGTTAACTTAGCAAGTCACTAAGTACAGCCCACAGTGGAAGAGAGGGAAATTAAACTGTGCCTCTTGAAGTGAAGAATAAGAAAGAATTTGAGGATGTGTTTTAAAACCACCATACCTATACTGTGGGCCTTCTCTAGGACTTTCCTCAGTGAATTGGCCCTTCTCTTACTTGTATCTTTAACATGTTTTCCAATGGTTTGTCAGCATGTAAATATGTTCGGATGTCACCCATCTTAAAAATTAAGAAGAAATAGAAATCCCTCTCTTAACAAACAGCTCTCTCTACCTGCAACTATTTTCTTTCTCCCTTTTTCAGCAAAGCTGTTCAAAAGAGTAGTCTATTACCTCACTTCATTCAGTCCCCAACTCACTGGAATTTGGCTGCAGCTCTTCTTATTACACTGGAAACACTTTTCTTAGAATTCTAAGATGGAGACTGCAGTGACAAAGGAAACATTATTTGAGTAATATACTTACAAGTCTTCTAAGATTGAAGGAAATAAAAATTTTCGTCATGAAAGTTAAGCTACTTTGATAAAATCGTTTCAACGTAATTTCTATTAAATGATAGTTATAAAGTACTCTGTCATTTAAACTGTTTCTGAATTTTAAATATGTAGTAATATTCCATGATTTCAGGAAGCCTAGAAGAAAAAAGAATATGCGGTAGATACTGTTGATTCTTATATGCAAATTTAATGTTTAAATTTATTTTCTATAGGTAAAAATACTGATTAATTTTTTTTTCCCTGTATAGTTGGAGAAGATGGACAAATAAAAATTTGGTCAAAGACTGGGATGCTTAGATCAACTTTAGCTCAGCAAGGTATGTTTTACAATTGACAATTTCATTTTTGCAAATTATACAATACAAAAATGCCTTAAAGTTTTCCTTTAGAAACAATCTAATACGGTGGTTGAGACTGACTTTGGTTGAGTTCAAAACAGTAATCTCTTATATTTTACACTGTTTTGTCTTTCTTTGCTTGGTACCTGATGTACCATGGTAACACTATTATTTCAAGCCAAGAAATATAGGAAATACTCAAGGGCTTTTTTTTATGTTAGTGAATCTCTAGAAAGGCAGTTACAAGCTAAATATTTTCAAAAAATAATTGTGAAACGTTTGAAGCATATCTTATATAGAATTGGAGGTCTAGTTAAGTAAATCATAGTACGAAAAGATATTGAGTATCTCCTTACTTAAAAATCCCCGATAACTTCATAATATTAACACCCTTTCCAAATTAAGTTGTATGTTTGATTTCTATACTGATGGAGGGGAACAGACACACTAAGAATCTGAAACCACACTATTTAGAGGAGCATCTTAATTTTTTATGTTAATAGAAAGGAGTGGCCATAAAGTCAATCCAATGGTCCTTCCTATTGGAAGTTAGATTACATATGATTTTTTCTGTGTAACAGATTTTCTTAATTAGATTTTACATAGGAACAGTAAGCAGTTTTAATGTTTACCTGAGTATGTATCAGCTGATCTTTAGGTTGCCAAAAAACTTGCTGACTATTCCTCAGAACTATTTGATAAAGTCATATTGTGAAACATTTTCGATAACTGACTTCCAAAAATTTCCAAATTTTATTTTTAAAACCATGTTTACTTTTAGGATAAGGTTCAAATCACTTGCATTTCTTTAGCTGTATATTAACTGAATGTTAGCAAAGGTAACCAGAAATACTAAGTAGTATTTCTTTTCTAAGCTTAAATGTTTGCTACAGATAATCTCAAGGCAGAATATTTATTCATGAGTAGAAAATTCAGAGTTCATAGAAGTAGCCGTGGGTAAGTTTCAGTTAACAGCAAAAGTCAACTTATTGTTACTTTAGTAATAAATGTACCTTTAGAACATAAATCTTACTTTAATCTCCTAGTAGGCAGATGGATTTACTTTTGGCTTCATAGATTTTTCTTTTAAGACTCATTATTTGACATTCTCACTTTGTGACAAATGACTTATGAATAATTGACAGAATTCTTTCAGAGATCACTGGCCTTTTGGAAGAACTACAAGAATTTCAGCTGCTGTTACTACTGAGACAGTGTGCAGCAGCTGAAGTGCTATATCCGTTTTTCCTTTCTTTTCTCTTTCTTCTATCAATTTGTTGCCTGTAGATGACACAGATCTTCAGAGAAATTCTAAAAGCCCATCCCACTATCCACCATGGAAGATTTTTTCTTTTTCTTTCTTTTCTTTTTTCTTTTTTTTTTTTTAGACGGTCTTGCTCTGTCTCCCGACTGGAGTACAGTGGCACCATCTTGGCTCACTGTAACCTCCTCCTCCTGGACTCAATCGATCTTGCCACCTCAGCTTCCCAAGTTGCTGGGAGTACATGTGTAGAGCCGGGATTTTGCCATGTTCCCAGGCTGGTCTTGAACTCCTGGGCTCAAGTGATCCTCCTGCTTTAGCCTCCCAAAGTGTTGGGATTGCAGGTGTGAGCCACTGTGCCAGTCTGAAGATTTGAATTCTTTCCCGAGACCCTTCACCAGTGCCCTCCCAGTGCTTCTTCCACTTCCTTCAATTTTTCTGTTATCTCCTTCCCATTTACTACCTGTGGATTCACCATTTCAGATGTTCCAGAGTCTAAAATGGAAACTTGGAATAAGTTGTTTAATATAAACATTGTTAATTGTTTAGTCTATGTCAGGGGTCCCCAACCCTTGGGCCACAGACCAGTAGCTGTCTGCTGTCTGTTAGGAACTGGGCAGTACAGCAGGAGATGAGCAGTGGGTGGGCGAGTGAGTAAAGCTTTATCTGTATTTACAGCTGTTCCCCATCACTTCCATTACTGCCTGACCTACACCTCCTGTCAGATCAGTGGTGACATTAGATTCTCATAGAAGCATAAACCCTATTGTGAACTGTGCATACGAGGGATCTGGGTCATTCACTCCTTATGAGAATCTAATGCCTGATGATCTGTCACTGTCTCCCATCACCCCCAGCAGTGACCATCTTGTTGCAGGAAAACAAGTTCAGGGCTCCCACTGATTCTATGTTATGGTGAGTTGTATAATTATTTCATTATATATTACAATGTAATAATAGAAATAAAGTGCAAAATAAATGTAATGCCCTTGAATTATCCTGAACCACCCCTACCTGGTCCATGGAAAAATTGTCTTCCACAAAACCAGTCCCTGCTGCCAAAAAGGCTGGGAATCACTGGTTTAGGTGATAATAGTGCTAGTAGTTTAGTGCTATAGTTTTCCTGTATAATGAGTCTGGAAACCAAATTGCTACTTATTTTATTCTCATGGGGAAAATGCATTCAGAGTCTCCAGACTTGGAAAGGCTGGTTGGAAGCACATGTTCACAATGAAGAATTGGAGATCACAAATAGATGACCTCTGAGCTTAATCTGGCCCATTAGCATGGTGGAGACCCAATATTAAAAATCAGGACATTTTGGCCAGGCATCGTGGCTCACTCCTGTAATCCCAGCACTTCAGGAGGCCAAGATGGGTGGATCACTTGAGCTCAGGAATTTGAGACCAGCCTGGGCAACATGGCAAAACCCCATCTCTACAAAAAATACAAAATTTGCTTCTGCTTTTGATATTCTAGTGATGAAGCTATTGCCTAATCCCATGCCATAAAAATTTCACTTACAGTGAAATTTCAGTGTTTACATTCTGGTCTGTGATTCATTTTGAGTTGGTTTTTGTGTGCAGTGTTTATTTTAGAGAGGGGATGGTGATGCTCTTCCTCTCACTGCCCTCCCATAGATGGGTAAACAAGATTTTCTTAAAAGGTAAAATACAGATTATACCATATAATACAGTTGATTTTCTTATGTATTCATCATATCATGTAATGATATTACCCATCAACATTTAAAATGTGTTTTCCTTAATATCAAATGACTTTGAAATGACTATCATTTTTGTCCTATTTTAATTTTATTGTTCTCAAAGTTTGTTAATTATGGATTAATAAGCAGAATTAAATTAGATAGATATTCCCATTTTGGCTAACCTCTTGGTATTTCAACAGAGTAATCTGATACCTTTTTCTGGACTAAGAATTACAAACTTACTGTAGAACTATGCATCTGATTTTTGAGTGTTTAATCATTGGTGCCATCTATACTTTCCTCATAAGGCATAGACTTTTCCTTTTTCATCTCCGGAAAAATCAGTAGAGCAGTTAAGTTGTTATAATGACAGTAACCCAAAAGGAAAGGTCCCTAATTACTTATAAAATTTCTTTGATCTATTAGAGACTGCAAGTTTTGAGGGTGATTGTAAATCTGAACTACTGAGAGTTGGATGCTAAAGGCTCAAGTAAGAAGGCCAAGGCAGCTGGGGGTGCAAGACTACTGCCTCCTTTGAAGGGAGAAACTAAATTTTGACACAAAAATGAAATAATATAAAC